>NC_000008.11:11625382-11929863 GCF_000001405.40 Homo sapiens
AGAAAAGAGCCGAGGGCGCCTTTAATGGCCACAGGTGTTGGAGTAGAAAATTTTCCATGAAAAAGTGGCTGTTCCACATGATTAAAGTAACCACTTGGCCCTCTTGGCAAGCTCAGGCCCTGTTTTTTTCACACTTTGCAGCGTGTCCTTCAACTCTTTTCGGAGGCTGTTCAGAGGATAAACTGCAAAAGAAATTCCTTTTCTTTTCATACACGCTAATAAGGAAGGAGTGGGAGAGAGCGGCCCCCCAGGGCAGGCTGGGGAGGTGAGGCAGGGGGTAGGGTTTTGCTGAAGACGGTGAGGGAGGCTGGGGAAGGCCAGATGAGGTGGGGCTGGCCGAAGTGAGGTGGGGGTTGATTCCGAGACGTCGCTGGGTAGGGGCTGCTCTTCAGGAAAATGACCCCAGAATCATCCGAGCGTGGGTGCCTTCACACTGGGCACCCCCTGGCGTCACGTCCAGGCTTAGAGAGTCCTGGGGTGGGTTGAACAGAGCAATATGTTGTGAGGAAGCTGGGGGATTTCCTTGGTAATAAGCAGATAAATCTCTATCCCTTGGGGTGGTTTGGAGGCTGTGCCAAGAGACAGCCTGAGAGCAGGTGACACTCATTCCTAAAACAGCTGTGGGATGCCTTGCTGTTCTAGCTTCCTGCCTGCAGAATGGCGCTGCTGTGGGGAGGCAAGAGAGCATGCCTGGAAAGCACGTGGCATGTGGGCCACAGCAAATGATGATGACATTGATCATTACTGACAATGATGCCATCGATGATAATGATGACATGGATAATCATTGATAATGATGACATTGATAATCATTGACAATGATAATGACATTAATAATCATTGACAATGATGATGACATTGATAATCAATAATGATGATGATGATGATGATGATGAGATGATCTATCAGTCCTCATTCAGCCCAAGATCTCCAGGGTTTCCAACCATTCTCATGCCCACTGAAACCCTAATTGCTTTAAGTTTTTTTTTATTTTGTAGTCCTGGACCAGGCATTAGACACAAGTTCCTTCCTCTTCACCATGGAAGGTCCATTTAGTCCCTAGAAATGTGCGTGGAAATGCACCCAATTCCACGGAGGCTAGGTGGGCAGAACACTTTTTGGCTGTTGCATTTGTGACATCATGGTTACTGAGCAAAAGCTGACCATGGCCTTTTTCTGCTTACCTAGCTTCCTACAGATTGCCCTCTGCCCTGGTGGCTGCCCCTCACCACGGGAAGACCCTGAGGCCCTTGCCCAAGCTGCCCACTGACCTGGGTCTCTCTCCCTTCACCCCGCCACTCTTTCCCAGGTTTTCCAGGCCCTGCTAGGGGACATGAGACTGCCTGGCCTCGACCCTAGGTGGCCTTCCCTGACTGTCTCAGGTCTCACTGACCCTCTATCGCTTTGAACAACACTCTCCAGGCAGCCGTTTTACAAGGTGTGCTCTATGGATCACCTACATCAGGTTCCCTTGAAGAATTTGTTGGAAAAGCGGATTCCTGAGCTCCTCTCCTGTTCTGAATTAGAATCCCTGGGAAGGGTCAAGGAATCTGCAACTGTAGTAATTTCTACATGGGAACTTTAATAGATACACTGGCTTGTCTGTCTGTACCACATAGTTAGACAAGTAGTCATCTGCCTTCCCTCATCATCTGTGCTGGTAGGCAGGATTGAGAACATCACAGCACCTGTTGCAGTGTTTTGTCCACAGCAGGGTTCAATAAGTGATTGCTGCTCATTACCTAGCTATACAGGTAGATATGGATGGATGGATGGATGGATGGAAGGATGGATGATGGATGGATGGAAGGATAGATAGATGGTTGGATAGGTGGATTGATAGATGATGGATGGATGGATGGATGGATGGATAAATGGATAAATGGATGGATGGATGGATGGATATCTGGATGGATGGATAAATGGATGGATGGATGGATGGATGAATAGATTATTAGATGGATAGATGGATGAGTGGGTGAATAAATGAATGGATAGATAGATAGATAGATAGATAGATAGATAGATAGATAGATAAAGTAAAACCTTGTTACAGTAGTGCTGGTCACAGTTCTTCTGGTATCCTGTGGAACTGAAGTGTGAGATGTACAGAAAGTTCTCATGAGAGACCGGGGCCTGGATCTACAAAGCTGCTGGGAGCAAAGGGAGGAGAAATGTGACACTTGGACTCTGTAAGTCAGCAGGACGGGGTTCAAGTCTCCCTCTTATCGGCTGTGTGTGTTTTGGTGAATTACTTAACTTCTCTAAGCCTGATTCTCCCCATGTATAAAAAAGGATCTTAACAGTACCTATATCTTAGGAGGGCAGTGAGGGTTGGTTTAGATGATATATGAAGCAAAATCGTCCACAAGCTGGGCTATGAGTTCCTGGTCTCAGCTCCTCTGTGCACCTCTGCCTCCTCCTTCTGTCTCGCGGTCTGGTTCCCACTGCTCCCCCCTGCAGACAGCCCATAGCTGGTTGCATCTTGTCAGAGGCAAACACCCAGAGATGGAGATGTGTCTCTCTCAGTCCTAAGCCCAAGTTTCCAGGGAAGAGAATCTGGAGGGCCCTACGGGGTCCATCCCAATACAAATCATCTGTAGTCAAGAACAAGGAGCCAGTGGTGCAGACACAGATGCAGTTCCATCGCTTGGGCCCCACCAAGGAGAGAAGCAGTTCTCAGAGGCTAGAGTAGAGGATGGAGACAGGCTGGGCCCACACCCCCATGCCCCACAGGTACCTACTGCGACTCCCCAGAAATAAACATTTCCCCAGTCCTGACTCCACGGCTGCCTTTTATCTCCCAGAGCCTCCCCTCCACATCTTACTGGGATTGAGGTCTCCGGCCTCAGAGCTGCCTGCCTCTACCCCTGGATCTGTCCCCTGTTCCCACAAGCCCACCCCTCGCCAATATTACCCTCCCAAAGTCACCAGTGTGCCCCCCACTGTGGACGATCCGAAGATTGAAGCCCTACCCTCAAGGTGCTTACAGTCTAGTTGGCGATACCAAACCAACACACAGGAACAGACTGAAGAAGTATCTGGTGCTAAACCGTAACCCAGGGCTCCGGGGCAGTAGGGATGCAGGGAAGGGGGTGTCCCATGGAGGCTGGTCAGGGACAGCTTCCTGGGGGAGGGAGATTAGGGAAGGAGCTATGGAAGTAGGGAAGAGCATTCTAGGCGGGCACTGGAGGAATGGAGGAGGCCCGGCTGATAAGCTGCCCTGTGGGAATGATTGCAGGAAGGAGCGGGAGAGACTGCAGGTACTGCCGTCATGAAGGGCCCAGTTGGCTAAGCACAGGCCTTCAGACTGCATGCTGGAGGTTGGGTGAGCCTGGCCTCCCTCCTGTCCTACTGAGGCAAGCTGGCCAGGCCTCCCAGAGGTCCCAGGGATGCTCATTGATTAGCTTGTGAAAGGCCACTTGGCTAGCTGGTTGCCGAGAGACAGCCCCAGAGGCCAGGGCTGGGATTAGTGAGTGGCCCTGTTTGCTCTTCTTGCTGGGCGGAAAGAGGACTTTGGTCCCAGCTTATCAAACTGCCCGGGTTTGAAAGCCCAGGAATGCAGCCTTGGGCAAATGTGCAGGTTCACAGGACACTCATTAATCAAACAGCTCCCTTCCCTCCACCCCTAATAACCTGACCCCCACTTCACACACACACTCCTATCGCACTCACATGGTCTTTCAGAGGTCCCAGAAAAGAGCGTGTCCACCATGCCTCAAGCCAGCTGGCAGCTGCGCAGGCCCAGGTGGAGGTACTTCAGGAAAGCCGGCCAGGCGGACTCTGTCTTTCCCTGAGTTTGCCCAGTGGGCCCCAAGAGGCAGCCCGAGGTTCCTCTGGGGGCTGCCGGAAGGTGGACAGAGCTGGGCCCAGCTGCCTCACTGCTCCATACAACTAGCAGTGTTATCCCTTCAAGATGGAATGAAAAATATCCCAGGCAGCAACTTCTAGGGAAAACTTTTGCAAAATATAAAATTCTTTTTTCACACTTTTCGGCGTGAAAAAGGGCATGACTTATGTTTTTATAAGCAGATGGAACTACGGTTGAAAGTCACAAATCAATCTAGAGGCCAAGCCTCGAGGCTTCTGAGCCAGGGCTCTTGCTTTAAAGGAGAAAGCGGTGCAGGTGGGAGGACTTGAATCGAAGAAAATTGAATCTCATTGGGATAATGCAAAGAATAATCATAAATGTGCGTTCCTGTTATTAAGCACTAGATACCAACTGCCGAGTTCCACAATGAGGGCAGAGGGAGTGTGGGCTTGAAACAGACGGCATGGAGGAGTTTTGGGGTCTTCAGGAGACACTGTGAGTTCTGTAGGAGCCCACTGTGCTCCGTGGCTACCAGGCCACTAGTGTCAACCTTGGTGGCAGAGAAGACAGAGGCGAGAAGGAGGAAAACAAAGTGCCGAAATAGCCCACAGTGTCAGACATCACTTAGAAGTCTGCTTCCATCCTGAGCACCGCATTTGAACTTTCTTGACCTTGCAAATGGGGGCCAAAGAGAGGGAGCTGGCTGATCAGGGAGGGCTTCGAGCTAGATCCGTAGACATCTGTGTGGACTCTGGAGCTCCATGGCCAGAGGAGAGAGGGCTTGGTCTGCCCAACTCCACCTACAGCTCCCAAGCCCCGTGGCCACTGCCACAACTGGCACTTAGGTACCACCACCTCTCGCCAGAGCCACTGCAGCCCCCTGTGCGGGACTCTCTGCCCACACCACTGGACAGCCCCTGAAACCCCTTCTCCAACTAAATTCGCACCTAATTCTGCATCTCCTGCTGAAAACACTTCAGAACGCTGCCACCCTCCCACCCCTGCCATGGTCCTCAGGATAAGGCAATGCCCTGAGGCCCTGCAAGCGCTGCAGCTGTTTGCAACCCATATTTTCTTTTTCACTTAATTATAACTTTAGGTTTGGGGATACATGTGCAGGTTTGTTACAAGGGTATATTGGATGATGCTGACGTTTGGGCTTCTATGGATCCCATCACCCAGACAGCGAACATAGTAGCATATAGAAAGATTTTCAGCCCTTGCCCCTCTCACCCTCCTGTTTCTTTTGAAGTCTCTGATGTCTGTTGTTCCCATCTTTATGTCCACGTGTACCCAAGGTTTATGTCACTTACAAGTGAGAACATGTAGTATTTGGTTTCCGGTTCCTGCATTAATTGGCTTAGGATAATAGCCTCCAGCTGCATTCCCATGTTGCTGCAAGGGACGTGATTTCCTTCTTTTTATGGCTGCATAGTATTCCATGGTGTATATATACCACATTTTCTTTATCTAGTCCACTGCTAATAAGCACCTAAGTTGATTCCATATCTTTGCAATTGTGAATCATGCTGCAATGAACATACAAATGCAGGTGTCTTTTTGGTAGAATGATATATTTTCCTTTGGGTGCATACCCGGTAGGCTTGCTTGAGACCCACACATTCTGAACCACCTGCAGGTCAGGGCACTGTGCTGCACCATTCAGGCTTTGCGCATCCTGTCCCCTCTGTCTGGAGCACCTTAAGGCCCCCAGCTCCCCAGCAGAGTAACTCCTGCATGTCCTCCTGCAGGCTTGCTATCCCCTCCCCCAGACTCAGCACGCTGACCAGGGCCTGCCGTCTGCCTCCTCCACTAGGCCACCAACTACTTGTAGCAAACCATGTGTCTATCCCCAGCTCCCAGCACCAGGCCTTGCACCCAGTCAGACTTGAACTTTCCCTAACTTGCAAATGGGGGCCAAAGAGAGGGAGCTGGCTGACTGGGGAGGGCTTCAAAGCTATATGTAGCTGAATGTATGAATGCAGCTGTTTTCACATATGTGGAAGAAGGGCTAGTCCTAATCTGAGTAGCTCAAGAGGTGCAATTAAGGCCACCAAGTGGAAGTGACAGAGAGGCAGAAACCTGGAGAGGCTCCACCATCCATAGGCTGCCCCTGGTAGCAGTGAGCTCCCTGAATGGGTCAGGATGAGCCCTTGAAGGGAATGCCAGCAGAGAGGGTTCTGTTGGGATGACATGACCTCCACAGCCCTCTAGCACCAGGACTCTCAGGGTCAGCTCAACCTGTGGACACCCACACATACACACACCAGTGAAGTTGCAGCTGGGCCCCCTCCAGCCTGGGATGAGTCTTGGAAAATCTGTCGCCATCCTGGAGAAGCCGCTTTGGGCCTGCAAAAAGGCAAGGGGGTTGGAGTCGGACACTCAGCCTGCAGCCCCTAGGGGAGAGCTGGGCTGTTCTCCACCTGGAACTACAGAGCAGTGCTCTGCCCTCCCCTCCTCCCTGAGAGCTGGGCCTTGTGTTTCCGGCACAAAGAGGGCCGGGAGCCCAACCGGGGATGGAGCGGGGGAGGTCTTTGACATCAGAGCCGACCCAGGTGCAGCGGGGAGGAGAGGTAACCTCAGCTCTGCCAGCACAGCTCCCTGGCCTCGGCAGGGCCGTCCTCCCTCAGCAGCAAGGTCACTGTTATCTGCTTCGTGAGCGGTTTGCAGGGCCTGGAGGCTCTCCAAATATGTGGAGGGAGTTTACCCTAACCCAAGACCAAAAGGCCTCCCACGCCTGACATTTTCCAAGTGCTGTAAACTCCAGACAAGGACAAAAAAGAAAGGCCCTTGGAAGCACTTCTACAGCCACAGGCTGTCAATGTTACCTGTGTGTGTGTGTTTGTGCGTGTGTGTGTGCGCGCGTGTGGGCACACGTGTGTGTCAAGTGTGTGTCAGAGCATGTCAGTGTATGTGCACATATGTGCATGTGTCCATGTGTGTGTCCCTGTTTATGCATGTGTCACTGTGTGTCTGTGTATGTCTGTGTGCTAATGTGTGTGTCTGCGTGTGTCCTTGTGTATGCATGTGTGTTGAGAAACACGTAGAGATCTTGAGACTAAATTCATAGAGGCGTTTTGTTCAGAACTTCTCTCCAAGGCCAGGAAGACAGGCTAAATGGCTCCAAATCTCAACCTCCAACTGCTTGTCGGATGTGGCCACCTGAATCCCAACAGCGCCTTTGGTATCTTTAAAGGTGAGCCATCTCCATCCCCACAGAACCCACCCCCCTTTTTCCTGTTTCTGTCAAAGCCACCGTCACTTTTCTGCTTTGAGAGCCTAATCCTCCAAGCCACGTGGAAAGAATGGAAACTTCCCATCACAGTCCTGGATCCCAGCTGCCCCAAAACCAGCTGTGAGTTTGCCTCTCTGAGCTTTAGTTTCCTTCGCTGGCAAATCTGTAAACGTTCTGGGTCTGCCTGAGGTACGGCACAGATAGGACGGTAGTGCAAGGATGCCCAAACCCCTAGGAACATTCTCTCCGTGTTTTATGGTTTCCTTATTGTAAATCCACTTTCCCAATGTAGAATTTAAAACAAAACAAAACAAAAAAAAGCAAAACACACAAAAAAAGCTGTTTCCCAGCCTCTGAGGCTGCAGGGCACACAGGCACGGGACTTGGATTGTAGCAGAGGCCACGCGGGGCCAGGGTCTTGCAGCCTGGCTCCTGACCAGGCCAGTTCCATCAGGCTCAGAAAGTCGTTCCTGCAAGATCACCCCAGAGCCTGTGCCCCCACTGTTCAGTGAGCCTGGAGCTCACTCACGTCTCTCATAAAGCCTTTCCTCTCTTCACTATCAGCTAAGGCTGCTTCTGCGGTTTGCAACTAAGCTGGTCAAGCCCTGAGAATTCACTCTCACAGCAGGCATTTGAGAATAAGAACAATTCAGATTGTGAAGGTTAAATGAGATTATGTGCACAAAACATCCAGCGTGGTGTCGGCTGCTCCCCGCAAACAGGCTCTGGCGTTGTCCCTCGAAAGAGAACTAGGCTCTCCGGGAAGCACCTGCCCTTTCCTCTGCTGCAGCAAAGCCTGGGCTGTGTGCGTCAGGCTCTCCAGCCACTGGGGGCAAGGCCTGGACCTGCCTATCTCTCCTGCTCTCTGAACTCGGTGTTGGGAAGACAGCGGAGATGTGGTGAGTTCAGGAGACCGAACTTTGTGTGCGAGGCCCTGGAAAGCAGCCCCAGGGCCTTACTGCCTACCTTTGAGATTCCCCTCTGTGGCTAATGAAGTCCCACCCTGGGACAGAGGCTGGGCAGTCTAGGGACTGTAAAAAAAAGAAAATGCAAGATTCAGTATCCAGCACTGAAGAGGCTGGTCTGACTGGGGAGACATCTCAATTGTGTGGGGAAGAAAAAAGTGGGCTGGGCTCACCATTACTGAGGGTGTGAGGGTATGAGATGGTTTCTGCTGGAGTAGACAGAGAAGACCTCCCAAACGAAGTGAGGCAGGGTCTCAGTCTTGAAAGGTACACGGGACTTGGCGGGACAAAGAAGTCTGGGAAGGGGGTTCCAGGATGAGGAATAGCAGAAGTGCAGAGGCAGGGGAGTGGTCCATGCTCGGGCTAATCTGCCGGGATGGAGGCTTATGGGGAAGTAGAGGGCGATCTCTCTCCAGAAAGTTCCAAATGCAGGCTTGGACCAGTTCCTGGGACCACCGAGGCCTGGATTGAGGAACTTGGGTTTCAGTCCAGGATGAACATGTGGCTGGGTTTGAACAGAGGTGATGCGGACCTCACCTGTTTGACTCCAGTACTTCGACTGTCATTTTTATCTCATCCTCCCTCCTCTTTCCTCCTGGGGTCCAAATGCCTGTACCCATTAATGGAAGGTTAAGCCACTGTATTGTTCCTCTCCTCCTCCTACTCCACTGAAACTGCACTGGCAAGGGACACCGTGTCCGCCCTGTTTCCCAGCGCACGGCACTTTTTCCAGGCTTTGTCTCTCTGGACCTGGGGTGTGGAACGCTATACATTTCTCTGCTGTTCTTCGAACCCTCCTGTGGCATCATCCACATGCTCCTCGTTTCTCCTCCCCCTTCTCCGACCATTCGGCCACCTCGGCCCACTGCAATTTTCTGTCTATGACCTGGGTGGTATCATCCATTCTCACCATGCCAGCTGCTGTGCATCTGCTGACAACACCATACCCACCACCCAGGCTTCTCCTCAGAGCTTAGACAAGCACGCCAGAGCACCTGCTTAGCATCGCCGCCTGGGTCGGCCCACCCCCTAATAAGTGGAACACGATCCAGGCACTCCAGGCACCTTAACTCCAACACTTTCCAGAACCAAGTCATCTTTCCTGATCCTCCAGCACCACGGTTCTTCCTTAGGCAGTTTCACCTCCCTGTGTTAATGGGCAGTGGCAACCAGGCCAGAAACCTGGCAATGGCCTTTTCTCCCTCCCTCATCCGCACCCCTACCAATCGCAGGTGCCCTCAGTTCTACCCTGTCCATCTCTGCCCCTCCTCTCCCACTGCCCCCACCTGGGCCAAGGCCTTGGCACCCCTCCCCAGCCCTGCACTAGCTCTCACCTGGGTGCCCACCTCCCTTCACCCCACCTGCCCTCGGGCACTCCACTCACCTGAGCTCCTGACATACAGACCTGACTGTGCCTGCCCCTTCTTGACACCTCTCAGTGAGCCCCCATCACTCACAACGTAAAGTCCCAGTTCCTCGGTGGAACATATCTGCTCCTCCATGGCACAGCCTCATGCCGAGTCACACTCCAGGGGAACCCATAGCTGCTTGTAGAGCCCTGAGACCCATGTTGCTCCCTGCCCCAATGCCTGCAGCTGGGCTGTTCCCCCTGCCTGGAATGCCCTTCCCTCCCTCCACTATGGCTGCATGAGTCTCATCTGCCCCTCAAGACAATCTCAGGGAGCATCTCCTCTGGAAAGGTTTCTGGCCCCAGACTGGACTAAGCGTCCATCATAGGTGTCCTCAGTGCACCCCATATAAAGACCCATACACTGCACTGCGATGCTGTTACCTGATGACAGCCTCACCTTCCCCACTAGCCTGTGGGCTGAAGGACTGGGACTCAGAACTCATTCCTATACAACATTGCAACCCTGTCCCCTAGCTCCATGCCTGGCACATTGGGGAAGCTCAATACAGTCTGTCCAACGGAACTAAACAAACTACAGGATGCTTTGGAAGGGATTGGCCCGGAAGCAGGGAGGACAGCGGGGAGCCTGGTACAAGAGCCAAGGTGTAGGTGATGAAGTTCAATTGTCAGCACTTTCCTTTTTTCTTCTGAAATCAGGAAGTATCCCTGCTGTAGGGGACTTAGCAGGTTGGGGACGGAGAAATTTCCCTCTGCTCCCTGGGGTGCTCCTCACCAGTGTCCTCTTGCCCTTCAAGGAAGTGTTCAGCCATAGGTCAGAATAGCCTGGGCCATGGGGAAGGGTGGAGGCATCTGGAGCCTTGGGCTGCAGGACCTGCCAGCTATGGAAGAAACAGGGGACACAGCGGCAAGCCAGGAGACACTGTCAGGGAAGTGACCAGAAAAATCCAGCAGGGGAGACAGCGCATAGACTTCCACCAATTAAAAGAGACACAAGGGAAGTGACAGCCAGGTGCAACGCACGATCACAGATTGGGTTCCGGTGGGGATGTCAGGAGAAACTGAACACAAAATAGAGGTTAGAGAATACTAATACATTATTATTAGTTTCTTGATATTATACTGTTATTTTGACATATATTAGGTCATTCTTGTATCGCTATAAAGAAATACCTGGCCTGGGGCTGTGGCTCACCCCTGTAATCCCAGCACTTTGGGAGGCGGCTGCAGGTGGATTACCTGAGGTCAGGAGTTCGAGACTAGCCTGATCAATGTAGTGAAACCCTCTATCTACTAAAAATACAAAAAAAATAGCCAGGTGTGGTGGTGGGCACCTGTAATCCCAGCTATGCAGGAGGCTGATGCAAGAGAATCGTTTGAACCTGGGAGGCGGAGGTTGTGGTGAGCTGATATTTTGCCATGGCACTCCAGCCTGAGAGACAGAGCAAGACTCTGTCTCAAAAACAAACAAAAAACAAGAAATACCTAAGACTGGGTAATTTATAAAGAAAAGAGATCAAATTGGCTCACAGTTTTGCAGGCTTTACAGGAAGCATGATGCTGGCATCTGCTCAGCTTCTAGGGAGGGCTCAGGAAGCTTCTGATCATGGCGGAAGGTGATGGGGAAGCAGGCACGTCACATGGCAAAGCAGGAGGAAAGGAGACAGACAGAGAGAGAGAGACAGAGAGAGCATACACTTTTAAATAACCAGATTTCACAAGAATTCACTCTCAGGAAGAGAGCACCAAACCATGAGAGATTTAAACACCTCCCACCAGGCTCCACCTCCATCCTTGGGGATTACAAATCAACAAGAGATTTGGGAGGGGACACATACCCAAACTATATCAGACTGTTTAAGAAAATGGTCTATGTTTTAGAGATACATTTGGAAATATTTAGGGGGGATATACCTGCAATTCACTTTAAAATATTTCAGCTTAAAATATATAGTCAATTTACAGGTTAAGATGCAATTGTGAGAAACTGCAAGTTAGAAATACTATGAGTTTAAGCAATTATCTTATGAAAGTAATTACAACTGCCTGAGTTCATGCTGCTAATAGCTCCATGTCACGTTATCTATGTTATGTGTAACAGGTCAAATTGTTCATAACTTTGTCATTCAAAGAGCTGTAGAGGTGTGAGCAAAATCAGTGTATTCAGTCAAAATGGTGTTCATGACAAGGGGAGCCCCTTGGATGTCTGAGGCCATGCATGTGCAATTATTGGGGAGTCTGAGAGTTATCTGAGGGGGGAGGGGGTTCAAATGCCTGAGGAGTGACTGTGGGATGATATGCAAACAGTACTTGGCAATGACCAAGACCACATACTTGCAAAGCTCACTCCCATGAAGACCAACTCAAAGACCAAAACCATACTCCAGGCTATGCTAGAAATTTAGAAGCCAGAACCAAGGGAAAGCTGGCAAGATGAGCCCAGAGGAAGGACTCTGCAAAGATGAGGAGCCCAGAGGGAGATGTCTAGGACAGGCTCCACACAAAACCATGCTGTAGGCATGCTGTGGTCCTCCTTTCTCATGGCTTGTGTGACATCCGTCCAGTTAGTATCAGAGTTATAAAAACCGACTCTGCAGCTTCAGGGTGGTCACACTGCAGTAAAGCAGTGAGTGTGTGTGTATGTGAGTGTGTGTGTATGTGAGGGTGTGTGTATGTGAGTGTGTGTGTATGTGAGGGTGTGTGTATGTGAGTGTGTGTATGTGAGGGTGTGTGTATGTGAGTGTGTGTGTATGTGAGGGTGTGTGTATGTGAGGGTGTGTGTATGTGAGTGTGTGTGTATGTGAGGGTGTGTGTATGTGAGGGTGTGTGTATGTGAGGGTGTGTATGTGAGGGTGTGTGTATGTGAGGGTGTGTGTATGTGAGGGTGTGTGTATGTGAGTGTGTGTGTATGTGAGGGTGTGTGTATGTGAGGGTGTGTGTATGTGAGGGTGTGTGTATGTGAGGGTGTGTGTATGTGAGGGTGTGTGTATGTGAGGGTGTGTGTATGTGAGGGTGTGTGTATGTGAGTGTGTGTGTATGTGAGGGTGTGTGTTTGCCACAGGGTCTGGCCCACGGCACACTGGAGGGAGACCCTGAAGAGGAAGGAATGCTCATATTAGTGAAAACTGAGAGCTGACAACCTAAAGATGGGATAGTAAACTTAACTTACTTAAAGCAGACCAATGTGGACATATAGTTTCAGGGTAGATAGTGTTCTACATCTCATTGGTCATGGAGGCATCACTGTGTTACTCTTTGTCATCAAGAATAGATTAAAATAGGCTGGGCACCTATAGACGTGGCTCACGCCTGTAATCCAAGCACTTTGGGAGGCTGAGGAGGGTGGATTATTTGAGATCAGGAGCTCAAGACCAACATGGCCAACATGGCCAACATGATGAGACCCCCGTCTATACTAAAAATACAAAAAGTAGCCAGGTATGGCAGCACGCACCTGTGATCCCAGCTACTCGGGAGGCTGAGGTAGGAGAATCACTTGAACCCAGGAGGCAGAGTTTGCAGTGAGCTGAGATTGTGCTACTCCACTCCAGGTTGGGCATCAGAGCGAGACTCCGTCTCAAAAAAAAAAAAAAAAAGAATCCATTATAATAGCCTTTATTTAGGGAAACAGGGAATTATGCGCCAGTTTTTGAGTCATCAAACATTATTAACATTCGTTAAAGTTTTGTTTTCAGTGTCATTTATGAGACAATGCTACAAATGTTTCATGTACAAATGCCACATAACTGAAAGTGACTGCATTAAGTAGCCTGGACAAATTTATTCCCAACACACAAGTGATGGAAACCAATACTCACAGTGGAAGGGCTCCTAGAGACCAATTTATTCAAATATTCTCCTATCATAGGAAGAAAACATGAGGACTGGAGACGGAAAAAGACTTGCCATGCACACAAGTTACATGAAAGATTAAACCAAGGCTGTTCTCCGATCCCCTCTCCTCTAGCTCAAATCACATCCAGGGGCTCAACTTCTCACAAAACTATGTGAATTTATACAATCAAATTGGATTCCCCAAGATACTTGTGCTGGCTAAACCTTCATGGGACAAAGAAGCCTCATATGCTTATTTCCTCATCTGTAATGTGAGGATAGTGACCCTGATTTCACAGGACTGCTGCAAGGGGAAAAGAAAGGATTCTGTGTATTCTCACATGTCCTGTGATCAGTGAATGAAGGGCTGTCATCATCACCATCGTTACTATGACTCTCATTATTAGACCAACTCCATAGAGCGGAAGAGTGCAAGGTCACAAGGCAACAGCACCATTCATTTATTTAACAACAGAGCACCCCCATACACAAGTCCCTGAGGGTGGCAGTGTGCAAATTAGAGACTCTGCCCATCTGTTCTTCTTCAGGGACTCCAACATGCAGTGTCATAGCTCACTAATGTTCCATTTGGGCTTTTATTTTCCAGTCTTTTTCTCTGTTTCATTTTGCCTTCCTTCCTTCCTTCCTTCCTTCCTTCCTTCCTTCCTTCCTTCCTTCCTTCCTTCCTTCCTTCCCTCCTTCCTTTCTCTCTTTCTCTCTCTCTCTCTTTCTCTCTTTCTTTCACAGGGTCTCACTCTATCGCCCAGGCTGGACAATCATGGTTGACTCCAGCCTCAACCTCCCAGGCTCAAGTGATCCTGCTACCTCAAGCCTCCCAGGTAGCTGGGACTACAGGCACATGCCACCACACCCGGTTAATTTTTTAACTTTTTGTAGAGACAAGGTTTCACCATGTTGCCCAGGCTGGTCTCAAACTCCTGGGCTCGAGCAACCCACCTGCCTTGGCTGCCCAAAGTGCTGGAATGACAGGCAACAGCCACCCTCACCTAGACTCTCATTTTCTTGTTTCTTTTTTTTGAGATGGAGCCTTACTCTGTCGCCCAGGCTGGAGTGCAGTGATGCGATCTCAGCTCACTGCAAGCTCTGCCTCGTGTTCAAGTGATTCTCCAGCCTCAGCCTCCCGAGTAGCTGGGATTACAGGCATGTGCCACCACGTCCAGCTAATTTTTGTATTTTTAGTAGAGACGGGGTTTCTCCATGTTGGTCAGGCTGGTCTCAAACTCCTGACCACAGGTGATCCCGCCTCAGCCTTCCAAAGTGCTAGGATTACAGACATGAGCCATCATGCCTGGCCTGTCTGGACTCTCATTTTGAATAGTTTCTATTGCTATCAGGTTGGTGCGAAAGTAATTGCGGTTTTTGCAAATTACTCTTGCACCCTCCTGCTATTTCTTCAAGTTAAGTAATGTTTTCTTTTTTTCTTTTTTTTTTGAGATGGAGTTTCACTCTTGTTGCCCAGGCTGGAGTGCAATGGCTCGATCTCGACTCACTGCAACCTCTGCCTCCTGGTTTCAAGTGATTCTCCTGGCTCAACCTCCCGAGTAGCTGGGATTACAGGCATGCACCACCACGCCCGGCTAATTTTGTATTTTTAATGGAGATGGGGTTTCACCATACTGGCCAGGCTGGTCTTGAACTCCTGACCTCAGATGATCCGCCCACCTTGGCCTCCCAAAGTGCTGGGATTACAGGCGTGAGCCACTGCTCCCAGCCAAGTAATGTTTTCTTCTACAATGTCAAAACTGTCCCATTCTGTCTAGTTGTTACCTCAGACATTGAGATAACAACTAGGTTTGTTTTTCCATCTCTAGAAGTTATATTTGGGTCTTTTTCTATGTTTCATATCTCTATTTTAAGTGTTCATGTTTTTCTCGACCTTTTTGAACATATAAAAAAATACTTATAATAACAGTTTTAGTGTCTTTGTTTACTATCATTGGTATCACTTCTAGCTCTATTTCTATTGATTTCTAGTTCTGTTCATGAAGGGTTGTATTCTTTGTGTTCTTGGTAATTTCTACTCGGCTGACAGACACTGTGAATTCTACCTTCTTGAGTGATGGGTATTTTTACATGTTCTTCAGATGTTCTCGAGTTTTTATTCTGGGATCTCGTTCAGTCACTTGGAAACAGTTTATTCCTTTCAAGACTTGCATGAGATCTGCTAGCACCAGAACAGCCTTAAGTCAAGGGCTAATTGGACTAATTGTCACTACTGAGGCGGCAGCTTTCTAAATGCTCCTCCTGATGCCCTGTGTCTTACAAGCTGTCTCCACTCTGGCTAGCAGGACCAGGTTCCTGATAGCGTGAGCTCTGGGAATTGGTATGCCCGTTCCTTCAAGGGGCTGTTTCCCCAGGCTCCAGTAGTTTCCTTGTGTGAATGCCACGGTCTGGTCCAGTCCATCGTCTGCTGAATGTTCAGCGGGGACCTTCTGCAGGTCTCCAGAGCTCTCTCTCTGTGCAGCTCTCTCCAGGGACCTGCAGCTGCCTGTCCTCCCCAGATTCCCGGGTCCGCCTCTGCTCGTGGAGACCACCAGGCTCCACCTGACTCTCCCGTCCCAGTCCTGCAGCGTAGAAACTCCCCAGGCAGGCCGGGCGGAGTGGCTCATGCCTGTAATCCGAGCACTTTGGGAGGCCGAGGCGGGCGGATCACGAGGTCAGGAGATCAAGACCATCCTGGCTAAAGCGGTGAAACCCCATCTCCATCTCCACTAAAAGTAAAAAAAAAAATTAGCCGGGCGTGGTGGCAGGCACCTGTAGTCACAGCTATTCCGGAGGCTGAGGCAGGAGAATGGCGTGAACCCGGGAGGCGGAGCTTGCAGTGAGCCGAGATCGCCCTACTGCACTCCAGCCTGGGCGACACAGTGAGACTACATCTCAAGAAAAAGAAAAGAAAAGAAAAGAAAAGAAACTCCCCAGGCAGAGAGCAGGGGCAATGGGAGTCTCAACTCATTCCTTTGCTTCCCTTGAGGGTCCCTGTCCCCAGCTGAATGCTATTTCTTGTCCAAAAACCATTGCTTCATATACTGGTTTTGAGTGTTTAAGGTGAGAGTGAACATGGCCTTTCACTCCATGTTGGCTGGAGCTGGAGGTCAGTCCTGCTTAAACTTTTAGAGCAGAGAGCTCTTCTTCTTCCCTGGGCCTGGACCTTAGAGGACGCCAGGGATCCGAGTGGCTCTTGCCATTTTACCTCTTCAAGGAGCCTGAATCTAAAGCCAACACAGCAAAAGGCAGACCCAGGAGGTGGAGAGAGATCAGCTGCAGGTGACATCCTTGCAGCCCTGAATCAAGCTTGTTCACTAGATTCTTAACTACAAGAGACAGAGAGGAAAACAAAATCCCTTTGCTCAGGTCAGTTGGAGTCAGGGTTTTCTAACATTTTTGCAAGCGAACAAGTCTCAAGTGATTCGCTCTACTGTTTAAAAATGCATATGATGACGGCATGTGTGTACCGAGCTGGGGCAGAGGTTAGAGAAATTTAAAAATGCGTATGAATAACAGCATGTCTCTACAGAGCTGGGGCAAAGGTTAGAGAAAGCGATCTATGTAAACGAGCTGCCAGGCCCGTACACAGTAGGTGCTCCGTGAAGGCTGTCTCCCTGCCCCGTCCTCAAATATCTGCTTCTTGATCTGGGCTTCAAAGCTGATCCCATTCTCTCTCCAGTCACCTCTCAAACTCCTCCTTCTTTTCTGTTAAGTAGCAAGTCTGGTCTTTCCTTCTTTCCGAGCAGAACCCAGGCTTTACAGTTAATATCCTGCCGCCTCTGATTGCAGCTTTAAGAGGTGTAACATTTGATAAGCTCCATTTAGCTTGGCTGAGCTGCATTGTTTAAATTATTCGAAGACAGATTGCTCCCTCCCCCTACCCTGAGGATTTCTGCTCTACTGAGCTTGCCCACAGCAAGTTACCAGGAAACACGGCAGGGAAGTCAGCAGGGCAGTTTGTCACCGTGAGGCTGAAAGTCAGTTCCAGCCGCTGTTCTGCAGCCATCACACCCCATTATTCCCTGCTAATTGCAAGCCTGGTATGCAGGCTAACTCTTTGAGAACAATGCCAGCTTTGATTGCTGAAGAGGCTTATTCCTCTCCGCACCGCCCCCCCCCCCCGCCCCCGCCCTCTTCTCCCACCGTCCTCAGCTGACTCTGCCTGTCTGGGATTCCAAGCATCTCACACTGGGGAAGAAGAGTCTGGGTTGGGAAGGAATCTGAAGTGAAGCCCGTTCCCCAGGCATTCCGATTGGGGGAGGGAAGGAGGGCACTGAGGGGAAGGCTGGGTGGGTCCCAGCCCCCTGAGACGTGAGCAGCCTCCATTCTAAATGATGTGGAAGAGCCGGCAACCCAGACACAGCTGCTCTGCAAGCCCATCTGCCCAGCTCAGGGCTCAACCTCAGGACACGCCCACTCCTCCTGGTCCAAACGAGGATGGAGCCCCTCGAGCCTGTGCTCATGGGCACTGTCTCACTCCATCCGAGCACTGCTTAAAACACACTGGATAAATGCGGATGGCTGTCAGACGCTTTTAATGAGGAAATATTAGAGGAATATTAGAGGAATAATGAGGAAATGATAGAAAAATCAGAGACTGTGTTTTTTTAATCTACAGAATCTATTGGCCTAGATTTGCCAGACATTCATTTAGAAACAATAAAAATAACTGTAAGGGTGTCTACATGACCTGCAGAGCCTAAAACATTTCGTATCTGGTCTTTTACAGAAAAATGTTGCCAACCCTCGCCCTCCCAGCCGCCAGAATTTGGATTAAAAGAGACTAAAACGATGTGACAATGAAATGCAATGTGTGAGCCTGTCTCGAATTGGATCCTAGACCAGAAAAAGGACATTTGAAGGGAAACTGGTGCAATTTGAAAGGGACCTGCAGATTAGACAATAGAGTGCCTCAAGGTCAGTTTCTTGATTTCACTCGTTTTGCTGTGGTTCTGTGAGCTGTTAACCTTTGGGAAATCTGGGTATGTGGTGATTCTTTGTACTGTTTTTGCAACTTTTTTGTTAAGTTTGAAATTATTTCAGAAAAGAAATCTTTAAAAAATGATCATAAGGAGAGGACATTCTTACTCCCCAGAATTCTTGGAGCCTGGGAAAGGTGGGTTTGGTGGGGAGGGGTCTGGGAAAGAAGTTCTCAGAGCAGATGCAGTTACTCCCAGAGAGCTAGAGTGTCGGGGGCGTGGAGTCGGGGGGAACCCAGGGCTCCGGGGAACATGGGCTTTTGGAAAGGACATGGAGTGAGGAGGGAGACGAGGCAAGGTGGCAGAAGGACGTACCTGAAGTGATCCTTAAAGCTGCAGTGAATTCACTAACCAGATGACATACAAGAGTGGCAAGATTTCTGCTTGAAGAGGTGAAGGGTCCAACATCGTGCCAGCTGGCAGGAGGCTGACCAGAGGTAACAGATCTGGATGTAGGAGCCAAGGCAAGGGCCATAAGGAAGAGAGGCTGGCCCTTCACAGCAGTCCCAGGAGGCCTCGGGGCTTCCCCAGGCTGTGCCACAGGATCAGAGCGAGGTGCACCTCAACTGCCAAGGGGCAGAGAGGCTCCAAGTGCAGGGTTAACCTCTCATGCACTACGGAACCCACAACGGGCATTACTTTTTGCAAGGGAGCTTACCGCTTCTGCTCCCTTGAGAACACACAGCCGAGGCTGATATGGAGCCTAAGCTGGGCACCAGCAGTCACTCCATCAGAACTCAGTGCACTCCCTGAGTTGTTTGCTTTCTCCAGCTGTAGAACCTGCTAACCAAACTCTGGAGGAGGCACATTTGTGTGCTGTAAGCAGCATGATCCATCTGTGGATTACCTATGAATAGTAACTAATCACAAAACAGAGAAGTCTTGCATACTGCAAAAGTATCTTTAAGCAAGCATGGATGTAAAGAGGCCAGATGATCCCTATCAGGTAGGTAGGAAAATGGCCAGGTTAGGCAGCGTGGCCTTAAGAATGCACCTTACACACACCCTCCCACCCCACCTGCCCACTAGGGCAGCGCTAATGGACCAGGCCGCACCGCTGCTCTGAAATCCAGGGCAGCTTTTCCAGGGAGGTCTCCCTTCCCACCATGCACAGGCTGCTCCCAGCCACAACTGAGTGCAGCAGGGAGAGCGGGCGGGCTCCTCCGGTGGCCAGCGTGAGTGCAGTGACACCGTGACTGCTTTGCCAGACTTGCCTTTGATGGCATCTTGGTCAAGAAATTTCCACCCAACTGTCTCTCCCTCTTTCCTTCATCGAATTTAAACTTGCTTTGCAGACTGACAGTTCCAGATTCTCTTGCTCCTTCCTCATTTTCTCTCACACATGCATTTCCCCTAAGAAAATCTTTGCACGTTTAATACCATGTTAGCATCTGTTTCTGGGAGGATCAAGACTGACCAGGCAGTGTGGGAAAAGGCTGGTCTGCTTCGTGTGTGCTCTTCCCAAGATGCTTCCCTCCTCAAAGATCACCCTCGAGGTGCAGCAAGGCTTTGGGAGGAAGATATTTTCATAGTGCTTTTTAAATAGTTAAATTCCAGGTATACGACCTTTACTATGATTATAAGAGGAGGTGGTAAAGTATACATCCTGGGGGAAAAATAACCGTCAAACTGTTGATTTCTAGTTAGATACCTTCCTATCAGTTGCAGTGATATCACTTTTGTGCTACTTAGTGCCAATGTCTTTAAATGTTTTGTTGAACAATTACTAAAGGCAATTTATAAGGAAAAACATGATCCTCTACCTCTGCCCCCCAAAAAGTGAGGAATATTTCAGATGAATAAGCCTCAGAATTAGGGATCAAGTCAGAAAGCACAGTGGAAGATCATTAGATTGATTGAACCTCTATTTCAACAAGAGTCACATAATGCATATTTGCAATATGCAATTGTCAAAGCCATACAGTTTTTCATTGGCTTTGCTTAATTTCCGCAAATGCTTTCTCCAACATAAAAATATATGTGTAGGTGTGCCTATTTACAAACTAGGAAGCTGCATCAGAAACAGCACGATTTAGAGGGAAAGGGGGAAAGACAAAATTAAGGGAAGAGCCGGGAAGGAAACCCAGAAGGGAAGAATGAGGGAAGAGTGTCCACTCTGTCTGTGAGTTGGCAAATTCAAATGATGTGCATTTGGGAAAGGGAAGGATCATTGGCTCTGTGGCTGGAGATCCCCTTCGCAGGATGAAGCAGGGAGATGTATGGGTTTGCCAACCCTGCTACTGACAAAAGTCCCAGCCTGAAGTGCCCAAGATGTGCCCCACGTCATCCTGATGGGTAAAAACATGGAGGGGGAATCTTATCTCTCAGAGGAGGAGAGGGAAACATTTGGAAAACTTTCCTATCTCCACTCATGCCAAGGATGTTGGGGACATTCATTGTGTGGGAGCCCCAGGAGGAGGGACCCCAGATCAGTCAGAGCAGGGGTCCTGTGGAGGGCAAGGAAGACAGGCTCGGCACTAGCCTCAGCCCCTCCCTATGCTGAGGAAGCCAAAGGCTGTCTTAAAACAGTCAAGGAGGTAAAGAGCCCTGGAAGTTAGCACTGAACAAAGCCTGGCCCTTTTGGTACTCAGTCCACTTGCTGAGGGTTAGGAAGTGGGGCTTGGAGAGACTGAAAGGTACTAAGTGAAGAGCTGGGGTTAGACCTGCCTGACGGCACCATGTTGGTGCCCTGACTCTGTCCTGTGACTCTAATCAAGAAGGCATTCCTGCACTCGCCTGATGACTCTCTCAGCACTCACTTCCTTGGCTGGATTTTGGACTCAAAGCTGCCCAAGTAATGACATCAGATTTGTCTTTGCTTAAGACAGCTCTTTTAAATTGTTTTCAGCACAACTCACAGTAGCAAACATATCTTTACCTGCAGTCCAATACACAAATGTGTGTATCAAGTACCTGAAACAAAAGTGTCACAAGACAATACTCACCCTGAAGATTTGCTATGCATCTAGTATTTTCTTTTCCTGTCTCTTCTTGTCCTTTCTCTACCATTCTTAAAAAGAAAAATGCGCTTGTAATTGGACAAGCACTAGCTGAAAGATCACAACTCTGGTGACCCAGGGGCACTTGGTGGCCTCCACAGATTCCCCTAAAGAGGTAGCAGGTCATTAGTGAGGTTATATGGAATTATGTGGACCCTGTAGACCATGGGTCAGTCCACTCCACTAAAACACTCGTATTCTAAGTCCAAGGGACATGCCTTAACTCAGATACTCTTACAGCTTTTGACTACAGCAACAATCATTTATACTTCACTTGCGTATATTATCCCAATAGAAAATGCTCAGAATGGCCAGGTACAGTGGCTCATGCCAGTAATCTCAGCACTTTGGGACGCCGAGGTGGGGGGAATCACTTGAGGCCAGTTCGAGACCAGCATGGCCAACATGGTGAAACCCCCGTCTCTACTAAAAATACAAAAATTAGGCCAAGCATCATGGCTCACACCTGTAATCCCAACACTTTGGGAGGCAGAGGCGGGTGAATCACCTGAGGTCAGGTGTTTGAGACCAGCCTGGCCAACATGATGAAATCCTGTCTCTACTGAAAATACCAAAAAAAAAAAAAAAAAAAAAAAAAAAAATAGCCAGGTGTGGTGGTGGACACCTAGAATCCCAGGCACTTGGGAGTCTGAGGTGACTCTATCTCAAAAAAAAAAAAGAAAAAAAGAAAAAGAAAAAGAAAAGAGAAAATGCTCAACCTAGCAAAATAACTGATGTGATTTTCTTGTTTAACAGAGGGAAAGTTTCTTATGGTCATCTCACAACAATCGTTGTCCCTCCAATAGGGAATTCCGCCAAAGTCTGCTCCGCAAAGCACGAGCAAATGTTCAGGGTCTGGAGACAGTAGATTGCTCCAGGAGAAATATGAAGGAGCCACCGTGATTCCATATCTGCCTGGGAACTCTTTTAAGCTGCTGAGGTCAGAAGAGATTTGCAAAGCCCTCCAAGAGACTTTACCGAAAGACATCGTGTGCTGGGGGTTAATGTTTTTCTTCATTAGTTGTGTTTGTAGCTTCTTGAAATTATTGTATATGGACTGGCACCCGCCTCAGCCTCCAGTCATCAGCACAACTGCATCGGGGGATGGCCTCCTGGCTTCATCTATCAAACAAGCCACTGTCTGCAGACGTTCTGGGATTTGTTGTATTTGGGGTTAAACGGGGGAGGAGGGAAAATTAACGGGTTTCTATAAAGAATCACTTCTCTGGTTCTCGTTAAAGCTCTGAGGGTCACAGGAAATCTCTGGTTTCAAACAACTGTATGTGGCGTGATCCTGTTTACTTGAAATGTCTAGCTGAGACCTAGCTTTGCCACATTAATACTAAATAAGTAATATCCACAGAAGCTACTTTTTGGTCCTCTTTGCCAAAAATCTTGAGGAAGGGGTCCAGCACAGAAGCCTTACATGCATGTTTCATATAGAAGCCACAGGGTCAGTGGAAACTAGGCTTCCTTATTTTTTTTTTAAGCTGTTTCATGACAGATAAAACTCAGCTGGTAAGCCAATCCATACCAAATGACCCACCAGGGCCACCGTACTTGTTACCACCCAAGAGGTAGTTCCATGAACTTCATATTTATTCTCTTTCTATCTAAACTCCCTCTCTGAAATGGATCCAATGGGCGTACTTACCTGAGGTGTAAATGGTTGGTAAGTAGAGTTGCCAGATTTCGCACATAAAATACAAACTCCACAGTTGAATTTGTATTTGAGACAAATGATGAATAATTTTAAGTATAGTATGTCCTGTGCAATGTTTGAAACATACGTAAGCTAATTTATTACTTGTTGTTTATCTGAAATTGAAATTTCGTTGGGCATCTTGTATTTTATCTGGCAGCCCTACTGCTAAGGCCCAATGTGCTACCTTTTAAAGGAACTTGATGTCTAACAGGAGACAATAATAGCCAACGTTGTGATTAGGAAGGAGGGCTTATGGGCCTGGGAGAGTTCCCCAGATAAGAGGAGCTTCCTCACCTAAGAATTTGCTTCGTGTCAGAAGGGGCAGCTTATCTGGCCATCTGGTCCCTAAACAAACTCTGTGTCGTGGCCTGTGAGGATGGTGGCATTGCTGGGTGCCCACTGCTTTACAGTCATGATGAGGGGGATATTATCATCCGCTTTTACAAAAGGGTAAACTGAGTGCAGGGAGGTTAGAAACGTGTCCAGTTCACCCCATGGGAAGCGGTCACCTGAGTGGTTGGGGACCAACGTGGGAGAGAGGGAACGTTACCTTAAGCTGCTGCCCTGGGCACGGAGAGACACAGATGGACAGCAAGGATGCAGAGGGATGCCTGGTGTTCCCGACACTTCGTGGATGGTCCCAGCGAAAGGAGGCTTGTGCAAAGTGTTTTATGATGCTTATGCATCCGGGAAGCTTCAGGGACAAAGTGATTTTGGAGAAAATCAGTTAAAGATTTTTAAAGAGGGGATTTAATTGGAGGGAGGCAGAAGAGGTGCCAACTTGATTTCTGAAAATTGTAATCCCTACTGCTCTCAGAGCCACTGCCTGGTACGGAAAGTGTATCTTCTCCCACTGGCTTTGCACACCATTTAACAGGAAATTCAAGTCGAAATATCAGGGGGAAAAAAAGCCTCCTAGCCTTATTACTAGAAGAAGACCCCTCCCTCCCACCATTTGTAATAGAACCCTCTTCAGGACGAGGCCTCCGGAATTGCTGTTTATCTCTTATTCGTGCTCTAATAAAATCAATATGTGTGTCCTACTAAACTTGGATCTACCGACAGTGAATTTCAAAAGATTCTGAACTCTCTGCAGGCCTACATCAGTGGTTCTCAACCAGGGGATTTTGTCCCCAGGGAACATTTGACAGTCTCTGGAGATGTTTTGGGTTGTTACAACTTGGAGGTGGGGGCAGGAGTGCAACCTACGTCTAATGGACAGAGGCCAGAGATGCTGCTAAACAGCCTACCCTGCACAGCAGGAAAGAATCTCTTCTTTGTGTCTCCCCAGCAAAGAATCCTCTGGCCAAAAAATCTAGCCTAAACTATTCATTTATTTCCTTCATCTGAGAAGCCTCTATTGAGCACCAACTATGCCCCCAGTTGCGGGGCTAGATGCTTGGGATGTGAGGATAAATAAAGCATGGCCCCTGGTGTCATCAGCTCACACTCTGGCAGGGAGGAAGACACACAGATGACGTGTTGCCACACTGCGTGCTTGTGGCACAGGCCAGTGCACAGCACTGGAAGGAAAGAGGGAAGAGCTTCCGGCAGAGAAACACTGAAAGAGGACTTTGAAGGATGAATAGGAGTTTGATGGGCAGGAAAGGGAGGAAGGTCTCAGGCAGTGGAGCCCAGAGGCCCAGAGGTGTGAGAGTAACATGGCATGTTCTGGAAACTATGCGGGTCCTGTTCAGATGTCCATGCAGCCTGTGGTGTAGGAGAGACATGGCTGAT
Organism: Homo sapiens; assembly: GCF_000001405.40. NCBI lineage: Eukaryota > Metazoa > Chordata > Mammalia > Primates > Hominidae > Homo > Homo sapiens. The sequence continues at coordinate 11,650,023 of NC_000008.11, forward strand.
CATGGAGGGCTGGCCGTCCAGCCCAGCGATCTGGGCTCTCCTGGAGTCTAATGCATCAGGATCTGAACACCGCCCCATCGTGTGCTCGTGTGCAAAGCTGACAAACATGCCTGTGGTGGAGGATGGTGCGGAGCAGGCTCTGGCAATGACACAGAAGGAGGCCTGGGAGGCCGAGGGTTACAGTGGAGGAAAAGCTGGGAGACTTTAGGATTTGGTGACTGGTGTTACTTGGGGGAAAGGAGAAGGGAGAGATGAAGGATTTAGACGTTGCAGGAAGAGGGTGAGTGCTGATGTGGCTGATGTGCTCCAGAGCTGGAGCGGGGTTGAGGTGGGGAAGTGTATCTGTCAGTTAGGGGTGCCTAAAGTGCCACAGACGCAAGAGCTTTAACGACAAAAAGTATTCCTCACAGCCTGGTGGCTGGAAGTCCAAAGTTAAGGTTGGCAGGATCAGTTTCTTCTGAGGCCTCTCTCTGTGACTTGTAGATACCGTCGCCTCCTCCCTGTGTTTTCACTGGGTCTTCCCTCTGTGTGTGACTATGTCCCTAATCTCCTCTTCTTATAAGGATGCCGGTCATATTGGATTAGGGCCCAACCTAATGACCTCGTTTAACTTTAATTACCTCTTTAAAGACCCTCCAAGTACACAGGGAGTTAGAACTTTGAATTTTGGGCGGGCACAATTCAGCCCCTACCCAGAAGGAAAGGAGTTCAGTCTCTTCCCCACATTTCCCCGGAGCCGTGGGATTGCCGCGACTCACGGCAGGAAGACCGAGACACCTTCCCACAGACCAGGCAGCCCGCTGGATCTCTCATCCAGAAAAAAGAAACACCTGTTTATTGAGTGACTGCTGTGTGACAGTGCTTTGTGCACCGTGGTGTCATTTCATCCACATGGTAACACTGCAGGCAGCTACTGCTATCTTTGTACAGGTTGAGACTGAGATTCAGACAGATTAGAAATCCTGCCAAAACTCTCAAAGCTCAAATGAGCAAAATTCAGCCCAACCTCACCTCCGGGGCTTCCGCTGCACATGGACATGCCTGTCTGAAGAGCCCAGCTCTCCACTGGAAGGTCCTGCCACTGCGTCCCCCAGGGATACCCTTTCCCTCTGTGTGGCCCGTCCAGAGCCCCAGCCAGACACATCGATCCCGCTACGCCAGGGATGTACCCGTGGTGACCACAGGTAGCTCCTGGGACACCGGAGCCTCTGGCCAATATTTACCCAGTAATTCAAGCAGGTAATAAACAGCTTACAGGTAGCCTCCCTCACACACACAGCAGCTTCCTCAGCCCTCAGACTGGGAACAGCCCCAGCAAGTCTGGGCTGGAGCCTTCTCTGTCTGCCCCAAGGAGCAGTAGCTCCCAACTGGCTGCACATTAAAATCCCAAGGGAGCTTTGAAAGCCTGGGCCCAGGCCACCTCCAGATCAATTAAATCAGCGCCTCTGGGGTGGGCCTCAGGCACCCACATTCTTATAAAGTTTTCCAATGTGCAGAAAAGATTAACAAAACACTGATATCGACAAATATGGAAAGACTCTTCAATATTTGTCATCTGAGGACCAAAATGAGGGCTATGGCCTTCAGCACAGCAGCCCCTCCCTCTGTGCACACACCGCTAGGACTTCCCGCCTCCACACCCCGCCACGTGGATGGATACACCCATGTGTGGACATACACACACTTGGTCGTATATGCACATATGTGCACACCCGCCAGGACCATCAAATGCCAGAGTTAGGCTTCTCCAGTAGGGGGAGCACAGGTCACCCCTGTCTTTTACCCCTCATCATCCGGAGAAGCAGAATAAAATCCACAGGCCCCGCCCCCAGTAATCTTGGTTCCAGATCCTGGGAAGGGTGATGCCCTTCCCAGCATGTAACCAGTGGGGAGCACCACTGCAGGAAAGGAGAGGGGCCTTGGCCATGGTCGCACCATATCTGTTCTGTGTGGGGAAACTGAGGCCCAGAGAGGTGAAGGACTGTGCCCAAGGGCTGACCATCCCTGAGCACGAGCCAGCAGAAGGACAGGAAAGACCATCACACTCTTCATTGGTGTCACTGATCACTGACTTTGGGCTGGATCATTTACTGAGGGTGTTGGACATATCACAAATTCAAGCCTCATCACTCTCAGAGGCAGGGAAGGCTTTTTCACCCAATTTTAGAGATAAGGAAGTTGGAACTTTTTAAAAATTATTGTAAAATACACAGAACATTAACTATTTTAAGTGTGCAGCTCAGTGGCATCACATGGCTTCCGATTGTTATACAACCAATGTTCCCAAACTGAAACTCTTGCACCCATTAAACACTAACTCCCATGTCTCCTCCCCCCAGCCCCTGGCAGTCCCCATTCTACTTTGTCTCTATGAATTTGACTACTCCAGGTGCCTCAAGCAGTATTCATCTTTTGTGTCTTGCTTACTTCACTCAGCATAACGTGCTCAAGTTGCATCCATGTGGTAGCATGTGTCAAATTTTCCTTCCTTTTAAGGCTAAATAATACTCCATTTATGTACATTTTCTTTATCTATTCACACATAATGGACACTTGGGTCATTTGCACCTTTTGGCCATTGTGAATAATGCAGCTGTGAACCTGGTATCCACATATCTCTTCAAGACCCTGCTTTCAATTCTTATTGGTATATACCAGAAGTGGGATTGCTGAATTATATGGTAATGCTATGTTTAATTTTTGGAGGAAACTCCATGCTGTTTCTCACAGTGGCTGCACCATTCTACACTGCCACCAAATGCACAAGGGCTCTGATTTCTCCACATCCCCACCAACACATATTTTCTGTTGATAGTAGCCAAAGATGGACATAAGGTAATATCTCATTGTGGTTGTGATTTATATTTCCCTAATGATTTGTGATTTTGAGCATCTTTTCATGTGCTTGCTGGACATTCGTATATCTTCTTTGGAGAAATGTGTAACTTAGGGCTTTTACGTAACTTGCCCAAGGCTATTGAACTAGCAGTGGCAGGACCAAATTCATACCTAAACATTTACCTGCAGGAACTTGCTCCTAACAACTAGCACTAAGATGACACATGTAGAGCTCTTGACACAGTGCCATGGATGTATTTATTAGTAAATGTCCAATAAATGTGAGCTATTATTACTGTATTAGTTTGTTCTCACACTGCTATAAGGAACTACCTGAGACTGGGTAATTTATAAAGAAAAGAAGTTTGATTCAGCTTACAGTTCTACAAGCTGAATAGGAAGCATGGTTGGGAGGCCTCAGGAAACTTACTATTGTGGCAGAAGGCAAAGGGGAAGCAAGCATATCTTACCATGGTGGAGCAGGAGAGAGAGAGTGAAAAGGGAAGTGCTACACATTGTTAAACAACCAGATCTCATGAGAACTCACTCACTATCATGAGAACAGCAAGGGGGAAATCTGCCCCAACAATCCAATCACCTTCCACCAGGTTCCACACCCAACAATGGGGATTACAATTCAACCTGAGATTTGGGTGGGAACACAGAGCCAAACCATATCAACTACCACTAACATTACTGCTATGGAAGTCCTAGTAGAGCAATCAGACAAGAGAAAGAAATAAAAGGCATCCAAATTAGAAAGGAAGAAGTCAAATTATCTTTGATTACAGATGATATGATCTTATATTTAGAAAAACCTAAAGACTCCAGCAAAAAAACTATTAGAACTGATCAACAAATACAGTAAAGTTGCAGGATACAAAGTCAACATACACAAATCAGTAGCATTTCTATATGGCAACAGCAAATAATCTGAAAAAGACAACAAGAAAGTAATTCCACTTGCAAGAGCTACAAATAAAATTAAATACCTAGGAATTAACCAAAGATATCATAGAGACAGAGTAGTTGAAACAACAGCAACAAAACTTAACCAAAGAAGTGTAAGATCTCTGCAATGAAAATTACAAAACATTAACAAAAGAAATTGAAGAGGACAAAAAATATGGAAAGATATTCCACGTTCATGGATTGGAAGAATCAATATTGGTAAAATGTACATATTACCAGAAACAATCTACAGATTAAATGCAATCCCTATCAAAACACCAATGAAATTCTTCACAGAAATAGAAAAAAAAAATCCTAAAATTTGTGTGGAACCACAAAAGACCCAGAATAGCCAAAGCCATCCTGAGCAAAAAGAACAAAACTGGAGGAATCACATTACCTGACTTCAAATTATACTACAGAGATATAGTAACAAAAACAGCATGGTACTGGCATAAAAACAGACACATAGACCAATGAAACAGAATATAGCACCCAGAAACAAATTCATACATCTACAGTGAACTCATTTTCAACAAAGGTGCCAATAACATACATTGGGGAAAGGAGAGTCTTCGATAAACAGTGCTGGGAAAACAATATTCATATGCACAATAATGAAATTAGACCCCTATCTTTGCATTTACAAAAATCAAATCAAAATTAATAAAAAACTTAAATCTAAGACCTCAAACTATGAAACTACTACAAGAAAACATTAGAGAAACTCTCCAGGACATTGGACTGGGCAAAGATTTCTCGACTAATACCCCACAAGCACAGGCAGCCAAAGCAAAAACAGACAAATGGGATCACATCAAGTTAAAAAGCTTCTGCACAGCAAAATAAGCAATCAACAAAGTGAAGAGACAACCTGCAGAGTGGGAGAAAATATTTGCAAACTATTTATCTGACAAAGGATTAATAACCAGAATATATAGGGAGCTCAAACAACTCTACAGGAAAAAATCTAATAATACAATTAAAAATGGGCAAAAGATCTGAATAGACATTTCTCAAAAGAAGACATACAAATGGCAAACAAGTATATAAAAAGGTGCTCAACATCATTGATCATCAGAGAAATGCAAATCAAAACTGCAATGGGATATCATCTTACTCCAGTTAAAATGGCTTTTATTCAAAAGACAGGCAATAACAAGTGCTGGCAAAAATGTGAAGAAAAGGGAACCCTTGTACACTGTTGATGAGAATGTAAATTAGTACAGTCTCTGTGGAGAACAGTTTTGAGGTTCCTCAAAAAACTAAAAATAGGACTACCATATGATGCAGCAATCCTACTGCTAGATATATACTCAAGAGAATGGAAATCAATATATTGAAGAAATATCTGCACTTTCATGTTTATTGCAGCACTATTCACAATAGCCAAGATTAGGAAACAACCTAACTGTTCATCAACAGACAAATGCATAGACCAAATGGGTACATAGAAACAGTGGAGTACTATTCAGCCCTAAAAAGGAATGAGATACTGTCATTTGCAACAACTGGATGAAACTGGAGGTCATTAGGTTAAGTGAAATAAGCCAGGCACATAAAGACAAACTTCACATGTTCTTATTTAATTGTGGGAGCTAAAAATGAAAGCAATTGAACTCATAGAGATGGAGGTAGAATGATGAGATGAGATAGAGAGTAGAGGCTGGGTGTGGTGGGGGGCAGTGCAGGGACAACAGTATAATTAGAATGAATAAGATCTAGGGTGACTACAGTCAACAACAGGGTAACTACAGTCAACAATAACTTATTGTACATATAAAAATAACTAAAAGAGTATAATTGGATTGTTTGTAACACAATGAAAGGTTAAATGCTCGAGGTGATGGATACCCCATTTACCCTGGTGTGATTATTATGCCTTACGTTCCTGTATCAAAATATCTCATGTACCCCATAAATATATACACCTACTATGTACCCACAAAATTAAAAATTTTTAAAAATTACTGCTACTATTACAACCATTAATATCACTACCTCCATTACTACTATTAATAATTCTACCAGTTCTGCTGCTGTTACTAGAAGACTTCCTAAGACTAGAGTTAGATAGTTCTATCTCAAGACAGAGTGGCAACCCCACATCTGTAAACAGGGGTTTTTTTAGCATGGTTATGGCCAAAGGAAAATAGATCAAGGGATTTGTGATTCATTCCCTACTTCAGCATTTCTCAAAGCGTGGGCTGTGGATTGGCTGGAACAGAATAACATGAGTCACTGGATTTAAATCAGATTCTGAGTCTCCTTCTCAGACCTGCTGCACTGCAGTCACTGAGTGGGAGCAGCTGGACATTTGCAGGACACAGTCCCTCAGAGGACTCTGCTCAGTTCAATGAAGCATCTTGGCCCACTGGAGCTGGGACTAGAGCCTTGTTCATTGGTGAGCACTGGATATCTTTTTTATGGTAAAAAACAATCCCCCAAACATACACAAAAATGAAATGAGTGATTTATCTTCTTTTTCCTGCTTTCACAAATTTTTAAATTTCTGATTATCCTGTATTAGTTTTATGCTTTAGAAACATACATCTTTAAAGCAACTAAAATTTTTGAGGGATCTGTATTCTTTTTAACAGCTTGATGGAAATAAAGCTGATATACAATAAACTGCACCTATTTAAATGTACAATTTGATAAGTTTTGACACATGTAGAAACCCGTGAAACCATCACCACAATCACAAGGGTAAATATATTAAATACCATAAATGTTTCAACCTGCCCCTCTGTAGAGATGTTTGTATCTTGTGCCTTCCTGCCATTCCCTTTATCCATGCACTCTCCACCCTTCCCCCAAGATCTTCAGTATTTGAATTTGTGGATTATAAGGCTGTAACTTTTCCCAGTGAGCACTGCCACCAAAACAACCCTGGTGACACTGCCTAGAACAGACCAGGTCTCAGCCAGTGGGAATAAACTAAGAGGCCCTAGAGAAACTTGGACTGCAGCAAACACAGTGCAGGGGTACCAGAAACAGAAAGGATGGGGCAGATCACCTGCATGAGAAGGTGCTGGTCTCTGTGCCCAGAATGCCTTCCTTTGGCATCATCCAATTTTCAAACTCGTATTCATCCTTTATAACTCACTTCTTCCTCTAGGAAGCCTTCCTTCGTCCACATGCCACCAACAGCCTTGTCCAAGGTGGTGTCCAGTGGTGGGGGGCATTTTCTACCAAGCATTAAACAAAATCAGAGGACTTGGGACATCCTCCCAGCCACTTCTCAGAAACTGTGATTTCTAAACCTGTCCCCAAAAGACAGACGTCTCTCTTCTTTTCTTTAAACCTTCCAAGGAAGAGTCATAAATGCCCATGGCAGTGCCTAACAGCCTCCTCAGTTATGCCCACCTCCTTGCCCACTACAGCCAGTCATTTGCTACAGTCTTTCCAGCTGGTCCCACTTCCCCTGACTCCTGATCATAGTGCTGTTGGAGTCAGGCCAGCAGCCCCTCAGCACCCTACACCTACCTCAGCTACCAGTAGGGAGAGGGTGCAGGGGAGGGAAGGGAGGCAGGATTGAGGAGAATGGAGTCAGACCTGCTTTCTGAGTATTCTCCGGAAGAGGACAGAAGTGGAGCACAGTGAAGACCAATGGGCTTTTCTTGCTTAATGACATTACATATCTAGCTGTGCACTGGCTATGAGTTCTCCAAGCCAGGGACCATCAGTATAATAGTAGCTAAGTTTTGTTGAGCACTCACTACATAGTGAATTCATTTGCATAGAGTATCTCATTTAATGTTCACAACAACCCCATAAGGTGGGCCATTATTACTGTTACTCTTCACAGGAGGCATAGAGGGGCTAACTCCCCCAAGTCACCCAGCTAATAGGAGGCAGAGCCAGGAGCCATGTGCTGACAGCTTGCCTGCTGAGTCTGGGTCCTTCACCCCAGCAGCATTCTGGCACCAGAACCAGCGTGCAACAAATGGAAAATCAATGTCTATCTGCACATTTGGCCGTGGAGCTCTCAGTCCGTGACTTCAGCCTGGGCGCTGGGAGCACCATACCCAAGGTTTTGAGAATGAGTCCAGTTCTTGTCCAGTAGCAGAGCTGAGGACAGACAGGAGAATGCCCTGGGACATTTGGTTACCACTTACAGCTATCCGGCTACAGCTCCAGGCCCACACAGCCCTGGGAGCAGCCCACAGGCAGGTAAACATGAGGATGGCTCATGTGTCCAAGCTGCGCTCTGCGCTCTCCAGTCTTCACTGCATGACCTTCTTTCCTTCTCAGAAGATGCCTGCCTGGGTCTTCTGGGAAGAGAAAGGTGAGTGGCGCTCCCTCCCTCCCCAGCCCTGGTCTGCAGAGGCCAGGCAGCCTGATTCGGAGCTGCCTTGTCATGTGTGATAAAGTGGAAGGAATGCCAGGTTTCCAGGCAGCCCCAACCAGGGAGGAGAAAAGGTGAGAACAGGAGGAGAGTGGGGAGAGGGAGGGCAGCACAGCAGCCAGTGGGGGCCTGAGAGGAAAGGTTCTCAGAGCAAAATCTGCCTGGGGGGTGGCCAACGAACCCCAGGACAATCATGTCCAATATTCGATTTAGATCCACGTGCTGTGTGGTCCTGAGAGGTGAGCTTCCCTCTCTGTTACCTCCGTAGACCTTAGTAAAGCCGGCCTCACACAAAGCTGGGATGTCCCTGATGCTTCGGGGTGTAAAGGAAGAGGAATGGCATCGGCAAAAAAGAGCAGAAGAGGGTGGCAGCCATATGGGCTGCAGAGGCACCTCATGGCATGGGTAGGTGAGGGATAAGAGGGGATTTATGAGAAACGCAGAGAAAATCTGGATCCACTGATGGGAGCATAAGCCCTGGAGACCGGGACACATCCGATTGCATCCCACCAAGTCCCCCTGAGGATTATCGAGCCAGGGGGTGGAGCCACATGCCGAAAGACAGGAAGACAGAGGACTTGTGTTATAGGGATTATGGAGAGAATGATGTCCTACAGCTACCATTCTCCAGATGAGAAAACAGAGGCTTCTGCCCACTTGCTCCAGCCACTCAACCACGGCCACTCCCACATCTCCTAAACAAAGGAGACGGAATCTGGGTCCTCCCTCCCCTGCTTCACTCTGGCTGCTCCAGTGACCTGTGGCCACCTGCGTCACTCTGCTGCCTGTCCCCTGGTGGCTGTCGGAGAAGATCTCTCTCTTGGTCATTCCTTGAGGGTAGAGCCACGGTCCCTCCCACAGCCCCGGACTGTCCTGGCTGCACCTTTAGACTGCAAGTGCCACATGGGCAAGGACTCTGCTATTCGCCTGGACTCCACCTTCTTAATTAATTCCCTGCCATCCTCATTTACAGCCCAATAAAATGACAGGATTCGAAAGAAATAAATAACCAAGTGGCCGTTGGCACTCCCTTTTCAAGAGAGAGGTTGGGCAGGACCCTACCTTCCAAGTTCAGAAGTGGAAATATCACCTTTCACCCACATAAGAAGTGGCATCCAAGATGTCTTGCCAATCTCACAGGGCTCCGAGCCCTGTCCTGCCTGCTTCCAGAGGGCAGCCACCTGAGGGAAGTCATCTTCAGGGCCCTCTACAACCCCCACTCATCCATCTCCACCCTCTGACTCCCAGCCTCTTCGTGACTTGTCCCTGTGCAGAGCTGCCCTAGATCCCCAGAATGCTACCATCCCCTGCACCTCTCTGTTTTCCTTCTCTGTGATCCCAGACTGGTGAAGTCCTTCTCCCTCCACCAAAACCCTTTTCCTCCTTTCCTGAGAATTCCCCTCTAAGGAGAACCTCTCACCTTCTTTGTAAGTGAAAGAGAATGAAACTAAGAGTCCTTTCCCACTTCCCAGAAGCACCTTCCTCATCTCCCCAGAAGCACCAGCTGGCACCATAGGCCGCCTGCCCCTGCTGCTGCCCAGTGGAAAGCACGGTGGACTTTCTCCCCAGGGCACCTTTGGGGAAGTGACAGGGTCAGCCTGCTCCTTGGTTCCCTGAGGAGCCTTCCAGACCTGTGGTCCCCACCCCAGCAAACTTGGTCTTCTCCAAAAGACCCATGTGAATCCACCTCACCATCTCTCTGAGTGAAACATGTACCTTATGAAATGGGAGAAAAGATTTGCAAACCATATAACATATAAGGGGTCAATATTCATAATATATAAAGAAGTCCAACAACTCAACCACAAAAAAAAAAACAACCAATTTTTTAAAATGGGCAAAGGACTTGAACAGACATTTCTCCAAGGAAGATATACAGATGGCCAGCACTCGTGAAAAGATGCTCGACATCACTAATCGTTAGGGAAATGCAAATCAAACTAAGAAAGGGGAGTTTAGACTACATAGTTGGTGGGAAGAGGCGGACAGGCCCATGCAGTTCTGAAGAAGTTACCCAGGGAGAATGAGGCATCCATTTCATTGCGGGGCTTGGGGTGGAAGCATAAGATTAGACACTCCTCTGGGTGGATAGAGGTGACATGCCAGTTCACACAGGATGTTCCACTGGGTGACTGAAAGGCCACTCCCAGGATTTTCACTCTGACCATCTTGTTATTCAACCGAGAGCACCTAGGAGTGAGAGAAAAGGCAAATTCGAGGCCGACTAGCACCTTGTGGTCGCCCAGGGTGGGTCCCAGGGAGGCACTGCTCCAGCAGTAGCAGAGAAGGAGTATGTCGCTGCCTTTATGCACCTCCGGGACCACGCGGGGTGGACCACACTCATGGAAGACCAGCTCTGAAGCCTGGGAGTTGGAGGGGCTTGATCACGGTCTCTCAGCGGGTTAGGGGCAGAGCCTGGCACAGGCCTCTCACTCCACCACACTGCATCCCCTCATGACTTTCAGCCTGACACCAACCATCTCACAGATTTTTCAACAAGTGACCCCCAAATATCAGCAACTTCCTCATGTCTCATGTAAACTACTTTCCCTCCTTTGACCTTCATCACCTTTCTGCTTTCTTCTCCATCCTTATTTCTTTATTATCCAAGTGAAGACTTCCTGCCTTACCCAAAGCTCCGCGTGTCACACAATTGTCACTGGCATTATTTTTTTCTGTAGGCGTTTGCAGCCGACCTGATGCAGGAACAACAGCCTCTTGGAGTCTGTGCTCTCTCTGCACCACGGCCCTCAAACTGCATGGAACAAGTGCATCAGTTTGTGAGACTCCGCGTCTTAAAGGCTTCTTCCATCGAGAGAGACGGTACCTGTTCTTTTCTCCTGGGTAGTCTAAACAAGCATCTTAAGAAAAAGACATTTATTGCCAAGACAATTGGAGATAAGGGAAAATCATCTGTCTGCCAAAATGGCTTGCGCTGGGCCTGAGCTGTGGCATTGTCAGAGTGATTTTAGCACAGACCCTGCTAGACATGAGCCTATTACAAATGCTAGATAAGGCCCTCGTTTTTATAGAGCTCGGAGGAGTAGAGGGGAGACGGGGAGTTGCAGTGATAGTCGCCACTGCAGATAAGGAGAATATATATTTTGTTTAACCAAACCTGTCCGTTGGCTAGAGACTCCAATGCACTGGTATCCATCAAATCCTTCTCTGATTTACACAAATCTACACAAATACCTGATTCCCCCGATAAGGAAAAGTGTAAGTCAATACTGCTCAGTTGTAATTGGGTGTTACCTGCCCCGATACTGGACTTTTTATCTGCAGCTCCTTTTGCAGGCTCGCTCCAGCTTTATCTGCCTCTTAGGTGTGACCAAATTGTCGTGTGTGCGTGTGTGTGTGTGTGTGTGTGTGTGTGTGTGTGTGTGTTGGCTCCAAAGGTTTATTCACGAATAGATCCCAAAGAAATGTCACAGAGAAATAGTGACTTGAAGTCCAAAGAGGAAAAAAAGGGAGGCCGCAGGCACATGATGGATCTGTGCAATAGTCATACGTAAGCCGCCGTGATGTCCACACCACGGAGACCCCGTCTGCTATGCATCACCCATAGCACGGGCAGCCGAACCCCAGGGCTGCCCTGATAAGAGGCCGAAACGGTGGTAAATCATCCCACACCTCCATCCCACACCTCTGGACTCAGTTTCTCCATCTATGAAAGGGAAAATTCTGTCCACTGCCAGGTATTTATCATGAGGATAAATGAACTGCATTGCGCCAAGTGATCTTGGAACAGGAAGGCTGGTGGATTAAATAAAGATTTACAAAGAATTATGTCCAAATGATCCTTATTTATGATGTGCTTGGTGAGGGTAACAGATGAGAACTCGAAGAGACCCTGGGAGAACCTGCTTCCAGTGCCTCTTTTTCCAGATGGAAAAAAAAAAAAAAAAAACAAACACCAAAATTGAGGCCCAGAGAAAAGAAGGAACTTGCCCAAGATAAACTAACCCCTTCCCCACCTCCACCTTCCTTAGCTGGGTAAGGCAGGGCTCAGGAAAGACAAGTTTTGCTACAAGCTGTCCTCAAAGCTACCCTTCTAGCCCTGAAACGGGTGTGCTCAGAAAGAATTTTTAGCAATGCAAAGAAAAATTGTAGTAAAATGTTAAGGAACATAGCAGAATAAAAAAAAAATTGCTCACATCCTATGAACTGCAATAATTGTGTGTGTGGGGGGAAACAGTATTTCAAAACATGAAAATAGTTGTGTTTGGAAGTGGGTTTTATTTTCAAATTTTGTTTCTATTGTTATTGCTTTGTTACTGGTCTGTTACAAATTATTAACATTACATTCTGTTTGTAAAGCTTTTGTTTTCAAGCAATGCAGCAGTGAATAAAATGTTTTAAAAGAAAGAAAGAAAGAAAGAAAAGCACTGCCTTACTCCCACTACCCAACCCCCTAATCTCATTCTCCCAGAGTAACTATTTTTACATTTGCAGGGTCTTTCCAGACCTTTCTTGGATACAAATTTGAACCTAAATGTTTGAATTTCTGTGTTTTGTATGTAAAGGGGATGGTGGTGGTGGTGGTGGTAGTTCCCTGGTACTATTATTCAACAAACAAGAACAAACCGTTCTGTGACCCAAGCCATTCAAGGGAGGCGAATGCACTGTTAGCGCCACCAGGAAAACGTGGCTTGTGAGCTGGGTGAGAACAGAGTTCATTCACCTCCCTCAGGAGAGACTTTACTCCCAGAAAGACTGATTCAGGCCAGCTCCGGGTGGCCTGGCTCCTTCCCCCCCAGCCCACAAGGCCCCCAGGTTTATTGGCCTCATGGACTCAACTAGTACCATTGTAGTCAGAGGTCAGTTTAATGGGAGGTGGCTCTGAGACAGCAGCGAATTGGTGTATTTGAGTGACTTGACAAAAACGAATAATAAGACAAGAATTCTGGAGAGAGTAGGTAGAGCTGACATTATGTCCAATATATTGTAATGTGTGTGGATAATATTCCTGGGAAATTCACCACCCTTCAGACACCATCTTTGTAAAGCATTCACTTATCTTCAACCCTGGGTTGTCCTAGTGTGCTAATCCAAGCTTTGGAACAGGACGCTATCATAATGCCAGTAGCCCTGTGTAGGATCCCACCATTGACACAGCATCCCCATCAACACTTATCCCATCCCTTGATCCCAAAACACTTGGAGCAGGCTCTCCATATTGAGGGTTTCTAGCTTTAGCAGATAAAAATGCAGGATACCCAGTCACAAGTGAATTTCAGATAAACACCCAATTATGTTTCTTAACTAGTTAGTGTTGGTATGAAAGTTAATTTCTTCAGAAACTTCTTTTATAACCAGCTACCGTATAAAACTATCTTATGAGCTGGGGTACCAGCCAGGGACCAGTGAGGAGACAGAAACTATATCAGTATTTTTAACAGATAATATAATAAAAGGAATTGTTAACTAGGCATGGAAAAACCACTAAAGCAGAAAGATAATCCTAACGTATGATGAAGGTAGAGACTGCAGAGGCAGATATTACTTGTAAAGTTGGGCAATCAGAAGAAAAAGGTTGAAATTATTAACATTTAGACACTTGGAGGAGAGGCCCATGGGGCTGGAAACATATGTCTGAGGAGGGGGTGAGTGACAGACAGTACTGGCATCTCTGACAGCATCTTGAAGAGTTTGTTTCTGCAAGAATAAGAAAAACTGGGCTGGGCGTGGTGGCTCATACCTGTAATTCTAGCACTTTGGGAGGTGGAGATGGAGGGAACACTTGAGCTCAGGAGCTCCAGACCAGCCTGGCCAACATGGTGAAACCCCATCTTTACCAAAAATGCAAAAATTAGCTGGGCGTGGTGGCACATGCCTGTAATCTCAGCTACTCAGGAGGCTGAGGCAGGAAAATCAGTTGAAGCTAGGAGGCGGAGGTTACAGTGAGCAAGTATCGTACCACTGCACTCTAGCCTGGGCTACAGAGTGAGATTCCATCTCAAAAAAAAAAAAAAAAGACAAAACTGAAAACTGGATTCAGCTGCTGCTACAAGAATGAACTGTTGCTGCCATGATAGAGAGGCTAGAGAAAAGCATTTATGACTAGGAAGCAAACGAAAGGTGTATTTCCTTCACCTCCACAAGCCTTGTAGTCTCCCTTCATTGTTGTCTGTGGGCAGAACCTGATACAGAGCCAGCCAGAAAGACAGAATGGTGGCTTATAGAATCTCAACCCCACAAGCACAAGACAGAAAACAGAAAGGCAGAAAGGTGGGTTTGAGGCAGGGACTACAGCTTAGACTTCTGCAGTGTGTAGGTAAAAATGATTTTGCTTCTTCCCTTCCAATTCTTCTGTCTCTTATTTTTCTTATATTATTGCATTGGCTAGCATTTCCGGAATACTGATGTTGGGCATCTTGCTTTTGTTCCTAACAAGCATGAGAACATCTCTTCTGGTTTTTCACAATTAAATAATGCTAGTGGTTGGCTTGAGTCAGATTTCAAACTTTTTTTATTTCAATAGCTTTTTGAGTACAAGTGGTTTTTTGGTTACATGGATGAATTGTACAGTGGCAAAGTCAGATCTTTATGCACCTGTCACCCAAGTAGTATACATTGTACCCAATAAGTAATTTTTTATCCCTCACCTCCCTCCCTACCTCCCTCTTTCTTCTGAGTCTCTAAAGTCCATTATACCACTCTGTCTGCCCTTGCATACCCGTAGCTTAGCTCTCACTTATAAGTGAGAACATACCGTGTTTGGTTTTCCATCCTTGAGTTATTTCACTTAGAATAATGGCCTCCAGCTCCAGTCAAGTTGCTGCAAAAGATATCATTTCCTTTTTTATGGGTGAGTAGTATTCCATGACATATATATTTGCTTTCGCTACTCATTAGTCAGTGGGCACTTAGATTGGTTCTACATCTTTGCAATTGAGAATTGCATTGTAATAAACATATGCATGTGGGTGTCTTTTTGATATTACTTCTTTTCCTTTGGGTAGTTACCTGGTAGTGAGATTACTGGATCAAATGATAGATCTACTTTTACTTCTTTGAGAAATCTCCACACTGTTTTCCATAGAGGTTGTACTCATTTACATTTTCACCAGCAGTGTATAATGGTCCCTTTTCACCACATGCAGCCAGCACCTATTGTTTTTTAATTTGTTAAATAGTGGCCATTCTTGCAGGGGTAAGGTTGTATCTCATTGTGGTTTTAATTTGCATTTCCCTGATAATTAGTGATGTTGAGCATTTTTTCATATGTTGGTTGGCCATTTGTATACCTTCTTTTGAGAATGTCTACTCATGTCATTTGCCCACTTTTTGATGGGATTATTTGTTTCTTTCTTGCTGATTTGTTTGAATTCCTTGTAGAGTCTGGAAATTAGTCCTTTGTCAAATGAATAGTTTGCAAATATTTTCTCCCACTCTGTGAGTTGTCTGTTTACTCTGATGATTATTTCTTTTGCTGTACAGAAGCTTTTAGTTTAATAAGGTCCCATTTCTTTATTGTGTTTGAGTCAGATATTTTTATTATATTATGGGAATATCCTTCTGTTCTAATTTTTTAGTGAGAGTTTTATTTGTTTTAATCAAGAAAGGATGCTACATTTGGTTAAATGCCTTTTCACTCCTATTGGTATAGTTGTATAGTTTTTCTTCCTTTGACTGAATACTGTAATAAATTTTATTGTTTCCTAATATTTTGTTTTATTTTTTTAGAGATGAGAGTCTTACTCTATCACCCAGGCTAGAGTGCACTGGTACAATCATAGCTCACTGCAGCCTTGAACTCCTGGGCTCAAGAAGTCCTCCTGCCTCAGCCTCCCAAGTAGCTGGGATTACAGGCATAAGCCACAGTGCCTGTCTGTTTCCTAATATTAATGACCTGGCTCCCTAAGGGAAAACCCTATTGAACATTGATATTTTCTTTTAATATACTGCTGGATTCAGCTTGCTAATATTTTATTCATTTAGAATAGTTACATCAATATTAAGAATAATAATTTCATTAAAATGACTCCAAATTTATACCAGTTTTATCCTTCATTTATCCTAAAAATATCAGGCTGGGTGGAGCAGCTCGTGCCTATAATCCCATCATTTTGGGAGGCCAAGGCAGGAGGATAACCTGAAACCAGAAGTTTGAGACCAACCTGGGCAAAACAGTGTGACTCTGTCTCTACAAAAATTTTAAAGAATTAGCCAGGCATGGTGGCACACATCTGTAGTCCCAGCTACTCAGGAAGGGAGGTTGAGGTGCGAGGATCACTTGAGCCAGGGAAGTTGAGGCTGCAGTAAGCTGTGATCACACACCACTGCACTCCAGCCTGGGTGACAGAGTGAGACCCTGTCTCAATTAAAAAAAAAAAAAAAAAAAAAAAAAAAGAGGAAAAGTTTCAAATCAGCTATCTAAGCTCTCGCCTCAAGAAACTGGAAAAATAAGAGCAAAATAAGTCCAAAGCAAATAAAAGGAAGGAAGTAATAAAGACAGGAGCGGATATCAATGAAATAGAAAATAGAAAAATAACAGAAAAAAAACAATAAAACAAAAAGCTGAAAAGACTGGGCGTGGTAGCTCATGCCTATAATTCCAGCACTTTGGGAGGCCGAGGCAGGTGGATCTGAGGTCAGGAGTTCGAGACCAGCCTGACCAACATGGTGAATGAAATCTCATCTCTACTAAAAATACCAATTCTTCAAAAAGTATAAAGTACAACCACTTACTTAATATGAAATCAGCCATTTGAATAGCCCTATAACTCTTTTTAAAATTGAAACAGTAATTAAAACTCAGAAAACACACCAATTCAACACATTTTTTCCAAGAAAAAAAAAACATTTTCCAATGCATTTTGTAAGGCCAGTATTACAGTAACACTAAAACCAGACTAACATACAAAGAAAACACTACAGCCCAATATCCCTCATTGACATAGATGCAAATCCTTAACAAAATATCAGCAAATAGAATGCAGCAACATGCAAGAATTACACATCATGACTAGTGAGATTTATTTCAGAGATGCATAACTGACTCACTAATTTAAAATCAATGCAATCCACCAGTTTAACATGCTAAGGAAAACAAATCATATGATCATACCAATTGGTACAGAAAAAAGCTTTCGATGAAATTTGATACCCATTCATGATAAAAACTCTGAAAATTAGGAATAAAGGGAACTTCCTCAACTTGATAAAGAGCACTTACAAAAGACCAACAGCTAACATAATTAATGGTAAAAGACTAAAGCCTTTCCACAAAGGCTGAGAATAAGACAAGAATTTCCACTCTCACTACTTCTATTCAGCATAGTAATGGAAGTTTTAGCCAGAAAATAAGGCAAGTAAAGAAAATAATAATAAAAGGGCTGGGTGCAGTAGTATGTACCAGTAGTAGTCCAATCTACTAGGGAGGCTGAGGCAACAGGATCACTTGAGCCCAGGAGCTCAGGCTGTAGTACACCATAACTGCACCTGTGAATAGCCACTGACCTCCAGCCTGGGCAACACAGCAAGACCCTGTCTTTTTAAAAGATAGTAACAAAAATAAAAATACAATGAATACAGGTCAGAAGGGAAGAAATTAAAGTATGTCTGTTCGGAGATAAAGTGATCATCTACATAGAAAACCTCCAAGAAATATACCAGAAAAGAAAAAAAAAACCTCCTGGAACTAACAAATGAGTTCAGCAAGGCTGCAGAAAACAAAATCAACATACAAAAACAAACTATAATTCTATATACTAGCAATGAACATGTGGAAAATGAAATTAACCATATAATATTAGTTGCAATTGCTCAAATAATTAGATTCTTAAGTGTAAATCCAACAAAACATGTATAGGACTTGTATACTGAATGTTACAAAACACTGGTGAAAGAAATTAAGATTTAAATAAATGGAGAGACATACCACGTTCATGGATTGGAAGATTCAACATAGTAAATATGTCAGTTCTTTCAAAGTTCATATATAGTTTTAATGCAATTCCTGTGAAAAATCTCAGCAAGATTTTCATATAGAGACAAGGTTATTCTAAAATTTATGTAAAAAGGTGAAAAAATTATGTAGAAAGCATTAAAAAACCCACCCAACTAGAAGAGCTGAAACAATTTTGGAAAAGAAGGACAAAGTGGGATTTTATAGCTATAGTAATCAAGACTATGTAGCATTGATAGAGAAATAGGCACTACATCAGTAGAACAGAGTAGAGAACCCAGAAATAGACCCACACAAGTATGGCCGACTGATTTTTGACAAAGGTGCAAAAGAAATTCAATGGAGAATAGATAGTCCTTTCAACAAATGATGCTGGAACAACTGGATATCTTGAAACTAAATAAACAAACAAACTTTGAACTCAACTCATACTTTATACAAAAATAACTCAAAGTGGAGCATAGATTTGAATGTAAAATGTATAAGTATAAAACTTTTAGAAGAAAACATAGGAGAAAATCTTCATAACCTAAGGTTTGATGAAAACTGCTTAGACATGACAATAAAAGTACAATTCATTAAAAAATTGAACTTCTTCAAACTGAAAATGTCTGCTTTGTGAAAGACCCTTTTAAGTAACTGAAAAGATAAGTTACAGATGGGGAGAAAATACTTGCAAACCAAGGATTCACATCTAGAATATATAAAGAACCCTCAAAGCTCAATAGTAAAATAATAATTATAATAACAATAGTAAAACCTAATTACCCAGACAATGGGCAAAAGACATGAGGAGGATGTCTTTTTATCAAAGGATTTACATCTTCTGTTGTAAATCCTTTCATCAAAGGAGAGAATTTCCTTCTTTTTATGGCTGAATAGTCTTCCATTGTGTATATGTGCCACATTTTCTTTATTCATCTGTTAATGGACACTTGGGTTGAATCCATGTCTTCACTATTGTGAAGAGTGTGGCTATATACATGGGAGTGCAGATGTCATTTCTACATACTGATTTCCTTTTCTTTCCCACTACTCAGTAGTGAGATTACCGGATTACATAGGTAATTCTAGTTTTAAATTTTTTTTGAAACCTCTGTACTGTTTTCTCAGTGGCTATACTAAATTTACATTTCCATCAACAGTGTATAAGGGTTTCCCTTTCTCCACATCCTTGCCAACACTTGCTATCTTTTGTCTGTCTGACCATAGCCGTTCTAAATGGAGTGAAGTGATATCTCATTGTCATTTTGAGTTGCATTTCCCTGATGATTACTGATGTTGAGCATTTTTTCACATACCTGTTTGCTATTTGTATGCCTTCTTTTGAGAAATATTTATTCCATCTATTCAGTTATTTTGCTCACTTTTAAATCAAATTTTTTTTTGGTATTGAATTATTTGAATTCCTGACGTAGTCTGGATATTAACCCTTTGTTAGATATAGAGTTTGCAAATATCTTCTCCCATTCTGTGGGTTGTCTCTTCACTTTGTTGATTGTTACCTTTGCTGTGCAGACTCTTCTTAGTTTGATGTAATTCCATGTGTCTATTTTTTGCTTTTGTTGCCTGTGATTTTGAGATCTTATCCAAAAAATCCTTGCCCAGACCAACATCATGAAACATTTTCCCTACGACTTATTCTAGTAGTTTCATAGTTTTGAGCCTAATCTTCAAGTCTGTAATCCATTTTGAGTTGATTTTTGTATTTGGTAAGAGATAGAGGTCTAGTGTCATTCTTCTTCATGTAGCTATCCAATTTTTCCAGCACCACTTATTGAAGAAAATATCCTTTTCCCCATGTGTTTGGTCTCTTTGTCAAAAATCAGTTGGCTGCAGATGTGTGAATTCATTTCTGGGCTTTCTATTCTGTTCCATCGGTCTATGTGTCTGTTTTTATACCAGTATCATGCTGTTTTGGTTACTATAGCTTTGTAGTGTATTTGGAAGACAAGTAGTGTGATGCCTTTACCTTTGTTCTTTTTGCTTAAGATTGCATTGGTTATTCACGGTTTTTTGTTGTTATTGTTGTTCTATACAAATTTTAGAATTATTTTTGGACAGATAGCTTTTTCATTATTAGCCCTGGCTAAAAAGTCCCAGGAAAATTCTTAGTGGATCTTCAAATTGGCCAAACTTGGGACATCTGTTGCACCTCAGCCTCAGGGAGTGGATGTCGCATAGGAAAGAGGATCTGTCCCTTGAAGAAGGGATGAGAGAAGCCATATGATCGGACCAGCCCCCCAAAAAACCCTCTTGGCCCTTAAAAATGAAATTACCAGATGGCCCTTGGTCCTGTAGACCTTATGTCCTTATGTCCCAAGAAGAGCAACAAGATGAATCCAAATACATAATTAATACATAAACACCAGAGATGGGAGATTGCAAATATGCACACACTCAA
Organism: Homo sapiens; assembly: GCF_000001405.40. NCBI lineage: Eukaryota > Metazoa > Chordata > Mammalia > Primates > Hominidae > Homo > Homo sapiens. Next base: position 11,670,480 of record NC_000008.11, read on the forward strand.
CCTATGAAAAGACATTGATCTGACTAGGATGTTAAAGGCTGAATAATCAAATGTTGAGCTGGACTCCCAAGTGACTGGAGGGTCTGGGATCAGATGAACCTGGTGCAGAGAGACTCCAAGGAGCAGGGTCAAAGGAGGCAAAGTATGAAAACATTCTCCCCTCATACACACAAGGTGGATGGGAGAATCAAATGAAGCAACAGAAGAGAATGCTTTGTAAACTGCAAACTGCTACACAAATTATTGTTGGTATTACTTAGCTAGGAGTGTGAGCTTGAGGGCGGGTCTAATGAGTAGGTCAGAGTCAGCCTGGCACAGCAAGAATGAAATAATTTTTTTTTTGAGATAAGGTCTTGCTCTGCCACCCAGGATGGAGTGCAATGGTGTGATCATAGGTCACTGTAACCTCAAACTCTTGGGCTCAAGTGATCCTCCTGCCTCAGCCTTCTGAGTAGCTAGGACTATAGGTGTGTGCCATCATGCCCAGCTAATTTTTTTATTTTTTGTAGACACAGGATCTCACTATGTTGCCCAGGCTGGTCTTGAAGTCCTGGGCTCAAGTGATCCTTCTACTCTGGCCTCCCAAAGTGCTGGGATTACAGGCTTGAGTCACTGTGCCCAGCCACAAGAATATGAGAGTGGAAGCCAGAAGACCTCAGTTCTAGGCTTTCTTGTAAAATTAGATAATAAGAGAGAATGCACACAGAGGGCTTAGCACAGTGCCTGCTACTGGGAGAGCCCAAGAAATGGTGGTCATTGATCAAGACAGTCCCAGTTCACCAATGTCCCAGTTCAATGTTAATGTGTCAAGCCAGAGGGAGGGAGTGTGGCTCAGTTGCAGACGTGGACCAAAAAAAGTGAGCCAGCATGGAGCTGGGCCAGCCAAACTCCAAGGAGCACACTAACTACAATACGTGGGATTTTACACAAGAAACTTCCAGTAAACATTTACTGAATCCAATCAAATTGCAGACTTGGGGGATGAAAATGTTAAGATTTCAATACATCAGTATTGCATAACCATTGCATAACAGATGGTTGCATAACCTTGTGCGATACTAAAAACCACTGACTCATACATTTTTGAAGGGTAAATTGATGCTATGTGAATTCTATCTCATTTTGTAACAGTGGAAGCCTAACAGGCTGGAACAGGGAGCATCACTCATTGCAGGAAGGAAATGTAGAGGTTCAGTCGGAGCCTGGTCCATCAGTCCACTTGGTTTCAAATTATTCTCACTTCTGCCCATGCTGTGGGGACTTCAGGTAACTCCAGGGTCCCTTAGCTCTTCTGGAGACTCAGGTGCAAATAAAGTGCCACTCACCGGCAGTTCATCACTTAGGGCTTCCTAGTCCCAAGGGGACACTCTTTCCAGCAGTTCTGTCGCCACGATGGGAGAAGCTGCCTACTGAGCACTGCATAGCCCTCAGCTCCTGGGCCTGGAGCAGCCACAGCTCGTGAACACTCAGCAGGCAGCTGTCCACAGGTTTTGGTTTTCTGCCTTAAACACAAGTCAGTCTAGGTGGCTAGAGCAGCGTCACCAGGCTGAATGCAAGAATCCTTTTGCCCACAGCTACTAATAATATTAGCAGTGGTAGTAATAGCTAGTTGTTTTCAGCACCAGGCATCACACTAAGTGATTCTCATATGGTTATCTCATTTTAACCTTGGCAAGGACCCTATGAGATAAGTATTATTATTGCACTCACTTTACAGATTTGAAAACTGAGGATTAAAGATGTTCATTCATTTGCTACACTAGAGAAAGAAATGTAATTTCTGGAGACTGTCTCGTAATCACATGCTTAATGTCAAACACCTCAGGAAAAGGACAGTCCTCAGATGCGAAGTCGGAATAGAAGAGTTGGCTGCGGACGGGGAAATGGCAGATGGTCAGAAGACTGTTGTTCTCTACCTTCTGCAGTACTTTTGGGCAGGACGCAATGGCTCATGCCTATAATCCCAGGAGTTTGGGAGGCCGAGGGGGACGACTGCTTGAGGCCAGGGGTTCAAGGCTTCAGTGAGCTATGATCATGCCACTGCACTCCAGCCTGGGCAACAGAGAGAGACTTTCTCTAAAAATAAAAAATAAAATACAGTAGTTTTAAGTTCAGCAATAAATATGTAACACCTTGATAAGAAAAACTAATAAAAATTTTGTGCACGTGCATGCCCGCATGTATGTGTGTGTGTAAACACTCAGTTTAAAGAACAGGGACAGCAGGCCTCAAGGCCGAGGTGCTCCCCAGAAAGTCTCTCTCTGGCCCTCTCCCTGGTCTGGATTCCAAGTGATTTTTGGAGTTTGGGCTGGTGTTATCAGCAGTCACATCATCCTCATCATCTCTGGTGGCCCCCCTGACTCAACAGGACAAACGTGGGAGCACAGAGGCACACCAGCCTCTGCCCAGGACAAGGACACTCAGGAGTCACAGCAGGTGGCTTCGCTCATGACGCCTGGGTTCCCTGGGTCCTGTGTCCTGGCCCCATTCTCCACCATCCCGGGCAGTAGTGGCCACTGGGCTTCATTAGAATTTTTCCCAGGGAAAGACTCATGCTGCCCTGGGCTGGCATAACGCCCTGAGCTAGGCCTCAGAACAGTGGAGTTTTAGGTTCCCCAAAATATATAAAACCCCTGGAAAATCTGAAACCATGGGGGACAAAAATGGGCTTCCTTTCACCTCACAAGAAACAATTCAGAAAAGTAGGGAGAAATAAAAATACCTGACGGTTCTCTAACACTCCCATGATTCCTTTTATTTTTTCAATTTTGGAACACAAAAGTGTGTTCTCTAGGACTTGAATACTTTTCCTGGACATTGCTGGCCTCAATAATAATGCCATGAGGTCCCCAGATTCTTGTAGGCACATGTGGAGGAGGGAGGCAGTGGGATGTCAGAGGTGAAGGTCAAACACAGGTGCTCTTGTTACTGTACCACAACGCTGGAAGTTATGCTTCCTAATTTTTTAATAAAGAAGTGAGTGTTCTCTCTGCTCCAGTGCAATTCTCAAGAGAACTTCATGTTTCACCTTCTTCCTTACTGCACATCACTCTCTCACAGAACTTTGCAGCAGGCAGGGCAATCTGCCCGTGAATATGACCCAAACTGGGATAAGTGGATGCTGCTGCTCCCAGTTACCTGCTACATAAAGAGGATGATGGAGACCTCCTCTCTAAATTTTGGGTCAAAACTCCATAACAGGTAGAAAATGGTATGGCAATTCCTCAAAAAACTTGCACATAGATAGGTCCATGTGAGCTGGCAATCCCCCTTCTAAGGATATACCCAGAAGAATTGAAAGCAGCAACTAAAACAGACATTCGCACGCCTGTGTTTATGGCAGAAATATTCACAGTAACCAAAAGGTGAAAACAACCCAAATGCCCATCAACAGATGAATGGATAAACAAAATACAGTCTTTGTGTGCAATGGAGTATCACTTGGTCTTAAAAAGGAGGGAAATTCTGGCCCCTGCTACAACATGGATGAAGCTTGAGGACAGGATGCCAAGTGAAATAAGCCAGCCACAAAGGAGTACGTACTGTATGATTCCACTTATAGGAGGTACCTAGAGGAGTCACATTCATGGAGACAGAAAGTTGAGGGCGGTTACCAGAGGTTATGGGAAAGAGGGGAATGGAGAATTAGTGCTAATAGGTGCAGGGTTTCTGTTTGGAAAGCTGAAAATGTTCCGGAGATGGAAGTGGTGGTAGTTGTACAACAATGTGAATGTACCTAATACTATGGACGTGTACCCTTAAAAACGGTTACAGTGGGGCCGGGCGCGGTGGCTCACTCCAGTAATCCCAGCACTTTGGGAGGCCGAGGCAGGCGAATCACTAAGTCAGGGGATTGAGACCATCCTGGCTAACAAGAAAAATACAAAAATTAGCTGGAGATAGTGGTGCGTGCCTATAATCCCAGCTACTGGAGAGGCTGAAGCAGGAGAATTGCTTGAACCGGGACTTGGGAGGCAGAGGTTGCAGTGAGCCAAGATCACACCACTGCACTCCAGCCTGGGCTACAGAGCAAGTTTAAAAAAAAAAAAAACCACGGTTAAAGTGTTGGAAGGCTGAGACAAGAGAACTGCTTGAAACTGGGAGGCAGAAGAGGTTGCAGTGAGCGGACATCAGGCCACTGCACTCCAGCCTGGGTGAGAAGAGCGAAACTCTGACTCAAAAAAATAAAATGAAATAAAATTAAAAAGGTTCATGTGGCAAATTTTGTAGTATGCGTATTTTACCATAATAATCATAAGTAATAAAAATAACTCCATAAGGCCGGGCGCGGTGGCTCATGCCTGTAATCCCAGCACTTTGGGAGGCCGAGGCGGGCGCATTACAAGGTCAGGAGATTGAGACCATCCTGGCTAACACGGTGAAACCCTGTCTCTACTAACAATACAAAAAAATTAGCCGGGCGTGGTGGCGGGCGCCTGTGGTCCCACCTACTTGGGAGGCTGAGGCAGGAGAATGGCATGAATCCGGGAGGCGGAGCTTGCAGTGAGCCGAGATCCTGCCGCTGCACTCCAGCCTGGGCGAGAGTGCGAGACTCTGTCTAGAAAAACAAACAAACAAACAAACAAAAAAAAACAACTCCATAAGGGAAAGCTACAAGTGAACAAGGCTCCTCCCTGGTGTAAATGACAGGGCCCCTGGAAAGACAAGGCCTGGCCCTGGCCTCTGCATCTGTGCCTTGTACTGTTGGGCTCATGCGTCAGGAATTTTAATGATCTGACACCACAGGGAGCTTTACACTAAAATCTTCCTGAAGCCTAGTTTCTACGAGTCATTTGGCAGGGGAAGAGTATAAAGACAGATAACAATAAAGGACACTTTATTCATCATTTGCAAAAATATTCAAAACCAAAAATTCTTGGAAGGGAAAAAATATTCATGTTTCCTTCATATTTTTCCTCTCTCTTCCCAGCCTGATTCACCTCTCTAGTTCTGTTCCCACCATATGACCTTACCTTTACTCTTTGATTTCTGGCAGTTCACTTACCTTTTCTGTTTCAGTTTCCTGGCCTACATTTGTTTTTTGTTTTTGTTGTTTGTTTGTTTGTTTGTTTTGAGATGGGATCTCACTCTGTCACCCAGGCTGAAGTGCAGTGGCATGATCTCGATCTCAGCTCACTGCAACCTCTGCCTCCCAGGTTCAAGCTATTCTCCTGCCTCAGCCTCCTCAGTAGATGGGATTACAGGCACCCGCCACCACACTCGGCTAATTTTTTGCATTTTTAGTAGAGATAGGGTTTTGCCACGTTGGCCAGTCTGGTGTCGAACTCCCGACCTCAAGTGATCTGCCTGCCTTAGTCTCCCAGAGTGCTGGAACCACAGGTGTGAGCCACCAAGCTCAGCATCCTGGCCTACATTTGGAAAAAAATATTAACTTATTCGGTTTCTCCCTACCTTGCAGAGATAGTTCTAAGGATCCCGTGAGACTGTGAACTGGGAAATATGTTAAAATAGAAAGGTATTGTGTTTCTTCCTTTCCTCCAAACTGCCTTTGCGAGATACCAACTCCCAACAGGGACAACTTCCCAAAATAAAACCAGGCAGGAGAGCAGGGAATTCCGCAGCAGACCTGTCAAGGGAGATCTGTTTGCCCGGTTCCTCAAATCACATGACAGCGGCAGCTCCCTGTGCCTGTGTTCCCAGCCCTGCAATGCTGGGTCATTTGGGAAGCAGGAAAGTGTGGTGGTCAGCAGAGCTGCACGCCCATGGCACGCAGAGAATGAGCTCCCCATCACCAAGAGTATTCAAGTAGAGTACGGATAATCGCCTTGGAGGGAATTCCTGATTTAAGCAGGAGCTTGGAATTCTGAGGTCTCTTCCTATTCTAAGAAGCCATGGATTTCTTTAATTTGAAGTTCAGTACCGGCTCCATTTCTTTCTTGCTGTGTGACTTGACCACAGGCAGATTCCTAACCTCTCTGAGCCGGTTACCTCATCTAGGTTAATAATATAGCATCTGCCTGCTTGACCCTATTGTAAGGAGCTCAGAAATGCTGTTATAGCAGTACTTGGAAAAAATTGTAATTTGTAATTGGCATGCTAGGAGGAGCTGCGCTGCTGTTACTATTATCCCATGCCCAGAGGGCGATCGCACAACATAAGCAAATGCCACAAAGCAGCCCTCCCTACCTCAATCTAAAGGCAAGACTAGAGTCTGAGAGGAGTCTTGGGGTGCAGGAAGCACATACGGTGAACTGAGCATTTCTCCCCATGAACGGCGATTCCTTGGGTCCTTCTGAGTGACCTTCCAGAAGCATCTCTGTAACCTTGTGAACACTGACTTTTTTAAAACTGTCCAGCCAGAACTTCATTCCCTAGCAGAGTTTCCTTCCACTTTTACACACACCAAAAAAAAAAAAGAGGCTTGCTGAATTAATGAACCACTTCTCTTATCTATTTTTCCTGTTATCTAATTCTGAGAAGGAAGCTGGGAGCTCAGAGGGAGCTGGGAGACACGGCTCACAACGTCTCCCTCCCACCCGGCTGAGAACAGCCTGGAATCCCTGTGCAGAGTTTGCCTCACACCAGGCCTTGAGCAGCCGCAGGGACGCCGCTCCCCACCGCGGGTGAGTCCCCTCCTGGCCCTCCTGGTGACCCCTCTGCCGTGGGAGGCTGGGATGCTGGGGGAATGGAAGGCTTGGGGAGTCTCCTTGCTCACCACAATCTCCAGCTGTGGGGAGAGGGAGGTGGGGGAGGGGAGGGGAAGGCTTCCCCAGCGTGGGGCCGAGGCGGAGGCTGTGGAGAGGCTTTGAGGCCTTTGCGGACAGGAAGGAAGGATGAGGCTCTGTGAAGGCCAGGCCGCAGACGCCGGGCTTCCTTCCCACTTTCTTTCTGTGTCCCTCCTTCTTCCACTGAGGTGGCATTTTAGTTTCTCTATTTCCCGATTCAGCTTCCCACTCCAACAACTGGAAATGGAGAGGGGTGCCTGGTGTCTCAGGAAAAACCTAAATAAATACATACACACCAGAAATCAAATGGATCTGACCAGGTATCCCAGGACCATCTGGCCTCTGCTTCCTCCAGAACACCCAAATCCCCTGGGGTCCCCCGCAGCCCTTGGTGTCCTCTTAAGAACGCCCTTGGAAACTTCAGGCAAACCTGGCCCATGTCAGACCCAGCCCACTTTGCTTTTGGGGTCAGAAAGTCTGTGCTGTTTCCCATCGCTTGGCTTCATTAGTTAGTAGCTAGGTCTCAGAGCTCTCAGAGTCGGATACTTTTCTTTGCCTATTCGCAGATCAAGGGTCAGCCAGGCTTGGTATAGGGTTTAATTTCCGATTATTCTGGAGCCAGACCTGAGATGGGAAGGAGGCGTGGGGGTGGGTTTTGCAGGTGGACCACAGAGCTCGTAGTTTTCTTCCCCAGGCCCACTGCGTGCGTTGCAGAGCTTGGTGGCTAATGCTTTTGGTTGCACACGCTTTTGCATACAAGTCGAAATTACCTCTACTTCCTACAAAGCCAAAGTCTGGGCAAATGAGCCTTAAATCTGATTTGTAGCTGAGAAAAGGGCTGAGTCAAAATAATAATAATAATAATAATAATAATAATAATAATAATAATAATAAATAGGAGTGACAGCTTTGAGAAGGAGTGCAGCTTTGAGAAGGCACGGGTCAGTGTCATAACCAAGGCTCTGAGAGTTTGAAACCTACCAAGTTTCCTGTGCCTAGTCCACATGCTCGCAGGTTGAAAGCAGACAACACCATTTGTTCACTCTGTAGCCTCAGGAGGACCCAGCAAGCGCTCTTCTGGAATTGGGTAGGATTGAGGGCAAAGCCTCTCAGTCCTGGTGTACCTATTACAAATATTAGCTTTGTGAAGCAGAGAACAGAAAATTGTTCCCTTTGACTATCTTTCCATCTCCAGCAGCCCCACCGGCTTCCAGGGGGTGATTTGAAAAGCTGTCACAAAACTTACAATCATCTGCATTGCTTATCTTTCCCCTGCCCAACTCTCTGGCTTGCTTACCCTTGCTAATGTTTTCCCAGGGCTGATATTCCTGCTCTTCTGTACGCTGTCCAAAAATAAGGGAAATTGAAAGGGTTTTAGTGGGAAAAGCAGGGACGGGCCAATCTGAGTTAAGGGAAAGCCGTATTATGTAAGGTGGCTAGAATCCTGTGATTTATCATCACAAAATTGGATTGGCTTTTTAAGTAGTAGTAGCAGTAGTTGTTGTAGTATTTGTAGTACTAGCAAATGTTTTGTTTCTGCTGGTCTCATTTTGATAAATCGGTCTACAGTAAAGGATACTTGAAAGTCCCACTTTATGAACTATTTTTTTTCAGAGTTCATTTTTAGTGACATAATCATTGCCACAAATTTCCTTTTTCTTCTAAGAATTTGTCTCTGAAAGTGATTTTGCATTCTCAAGTTCGATTAGGGGGGAGCCTTAAAAACAATTTTGTGTGCTTAGTATTGAGGAAGTGTTTATAAATTACTCTTTCTCCCTGGTCTAGTCTCAAGTATAATAAAATATCCATTTCAAATAGCTTTCTAATGTCTTGTTATATTTGCCAAGTGATTTATAGGACAGAAAATTATAGTTTGCGTGTGTAAAGTTCAGAGATATTTTAGAGCTTGGAGCAGAGGAGAGGAGAGGTTTTAGGGTTAAATTCAAGCCATCAATCTCCAATTGTCTAAACACTACACGAAGTGGAGATTCGAGGCAATTATCCGAATAATTGCGGGGGGGGGCACTTTCGCCTGAATTATCTAGATAAAAGAGCGACACAGGAGAATGTCAGTGGCCCTGAAGGCCCTGCCTCGGATCTCCACGGTCGCGCGAATTCGGGCAATTTTTCTGAAGGTTCTCAGACTCGGGGATGGGGGAGGAAGGGGACGTTTCTAGAAGAAACTTAAAGGGGGCTCGCGCCGCACGACTGTAGGTGGAGGGCGTGCGCCGCGGGACGCCCCAGCCGGGTCTGATAAAGCCCCGAAGCCGATCTAAGGTCAATAAACCAGGCGGCGTCAGGCTTGGGCCGAGGGCCGGGAGGAGAGGAGAGTGGAGCCCTCTCAGGCTGGCGGCGGAATGAAAAGGAACCCCGACTGCTGGGGTCCGAGCCCTGGGCCGCTTGCGGGGCGCGCAGCCGGGGAGAGGAGCTGGGCGCGCGGCCTGGGCCCCCCACCTGCCCGACCCCAGGGCAGCCAAGCACCCGCGGCCTTAAAAGTATCCCGGCGAGCCCTGAGTGGGCCGGGTGCTGGGCGAACAGTCCTAGCCCTGCACTGAGGTTGGAAAAGCGAACGGAAAGTGACATTTTTACAGGGGCGAGGTTGGGATCGGGAGGGAGATGGAGACCCCCGAATAATGGAAACGCAGAAGCCTCAGAGACACCAGCAACAGATAGAGAAGTGTCCCTAAGAGGGGAAAATGAGGAAGAGGGTAACAGTATTGTTAACTGGCCATGAATTTTAATCCCTGTTGTGTGTCGCCGAATAGTTTACAAACTCTTTTTGCACTGGGGTTTTGTTTCTCCCACTCCCCGCATGATGAGAAGAAAGAAAGATTGGGAGAAGTTAATCAGCTCAAAGTCACATCGCCGGGGTCTCCTGCCAGGGGGCTTGGACCAGTTGCTAAAGGACTTCCCGCCGGAGAAGGTCTTCCCAAGAGAGATTCCCACCCAGAGCGCGCAGCCCGCGGGGAAAACATAACGCGCGCCTGTAAATGACGCCGCTCCCACCTAGGCCGCTCTGGGGCCGCTTAACGTCCGGAATGTCCCGACCCCCGGCTCAATCTTTGGTGCAAAGCCTGAGTGGGCAGGCGGGAGACCAGGCGGTGCCGGTGGAGCAGGCTACTTCAGCAGCGCGAGGCTCGGAAGATCCCCGCGGACAGGCGCGACAACGGGCCCTGGAGCCGGGGAATCTCTGCAAGTAACTAACCAGGCCCCTCGGATTCATTGCCACTTTCCCGCCCTCGGCCCACGAGGCTGAGGAGCTCCCTCTCATCGCCTCTCCGTTCCTGGCAAGGCCGAAGCCGGTTTGCTTTGGATGCATTTCGATCAATCTGGCGCCACATGGGCCAGGTCACCTCGGACGGGTGTCGCGCCGACGTCCTTCGTGGTCGCACGCTGGTGGGCCAGGAAGCCCAGGCTATGCCCAGCCGGGTCCGAGCGGCGGTCGGTGGCGTGACCTCTTGCCACGCCTGGCGCTGCTGGGAACGTGTCTCGGGTCGCCCTTTGCGTCAGAGACCCCCCCCTTGGGGAGACCGGAATCCTCCAGCCGCTGCGCACGGATACCCTGGGCGGCGAGGAGAGCCCGGCTTCTGCGCACCCCTCTCCAGATGCGAGGTGCTCACCCGCCCCTCGCCCTGCTCACCCCGACGCCTCGGTCCCCACGCTCTGGGCAGCAAGACACATAGCGAAGCCCCTGACCCATTTCTTCTCAGTTGCGACCCCCTGTGTGAGACCCCTAAAGAGGCCAAGGATCACAGTAGGTGTTTCATCAAAATGGTCACTGTGTCCCCCAGGTTAGGCTGCTGGTATCTCAATATCCCCCTGCAGAGAGACCCCGCACCCCCGAATCCCATACCCCAGGCTGCAAAGCACAGATCTAATGCCTTCCTTCTCTGGCCGGATTTGGAGGGACATTGAGGGGCATGGGTGGCGCCCCAGGCTCGCAGGGTTCGTGGTCCGGAAAACCGAGCCCAGGGAATCTCCAGCTCCGTTCTGTTCGCAGAACCTTCGGGGGTTAGTCACAGGCCCTGGCCCGCGCGGGATCTGGAGGCAGAGATTTCTCGACGTTTGGGGACTTACAGCTCGTCTGGGAGCGACTGGATTCCCAGGCCTCCGCACGCTGAGGTTCCGGGGAAGAGCACTGTCTTCACCACTTCTCGACCTGCGCCCCAACCCATCAAATTTCCAGCACTCGTCCCCCTAGGTCTCATAAAAACTCCTGGCAGACCCTTCCGGGATCACGCGTGGCTCAACTCGGGGGCCGTAGCTACGATCCCCGCGCAGACGCCGGAATCCGGGGCCCGGTCCCCGCGCGGGGTGCGGCGCTCGCGGGGGGGGGGGGGGGGATGGGGTCGGTCCCTCTCGGGAACGGCTGCTGTTGTTTCTTTAGATACTGAATATAATTTCTCCCTCCTCCACCCCACTCGCTGTTCTTAACAATTTTATTTATTGGTTTACTATTGTCTTGTGAACGTTTCTTGTCTCCTCCTTGCCTTTTTTCATCCCCTTTCTCTCTTCATTTCTCTCTTTTTCCTTAATTCTGTTGCAAAGTTTCCTTTTCTTGCTTAATCAAAATTCTCCCCGCTTACTTTGTTCTTTGCCCACAGCATTCGTTCTTCTTTTCTCCTTGCCTGCCTGTCTTCTTTCCCGCTGTTCTTGGCCGTGGGCAGACCCGGCTGATGTAAGGACTGCAGCTTTTCCCTGGCATACTCTGCGCCTTCAGATGTGGTCTGCGTCTGCCTGGGTCTCTTCCCACCTCAATCTGAGATCCTTGCCCCTCACAATAAATTCGTTTTTATTCATTCTGATGTTTGTCTACAGAAGTTACTCGATAAAGATGTTTTGTTTCATGAATCAAAAGGCTTCTTGTCTGTGAATTATTTTAATTTCTGGATATTAAACTGCACAGTAGCTATTTTATTTGCCTTTAATAAATTTCTTAGGTTTTTACCTCTAACTAATGGCACATTTTAAATAATTTTCCAAGCACTAGGTGGTGTCTGACAAGATTGATTCACTCAAAAACGATGCAGAATTTCTTAAATGTAGAATCTTTTAAAACGGTGTCGGATGGCTTCTCCTGCTACATCGTTTATTTGTAGCTTCCACTAACTCTAAAGATTGAACAGGAAACTGATATGGTAGAAATAGATAACTTTGCCTTGTTCACTAGCTAAGATTTTATTTGCTTTCTGTTAGATCACAGTAGTGCTATCATAATAATGATAGAACAATTCGTCTTTTTTGTAGATAAATAATGATTTCGAGTGCTTATTATTTGTTTTAGGTAGAATTTGTTGTTAGATCATACATGAGAATTTTATTTCATAGAATAGTGCTGATAGATAGTAGATGCTTTTCATTTCCAACAAAACAGAGACAAGATTTTGCTTGTAAGAAGTTTTTTTCCCTTCAAGAAACTTAAAGAAAGCTTTAACTCTTAAAAAAAAATTCTAACAAAACTTTCCTTGAAGAAACAAAATTTTTAACGGGGAAAAACTTGACCATGAGAAATTCAGAAGGAAGATGTGAAAGTCAGCTATGTCTCCTCTGCAATGATTGCAGAACAACAAAAATTTGGAAAGTTACTATCCTACTGGTCAGACGTAGTAGTCCCCGTTTGTGCAAAAACACCTCTTGGCCGTGGCGATGTGGGGAGGGAGTGTGGTCCAATAGTCCTTCTCACTTCTCAGAGGTTGACACAGAATCTAACAGTTACCCTCTTAGAACTACTCCGGAGAATTCGGTAGGTAGTAGCTAGTTTCCACACCGGGGACCTGCTTTGTTAAATGCTATGGGTGTGGGGACAAGATACTGGGTTCAGAGAAAGTTCTGGGAAGAGTCTTGAGGTGGAAACAGCCTCGGTGCGCGGGGGTTTCTCGACAGCTCTCTGGTGTCTCTTACCCCCTAGGTTTTCCCAGCCTTCTCGCCGGATTGCCTTGGAAAGCTCTTGGTGTGGTGGCCACTGGGGTTTGCTCCAGCAGAGATAATGGAGGGGCTCGCTATCTAATCTGGACAGCAGCAGGAACAATCCATTAGACCTCAGCATTTATCCGGAGCGGGGGAGGACGGAGGGACGGGGCTGGCGTGCTCCACCTGGCCCTGGGAGGCGCAGAGCTGCCCCACAGGTGGCAGGGGGATTAATCAGAGAGTTTTGTGCTAAATCAAAACTCACCACTGCGTATTATGCTTGCTGATGCCGGTAAATAGTAATTCTACCCATTGTGACTGTTAGGAAGTAGCAGAATCCTTTTGGGTTGGAGGTATCGTTTTTTTTCTTTTAAGAAGTTCAATGAGCTTTACATTGTCTCATTCAAACTCACCCATCAAGGGGCGCGGTTCGATTCCAACTTTCACCGTATTCCTTGAGACTAGGTAGACTAAATCCATCCCCCCATTCTTTCATTCATTCATTCGGCAAACATTTACCAAGCTTTCCTCTGCGCTGGGCGTTATGCCTTGTACTGACAGGTTAAATTATTTGCCCAAGATGAGGACTAAAGCCGGAGACTGGGGCGGGACCCTAAATCAACTATTTCAGTCCCGCAACTGCTCACTTGTTTGCCCCAAGACACACAAATCGGAGATGTTTGGCGTTGGAAGGGCCCCAGAGGTTATCTAGCCAGCCTTCCATTCAGTGCAGGAATCCCTCCCCACAATGCCTGGGCCAGGCCCCTACCTGTACTCTCTGCCAGCTCAGGAAACTACAGCTCCCGGGTGGGCTTCCCATTTGAAACTGGCTCTGTGAACGGGAAAGAATTTCCCTGGGAGAAAATGGTCTTAGCCTGCCCACACCTAAACTTGGACTGCTGAGCCCTTAATGCTACTGTGACTCCCAAGTCTCCGGGTTTATGCCCCAAAAGTAAGAGTTCCCCTGCCCAGGGCAACCCATGTCCTCAGCCATAACTGGCTGGCCACGACCTGGGCTGTGCCATGGCTCCCTTCAGCCTTGCCCTGGTGATGGAGATCCCTGAGCTGCTAGAAACTAAAGCCCCTGAAACCTGAAGACGCTGTGGGCCTTAGTCAAGCCAACCTTCCTCTGATGTTATGGTGGATATTTGCTGCCAGGTGAGAGAAAACACTACAGGGAGTAGCCAAAGAATTGCCAGAGCCTAGATTCTAGATTCTAGTTCCCACACAAACACCTACAAGCTGGGTGACCTTGAGTAAGTTATTTCACTTCTATTTCTAGCATAGTCTAAAAATAAGGTGCAGGAATGTGCTTCTCAAAAGTTGAAAATGACATCTTTTTCAAAGATAAAATTTCTCCTTATAGTCTGTGTTCACAAAAGCCAATTTCTGAACCATAAACTCATTACAAAGAATGTTCTGGAAACCTTTTAGATTTGTTTAGATCCTAAATGTACATCGTCCCTAGGTCAGTGTAAGAGTTTAGACTCCAGTATTAGAATGTTGTGATTTGAATTCCATCTCCTCCACTCACTGGCTGTGTTTTCTTGGTCAAATTACTTAACGCTTCTGTGTTTCAGTTTCTTATATTTTAAAATCTTTATAAACCTTAGAGGACGGAAAGACTGCCCTAATCCCTGACATAATCATGTGTTCAGCTGGATGCTAATGTTCTCCTTGTTTTTGTTTGGCTTTGTGTGTTTTGTTTCTTAACCTATTACTTCAAAACTCTTCAGAAATTAAATACATCTACTGAGAGGTAGAAATTTATCTGACACACTGATAAATATGTTTTTTATTTAGCTTAGCCAAAATTGACTGCTGCTGGTGGTTGTGGAAATTGTGTGAGTTAACCTTTCCGAAAGGCAATTTGGCAATAGATATTCAAAACCCAAAAAGTGGTCATATTCTTTGACCCACTTTTTCTGGTAATAGAAATTTACCCTCAGGAAATAATCAGAGATTCACAAGATGCTTTACTTAGCAAAGTTTATAATTTGACAAGGACGCACCAAACATTATGAATTGAGGTGAAAAACAGAAAATAACCTAAACTCTAAACAATAAGAGTTTACTTACATGAACTATACTAAATCCATTACACGATCATTAAATTATGTTTTCTTAAGATATTCAATGACATGGGAAGTCTCGATTCTTAAGAAAGAAAAAGTAGATTGTGAAACACTTCTACCACAGTCGAGAAAGAGAAGAGAGAAGACTAATGTTTCCAATTCTTTCTGCCTAATGTGGCTAAGGATGGATTTGGTTGTCCCCGTTATACTTTTCTGTATTTCCAAATGGACTATGACAAACTCGTGTTTATTTGAAAGCAGAATAAACAAATATTTTGAGAGAGGTGAGGAAGATTGGCCAGATCCAAGACATGTCAGCCTTCTTCAGGCTTCCTACGATGTTTATGACTGGTGCGCTTTCGTAGCAAATCATTTGTTCCAGAGAATTCAGTTTTAGGGTCCCCAAAACTCAATGGACTCAAAACTCCAAGAACAGCCCTGGACTCCTGATTCCAGGCTAGAGATGTTCACAGTTGGTAGGAGTGATTTTTCCACAAGGAAGAGATTCCCCTCCCCATTTAGAAAATGTTTTCAGGTCCAAATTTTCTCAGAATTTCACTTGCAACCTTGAGTGTTTCTGAAATTGAAAACAATCATCTAAGTTCTTGTAACTTTTCCCTCTTCCACGACTCCCTTTTCTGGCAGGAGGATGTGGTGGGATGTGAGGCCAGGTGTGGGGTAGTGATGGGGGATGCTGCAAATAGAAGCTGATTATTCAGACCTCAGGGAGGGAGAAAAGGAGGAGACTTGGTGGGGAGGAAAGTCAGAGCTTTGTTGGTGGCCAAGAAGCCAGGTGTTCAGAAAGGAAGGCCGTTTGAAGGCAAGAGAGCCAAAGCGGAGGACAGGACTGCAGACTGAATGAATCACAAGACAGCTCTTAATAAATGTCAGGTTCCGGTTTTGAAACTGAAATAGTTTGCACTTGTAGAGAAACAAGTAGCAGATGCCTTCCTCCTGCTTTACAAGAAGGGTGTGGGATGGAGCTGGGGGAGAGTGGTCACAAAAGCAAGTAGAAGTGAGATCCCACCATAAACTTAGGAGACCTTCAAAAGATCTTGTACTGGGTCTGTTTTTTTTTTTTTAATCTTAATGTAGCACATCCCAGTCAACAGAAGATAAAAGTAACATCGAGATAAAGACCAATTTCACTTTTATTAATTAGCAAATAAATAGCAAATAAATTGCATTCTGAATATAGCATGAAATATAAACTTAAAATACCATTTAATAATGGTATTTTCTTTCTCTAAGTCCTACATTTAAAAAAAATTTTTGAGGTTGGCCTTCGTTGGTTGGGTGGGTGTGTTTGTTGATAATGGAGTGTGAATAGAATTTTTGCAAATCACAGAATTTTCTGAAGACTGGAGGCAGCTCCTCCTAAGCTCATCTCTTCCCTTCTTCATCTACAAGGCAAGCAAGGCCGAGACAGGCACCATAGCCATCTTCATGTAATTTTCCAGCCCCCTACACTGCACAGGCATAGTGGTAGGAACTTTCCTGAAGGATGATTCTTGCAGGGGTGAGTTCCAGACACCCTTGTTGACTTAATTCTCTACAAACAAAATCCTCAGGCTGGGCGCAGTAGCTCATGCCTCTAATCCCAGCACTTTGGGAGGCCGAGGCGGTCAGATCACGAGGTCAGGAGTTCGAGACCAGCCTGACCAACATGATGAAACCCCGTTTCTACTAAAAATACAAAAATTACCTGGGCATGGTGGGGCGCGCCTGTAATCCCAGCTACTCAGGAGGCTGAGGCAGGAAAACCACTTGAACCCGGGAGGCGGAGGTTGCAGTGAAGCGAGATTGCGCCATTGCACTCCGGCCTGGGTGACAGAGTGAGAATCCGTTTCAAAAAAAAAAAAAAAATCCTCAACCACAGTTGTTTAATCTGCCCCTTTTCTAGGAAGGGGATTAACTCCAAAGCCTGAGCAGACATCTGTGTTCTTGATGTGCAGAGGATGCCTTCCAAAGCAAGAGATGTGAGAAGTGAGGAGGACACAGCTGGGAGGGAAGAGATTTCCCTTGCCTTTGAAAAACGCTTCATTCTCTGCTAGCTAGGCATTCTGGGATGGGTGGGTCAGTATGTTGTTGACTGCTTTTCTTATCGCTGTACCATTTAGCATCCCCAGAAATGGCTCCTCAGGCACAGTTTTTTTTAGGCATCCATAGACCACCCTCCCCCCGCAGAGAATTATCCAGAGAAGTATCCAAGGTGCTCCATCTTTGTACAGTTTTGTAATAATCTCCACCTGTAATCAAAATAGAATCCGGGAGGTCAAGCAATCCTCCTCTTGGCCCTGCTTCAAACTGCTGAACCAAACAGAGCTCTGTGCCCTCATCTGTGAGTTGGGGGCAATGAATAATTGTTGTGGTTTATCAAAGTGGTATCACATACATCACATTTGAACCTCACAGCAACTCTCTGGTGTATTATTAGACCATTTCCCCCTTTTTATAGATGAGAAAACTGAGATTCAGAGATGTTGTAAAGCCAAAGGTCACAGTACTAATAAGTAACAGAATTGAACTCAAAATGCCTTGCTCTAACTACCAAGTGCTGCCTCCCTCACCCTCCAGAGAAAAGCCAAGAATACAGGAGATTGTCTACATGAGCTGATATGTAATGGCTCTGACAGGTTTTATTGGGATCCCTTACTCATCCAAAAATCAAAAAATTACACAGCTACAAGGCTCCTAGAACTGATCAAGCCCTGCCCCCGTTTCATTTGGCAGGTGTTGCCCAATGAGGTTGAGTGATTTGCCAAAGGTCACTCCATGAGTTCATGGAAAATGACCAATGTCATTTTTAAAAATTAGTTAAAAGTACCTTCTACCAAGCCCATTTTTATGGCTTATTTTAAGCAGGTTAATAAGTATACCAGGCACAGCTTAAACCCAACTGAGTAAATGCTGACACCAGTTTATAGATTCAGCAGATAAGTAGCAATAAGGAATTATTCATCTCTCATTTATCATCCAGCCTTTCCAAGGTGCAAGTTATAAAGTGAAGCAAATAGCAGTTCAAGAGCCCCCCACACACGTGAGATCAAAACAGTGAAAAACAAATTGATTTTCAAAGCTATACATTTATAATGCGTCTATGCCTGAGGTCTCCTGAAATATGAAAAAGAATAATACTTGGGAACATTTTTTGCATTTCAGAAATAGGCACATTTCTTATACAGAGCTCTATATTTGACCTTCAGACATATTCAATCATTAATTCATTCTTTTGAGTATGTATTGTGTACCTACTCTGTGCAGACCACTGTAGGGGATTATAGAATTACTAAAGGATATTCCAGCCATCAAGAACTTTTTAAACCTACTGAGGTGACAAAATAAAGCACACATGCATGCATGCGCGTGCGCGCATGCACACACACACACACACACACACACACTTGAATCTCAACCCTATAAATCTTTGTGTGGGGACGTTATGTGATGCCCAGAGTCAGTGGGTGTCAGGGGAGTGTGTGCATGGGGACAGGAGGGAATGGAAAGATTGCCTGGTGTGACTAGGGGAGCCACAACTAGGAACACATTGAGGAGGTGGCCTTGCCTCAACCTTCTCCCCAGTGACATATCTTTCTCATGAGAATAGTGTTAGGAAAATTCATAGGCAGAAAATAAGACAAAGAATTGATGGCCCCAATTAAGAACCTAATCCCCAAATCCCCTGAAGCACAAACTGGTGGAGAGATGGGTGAGGGAACAATGGGGGCAATAGCAGTTATAATATTTGTAATGTCTGCAGAAAATGAATAAAATCAACAGATGATTTATTTGGGAGGTGAGCACTAATGAATTCTCATGTGTTATTCAGAAAGGTCGGTTTACCTTATATTTTTATCACTCCCAGTCTTCCAGTGGTGGACCTGAGACCCAAAGTTCAATATAAATAACAAAGCAGCGGCAAATCCAATAAGCGACTTTGCTCTTAGCTGCCCAGACAAGAAGCTGCAAGACGACTTCTGGAACCTCCCATGGGTCAATTCACTGTCCCTCCCCAGGGATGGGGCCTGTTTCTTCAGGCCAGTAACCACTTATTTCTGGGCCCTGCATCTGTGAAACTGAAGCATTTTCCAGTGTAAAAAGAAATGGGAAGACATTCACTCAAAATCCTTTACTTGGGATATTGGGAAACTGAGGCTCAGCAAATTCAAATGACTTATACATAGAGTGACCACATAATTTATGCAAAATTATAAGTGAATGTGTATATCACTGATGATTACCCAGAACAGCAGCATGCACCTGACCTGTTTCAGGCATCCAGGACATTGGATCACCCCCAATAAACAATGAGAATCAGAACAAGGACCCACCCATTATGCCCCACACACACTTGGCTACCTTCTTTTGTTTATTTTGAAGGCTGAGTCCACAAGACCATTAGGAAGATATTCAGCCTAGAGGTGCAATATGTGCCTGGTGCCCATTTTGGCTTGGTTTATCCCCACTCTAAGTAGTGCATGGAATGACTGCGGTTTTGAATGTCTATGACCTCCCTTTACCTCATCCTCAAGCCCTCACCCACCCCCACCCTTGGCTGGGCCAGGGTCACTGTTTCCAGTGCCCTGCAAGGGGTGTGGGCAGCAGCTCTAACCAGGCTGCCAGACTTCTAGGCTCTGCCCGAGAGCCCAGGGCTGCCTTATCTCTGATCCTCTCACCCTACTGATTACATCAGGGCGAGGGAAGTTTGGCCTTAGGAGTCAATGTATAGAGGGGAGGTATCAATTCCTATAGTAGCATGTTGAAATGGATAACAGAATATAACCAGGGTGCCAGGGAACCTTGTCCTGGCTGTGCTGGTAAATAGGTGTGTGGCTCTATAGCCCTGTCTGGATACTACTTGCCTCTTCTGCAAAATGAGTGGATTGGACCAGAATCCTTGAAGTCCCTTGCAATACCAGGGCTCCACATCAGTGTCAGAGAGAGGCTGTCTCAGGACTGATAAACGGGCCAAAGGTACCTGGTGCCATAATCACCCACCAATGGAGGATGAAGGTGTGAAGAGGTGCCACGTGGCATCTTCCGCACATGAGCCTCTGTGTTTGCACACAGTGGAAGAGACCATGGCGCCCGTGTCTCAGCCACAGCCCTGATACCACATCTTCAGTCATCAAGGATGGGGATTTACACTGTAATAGGACAAAGTGGAAACTCCACTTTTTAAAATTCAATTCAGCAAACTTTTTTAAAAAATGTCTACTATATGTTAGAAACTGGAAAATACAAAGATGTCAAATATAAGATTTCTGCCTTCAAGGAGACTAAAATTTTGGAGAGAGAGGTATATAGAGAGGCAGATGTATAGACAGGTTAAACTAAAATACAGTGTGATAAAGGCTGTAGAAACAGAAGGGGAAAGAGACTGATTCTGGAATAAGGATGGAAATTAAAAAAACAAAAAAAAGCTGGCCTGGTGTGGTGGCTCTGGCTCAGGGCTGTAATCCCAGCACTTCTGGAGGTTAAGCAAGAGGGCAGTGAGAGGGTCACTCCAGCCAGGAATTCCAGAACAGCCTGGTCAACATAGTGAGACCCCGTCTTTACAAACAAACAAACAAAATAGCCAGATCTGGTGGTGCGCACCTGTACTCCTCGCTACTCCGGAGGCCGAGGTGGGAGGATCGCTTGAGCCCAGGAATTGGAGGCTCTAGTGAACTATGATTGCACTACTGCACTCCAACCTGGGTGAAAGGGAAACACCCTGTCTGTCTCTCTTCAAACAAAAAAGGTTATGTAAGAAGATACCCTGCACAATACCAATGCCTTGCCCAGAGGAGCAGTTTTTGAGTTCTGCAGTCAACCTACTTGAATTTAAGTCTTGGCTCCACCACCTTATAAGCGGGGCAAGTTACTTAATAGTTTGTGCCTTGGTTTCTTCATCTATAAAATGGAGGAAATAGAGTGACTGTGTGGATAAATGATTGTGTGGATAATCAATCCACGCAGCATACTTGGCGCTGTGCCTGGCATATAGCAATGTCCAGTGTTACTCAGTAAATGTTTGCCTAGTAAATGGATCCCAGTTTTCATCTGCAATCCAAGCCTTTTATTTTGCATATTCAGATGGGCCTCCCATTTTTAGTTCCTCACTGAACATATTCATTATGAATGGCTAAGATTGAGTTCAGACTTAGGATCCTGGTGTTCCCACCCTAAGAGATAAGGCCTCACTCTGTTGCCCAGGCTGGCGTGCAGTGGTGCCATCACTGCTCACTGCAGCCTCAACCTCCCAGGTTCAAATGATCTTCCCACCTCAGTCCTCCTGGTAACTGGGACTACAGGCACGTGCCACCACAACCCGCTATGTTTTTCTATTCCTTATTAAAGATGAGGTTTCTCCATGTTGTCCAGGCTGGATTTCGAGAGCTTAAAGTCACAAAATGTTGGGATAGGAAGGAACCTGGGAGACAGTTTAGTAGTCTCTTCATTTTATGGACAGAAAACTAAGGCTTAGAAAGTTAAGTGACTCGCCTGTGGGCATGGCAGTCCTCTGGTGGCAGTCGTGGGATTAGAATCCGGGAATCCTGACTCCCAGACCAAGGAGCTCCCTCCAGCCTCAACTAGATCCAGATCCTCGAGGCCTAAGCTTCGCTCTACACTGACACTCAGGCCACAGCAACCTGGGGTCCCTCCCTCCTCTTTCTATGGCGCCCCAAACAAAAGACTACCTGTTTCCCAGTACTTAAGGCACATCTAAGGAAGAATTTAGGACCTTTCCCAGTCCAGGGCTAGCTCTCAACTCAAAGAGGGAAGAAAAAAAAAAAATCAAAAACCACTTCAGACCATAAATGCTCCATGTTGCTTACAATGTTGACTTTCTCCTTTAATTCTCATTCAGGGAGACTGCTTCGCAGGGGATCTGTTCATGATCCTCACCTTAGTGTCACCAACAGAGGTGGCCGTGGGTGCTTTCCGTAGAAAGGGAAGGTGACAGGTGAGGCAGGCAGGAGCTCGGGCCACCTGTTCTCCAGCCTAATGGCCTCAGGTAACAGCCCAGCAGCCTCACTCCTACTTCCCCAAAGGCAAGAGAAGAAAAACGAGGCAACAACCAGAGGGAGGAAGGTGGAACTGGGGGAAACTGAGCGCAGGGGTGGAGAATGAACTAAGCTCCATCACACCTTTTCAAGCACAGCAATGACAGTGTGTGCTGTTATAAAAGAACACTTGCTCCATGAGAACATTAGAAACGTACAAAAAATTTCACGCAAGACCTCGCCGTCTTTATACGCAGGTGTATTTACGTTGATTTCTCTACCTATCTTATCTATCACTATATAATTCGAATGAACCCTAATAGAATATTGACCGGTGTCCTGAATTTTCTCCTCCCGTGCACAGCGTGAGTAATTCCCGTGAAACTATGCTCATGCGGATCTAGATTGAATCTGATCCTTCGGGCCGCGGCGGCTCCGCCTGGGAGGGCGTGGCCCCCGCGCTGGGGCGGGAACCGGCTTCTGGGGACCCGCGGCCTCTGCGCCTCAGCCGACCTCCACCGCGGGTGCGTGCGGGGGTGCGGGGGTGAGGGGTGCGGGGCTGCTCCGTCGGGAGGCTGGGAGGGAGAGCAGGCGCCGGGACCCACGCGAGGGCGCGGACGGACGGGGGGCGGGAAGCGAGGCTGCCGAGGGGAGGAAGCGGGGCCGGCGCAGCGGGCGCCAGGCCGGGCAGAGGCGGGGGCGGCCGGCCGGGGGCTGACCCCGAGCGCCGCCGAGTTTGCGCCGCCCGCCGCCCCGCGCTCGCCTCCAGCCGCCTGGGGTTCCGCGGCGGCCGTCAGCGCGCACCTCATCAATAAGGCCTGCCAGGCGCCGGCCCCGCGGCCATCCATCACCCGGGCTGCACCCCCGGCCGCGCACCGAGGCTTCTGCCAGCGCCTGCGGGGCCTCTGCGTGGAGTGGGCCGGCAGCGTTTTTCTACCCGGCAACAAATACATGGCTTTATTCCACTTCTTAATCCCAGTGTCTGTTAACGATGTGGTGTTCATTTGTTCCTAAAGAGCTGTAAGGAAGCTTAGAAATGATTCGGCAAGCTGGGCGCGGTGGCGCATATTTGTAATCCCAGCACTTAGTGAGGCAGAGGCGGCAGGATCGCTTGAGCCCAGCAGATAGAGACCAGCCTGGGCACCATGGCGAAACTCCATCTCTACGAAAAAATAAAATTAGCCAGGCGTCGTGGCGCGCGCCTGTGGTCCTGCTGGGGAGGCTGAGGTGGGAAGATGTGAGCCTGGGGAGGTAGAGGCTGCAGTGAGCTGAGATCGCACCACTGCAGTCCAGCCTGGTGACAGAGTGAGACCCTGTGGAGAAAGAGAGAAAGGGAGAAAGAAGAGAGAGAGAGAGAGAGAAAAAAAGAGGATTGATTCAGCACAAACACACACACACACACACACACACACACACACACACACACAGAGAGAGAGAGAGAGAGAGAGAGAGAGAGAGACAGAGGATTGATTCAGCACAACCGGTGCATTTCACAGATGAGGAGACCGAGGGCCAGAGTGGGCGGCTGGCGTGCCTGAGGCCACACCAGGAGGAGGTGATGGAAACTATACTGGGGCCTGCATCTCTTGCCCTACCCCCACTCCCAGCCCTTGTGCCCTCCAAATGGGCACTCCGCAGGTCCAGGATCGATATGAGTGTTTGGCATCGAATGTGTGAAAAGGGCCAAGTCATAGGTTATGGGTGTGGGTGTCAGTGCATGAACAGCACAGAGTCCGCAGGCATTCTGTCCCCCAACTCAGGCCACAGCCTGTGTGTGCGTCTGTGTGCATGTGTGTGCATGTGTGTGTGTGTTGAGGTCCAGAAAGAGTACTAGGTAAAAGAGAGGGGGGAACACCTCTACATTAAAAGCAATGTGTTCCTTGAATTCATTTAGGTCGTCTCCCACCTGCCCTTTTCCCCAAGGAGGTGCCGTGGGTCCCCCTTCCTGCTCGTGTCTGCCAGCGCTCACTCCTGCTCCTGTCTGCAGGACGCTTTTGTTCTCCGGTTTGCGGGTAGAAACTTGTGTTCATCCTTGTATCTACAAGTTTGCATGATGCCTGGCACATAGTAAACATTCAATAAATGTTTGCTTTGTGAATTGTAGCTCTTATGAGGGAATTCGAATAATTCTGGATCAGAGGGCTTGTAGGCTGAAAGAACTCACAGATCAGGTGTCCAATCTCATTTCATAAGAGGGAGACTGAGGCTCCCAGCATTGCCCCATTGAACCGTTGCCTGTTTCACTCAAGGCCTTCCTCTGTAAGGTCAGAGCTGGCGTGGCCCTCAGGGATCCTTTCTTTTCTTCCCCCAGAACATTGCGCTGCCACCAGCTCTCCGAGCCGTGGACTGCATCCTCATCACTTCTTTCCCTTGCCACCTTTTGGTTCCTCTGCTGCTTAATTAGCAAGCTCTCCCAGGGTGAGGGACAGAGAAGATCATGGAAGCCAAACTGTCTGCTTTGTTCCTAAGAGGAAACACAATATTTTGTGGGGGATTGTTTTGTTTTTGTTCATGGTGTTGTTTTCTTAGTGTTGGTGGTGTTGGATTTTAAATTCAAATTCAAATGACGAAATTAAAATCAGTGACCAGTGGGTGTCTGCCAGTCTTAACATCCATTTTTCTTCCATGATCACAGAGGTATGACTGGAGTTAGAAACAATCATATTATCAAGAACTCTGGGAAGAGGTAGAAACAATCTCTCTCCTCTCTCTCTCTCTGTCTCTCTCTCACTCACACACACACCTCACTTTTATTGAAGAGCAAGGGTAGCAAAGACATCCTGTGGCCCAGGCAGTCAGTGGCTTTGGGCTCTTGTGTGATGTCCACTAGACTATAATTGCTGTATATACAAGTCCAGAGTGTGGTTTTATCTGGCACAGAGCACTTTCATCCTGCTACCTTGCGCCCTGATGGTAGCCCATCCATGTGAACATCGTGACCTGCAACTGAGCGTAATGGAAATTGACTTAAGAATGACAGCCAGAGGCTGGGGGCGCGGTGGCTCACTCCTTTAATCCCAGCACTTTGGGAGGCCGAGAGGGGTGGATCACCTGAGGCTGGGAGTTCGAGACCAGCCTGACCAACATGGAGAAACCCCGTCTCTATTAAAAATACAAAAATTAGCCGGGCATGGTGGCACATGCCTGTAATCCCAGCAACTTGGGAGGCTGAGGCAGGAGAATGGCTTGAACCCGGGAGGCAGAGGTTGCGGTGAGCCAAGATCGCGCCTTTGCACTCCAGCCTGGGCACCAAGAGTGAAACTCCATCTCAAAAAAAAAATAAATAAAATAAATAAGAGCCAGAGTAATGGGTTCTGCAGAACGATATCATCTTGTACAGAAAAGGCCATGTTTCACTGACTGCTTTTCCCTTAGTCCATTCAGAAATACAGTCCTACGCTCAAGGGGCCAAAGCGTTTCTCTTTCAAGGCCAGTCCTTGGCTTACCCTTGCCTCAGGGGAACACCTGGACCAAACTCAGTTTCCAAGGACTGACTGGTTCTCTCCGCTTCCCATCACCCTCTCCCAGGCAGCCATCAGGTTGTTGAAAGGGACTTAGCAATCCCTGAGCTTCTGCTGTTTGGCTTCAAGACCTTCAGGATGTGAGAGGAGGATAACCCTCACTCTGACGTCACCCTTCCTGCAGCCTGCCCAAAAACATGAGTGCACCGGCGCTCGTATGTTTGTGCCATACATGCTCAAGATAGGCACTGGAGCTGTACCCAGGATGGACCACTGTGGCCATTCCTGTGGACTGAGGATGAGCAATAGGGAGGACCAACCTTGAAAAATGATCCTTTAAAAAGAAATGCAAGGCTTTCTTTTGTATAGAAATCACTTTTCTAACATATTTTAGATGGGAGTCAAACGTGTACCAGGGATGTGGACTCGCACTAAAGACAGGATGGGGCTGGAGAGAATGGGAGCTGAAGAGTCTTATCCTGCTCCACCTGTGCTCTTTTTCCTTCTGCTTTTTTCAAAGCCAGATTTATTGAAGTGCAACTTATATACAGTAAATTCACTCCTTTTAGTGTACAGTTTTCAGAGTCTTGACATACACACAAATTGTGTGACCACCATCACAAGATATGAGAATAGTCCCAGCGCCCCTCCAAATTTCTTCCTCCCCCTCTACAGTCAACTCTTCCCCCTCCTCAGCCCCTGGCAACCTCTGATCTGTTTTCAGCCCCTATTGTTCTGTCTTCTTCAGAATGTCATAGAAAATGGATTTTGTCTATCATCTTTTGAATATTCTTTTACTTAGCTGAATGCATTCGAGATTCATTAGTGTTGCTGGGGTGTTTGTTGTTCATTCCTGTTTGTTACTGAGTAGTATTCCATTGTATGGATGTACCTCAGTTTACCTATTCCCCTGCTTAAGGATCATTTGAGTGGTTTCCCGTTTGGGGCAATTATGAATAAAGCTGTAGGTTTTGAAAATAACAACAATACTACTTTAGAGTTTAAAGTTTAAAACACAACTTATATTTAGCTCTTCTTGTCCTGAAGCTCATTGCAAATAGTATATCTGCTGGGGCATGTTCAAAGACTGGGGTGAGGACGTCACAATCCCTGACAAAAAGTGGTGTATGGAGGGGTGTGTGCATCTGCATTGGACGTGTGGAAAGAAAGATATGAATTCAGAGCTTCAGAGGTGCAGCAAAGACAGAGTGCTCACAGGGTGATTGAGAAACTGAGGTGGCAAGTAAGTCTTTCATTTACTCTACCTGTTCTGAGCCCACCAGCCCCTGAGCCTACCCATCTGCTCAGGGAGAGTGTGGGCCCCTGGAACTGGGCATCTGCAGAGACTTCCTGGGGGAGGGGTGGACTTTGCCCCTCACTGGCGGAGGCCCCCCGGGGAGATGGTGTGAAATAGGGGAGGGAGGAGGCGATGAGGTCGGGATAGCTCTGCACCTTCCTGAGTGACATCCTGCCAGTGCCCTCCACCTAGGTGCGGAGGGCTCCATTTCACTGCGCCCCTTTGCACCTTGGATTTTCTCTCTTCACTTCCTTGCCCTTTGGCAACTTGCTGTTCATTAGCACCTCTGCTGCAGAACAGGGGGCAGCACCAGAAGTCCCACTCTAACCGGAGAGCCCCTGTCCTTCTGTCAAACACACGCACAGGACTAACGAGGGGGATGAGTGGAAACCAGCCGCAAAGAAATGGAGTGGGAGGTTCTTCTTTAAAATCCATTCCGTTCAGAACACAGTGAACACCCTTTGACAGAACAAGGACTATCTAGCTATTCCAAGCTCCGTGCCTCCCCTTTCTTGAGACTGTTGTTACAAGAAACCGATGATTTCTAACAATAGGAACCTCCCAGCTGGGGAAGCGGTGTTCGGAGGGGAGCAGCGCTCTCGGTGGGCACCTGCTGCAGTTGGGGAGGGAGAGGTGGTCGTGGAGGCCACTTTCCCCTCCACCGCCAGGGAAGCCTGGTCTGTCTGAAGGGGTCCTCGCCTGCGCCGAGGATGGCCGGACGGCCGGGCCTCCGGCCCCAGCACAGCCCCCCTTTCAGAGGACCCCGGGTCTTCGCGCCTGCGGACCAGAGGCTGTTTTCGCACTTGGGCTTCGCGCTTCCTTGACACTTTCCTGTCTCTGCTCGCCGCGCCAGGTCGCGGCGCCTGCCTGGGCGTCTTCTCCAACTCCGGGTCACCTCGGGGCGAGGGCAAGGGTGCCGGGCCGGTGGGGCGTTCCGGCCACCACGGGGCGGAGGAGGGAGCGGCCTTTGCGGAAACGGGCCGAGCTGGCTCAGGGAATGCCAGATCTCTGGGGGACCCACCAGTCCCCTGATGTGCGCGTTGAGGTCTTGGGCCTGGCGGCGCTCCAGCCGCGGGTGTCCCTACCATAACCACTGTCCTCCCCGGGAGCTGGGCAAGAGGAGCCCTGGACTCTGGGTTGACCTCGTCCCGGTCGGGTTCTCTCTCCTCCCACCCAGGCCCGGCCGCTTTCTGGCGTCCGTCCTCTCCCAGGAGGTCCTGGCCTCTCTCTGCGTCGCCAAGTCTCTTGACTCCCAGCTCGCCTTAACTTCCCAGGGTCTGTGGTCTCTCTCCTTTCTCTGTCTCTGCTCTCTCTGCCCGTCCATTGCCTGCTTTGGTTTTTCCATAATATTTCATCATTCAACACTGTATTTGACTTACTTATTGTCCGTTTTTCTCTTACAGCATGTAAGCTGCTTAGGATAGAATTCTTCTCTACTTTGTTCCATGCTGAGTACTCATGCCTGTAGTATTCCTGGCACAGAGAAGGTGCTCAGTCAATGGGAAATGAATGAGTGGGTGAGTGAGTGAATGCATGAGTGAATGAATCCCCATCTCTCCCTCTCTGCTGCTGGCCAGTCATTTCTCTCTGCCCTGGTCTCTGCCTGTCCTCCTCTGTCTCTCTCGCTTTTCTCTCCCTTCTCTTGTTTCTCCTCCTCCACTCCTCACCCTGCATTTTTTCCTCTATCCGGCTGACTTGGTCTCTCCATCCTTCCAGGATTTATGGGTTGGGCTCCCTATGCCTCAGAAAGGGTGCCCCTGGCTTCTGGTCAGCCTTCATCCCCGGAGGCCCGGGGACTCCCTCGCCAGTCTAACAGCCTAAGCATCTGGCCAGGTTCCCAGCTCAACTTCCCAAATCCTGGCTGTGCACAGGGAAGTCCCTTCTTCCTGCAGTCCCCAGGACCTGGGGACCCCGGGGTGTCCTTAGGAGCAGCCTAGATTTGAGCTGGTGGTTTGTAGGCGATAGCAGCTCCACAGGCAGATGAAGCCACCAGGGAGATTTGTGCCACCCAGGCTGGGCCCCTCCCTCCACTTCTGGCCAGTATTCTACTCTGAGAAATGGCAGTCCTGCCCACCAGTGCACCAGGTCCCTTGAGGGGAATGTTTCATTCT
Organism: Homo sapiens; assembly: GCF_000001405.40. Classification (NCBI taxonomy): domain Eukaryota; kingdom Metazoa; phylum Chordata; class Mammalia; order Primates; family Hominidae; genus Homo; species Homo sapiens. The sequence continues at coordinate 11,699,006 of NC_000008.11, forward strand.
CCATCTCCGAGCAACTTTGATGGATGTTATTAACAGCCCTTTTTAAAATTTTAATCATTCACCCAACACTTATTGAGCACCTACTGTAATCCTTGCTTTGGGCAGACCAGGATTTTGATCACTGCATTCACAGAGCATACCTTTTGGGGGTGTAGAAGGGAGGTGATCGGTGCATGTGTGTGGACAGCCAACCCCATATAAATTACTTTATAACTTCAGGGGGCATGGACAAGTGAATAAAGCACAAGATCATTTTACTAGTCCAGGGATGTTAACCCTGGTCTTGCTCTGGGCTCAGCACAAACAACACTGTGACTTCAAAAGTCTCTAACTGGGGAGTAGCAAAGCCCCATATGTGAAAGAATTGGGGCCTGTGTCACCAAGAGAGATCTCAGAGGAGGCAATCCCCGAAGAAAGGGCCCCTTACAGACTCAAAGAACCTCCAGTCTGGGAACCAGACTCCCTATGTTCTGGGTGGTGGGTGGCCTGGGCAGTAGGTGTTAGCAGCTCTTTCAGGCTGCCATTGTCTCCAGGTCCTTGGATGGGGAGGGAGAGAGGGAGCCAGGTTGGCAGCAGGAAAAGAAACATACATGGCGGCGCCTGCGTGGCCACTGCGCCTCCAGCGCTGGCGCTCCTCAACCTGCTGGGGCCCCTGCCTGGACTTGCAGGCACTGGACCAGGCTTCAGTCCTAGCCTCAGCTACGCTGGACCTGAAGAGCCCCTCCCTATTCAAAAAGGCTATGGTGTCCGTCCTGAACTCAGCAAAAATGTTCAGAGATTCCTTTCCACTTTTTTCCCTCTTCCTGTGGGCTCTCAGATTATGAGATATAAACTTTTTTAAACATTGATTTTATTTTTTAAATGTTAAACATGCTCATTAAAGGAAACTCAGAACAATTTTTAAAAGACAGTTTTTAAAAATACGTTTTCATGGTAGAAAGTCGATATTAAATAGAATGGAAAAAAAAGAACTAAGATTCAGGAATCCAGGTTCTAGACCTGCAGTTTCGCCCTTGCTTTGCCACCTCAGACAAGTACCTTAACCTCTCTGAGCCTCCATGTGCTGGTTTCTAAGGTGAGGGCGATAACACCGTCTTTCCCTTCCTCTTGCTAATGATATTGTTGTTCCCTAGAGAAAAATGAGATTTGAAAGTGTTCTGTAATCTGGAAGTGACTATAAAATATGAGAGGGTGTGCCAGAAACTCTGGTCCTCAGGGCTGGAAGCACCAGGAAGCATTTGAGGAGGTCTACGAGGGAGAAGATGTATTCGCTTTGCAACCCAGAGTAGTAATTTCGAAAGCAAGACCATTAACAAGGATTGCTCCTTCCTCTCCTCTCGTCTGTAACCGGCTGCAGAGCACGGTTCCGGGCGAACAGGGCGGAGGCTCTACGTCCACTCCGTATCCCCAAGAAAGAGTGTCCGAGGCACGGACCATAGCAAGTGAAGGAAGGTAGGTCGACGTGGCCTTGCAGCTGAATTCGTTCTCCATTTTTCCTTCAGCAGGGACGCATCCTGCTCTGCACCCTGGTTCTCGGCGCTGCGCCCGCGGAGGCTCGTGCAGGGCAGGCTGCCCGTGCGGGTGAGGACTGAGTGCCGCGCAGGGAAGGAGTATCGCAGACCGGCGCCCAGGCCCAGCGGGGGAATCCAAGGGCCGTGTTGCAGGACTCGGCATTCGTTCTGCGCGGGTCACCTTGAATGTCTGTCCGGATCCCTCGCGGCAGGGCCGCAGAGGCGCGTCCATATCTTGGAGGAATTCGTTCCATAGAATGAGGTTTGATTCTCTCTGGGGTTTCTTGTTTTCCATTATAAGACTCTGGCGACCTTGGTGGCGCCAGATTTTTTCAGATGTTGCTTTTGTTCCGGGTGTAGCGGCCAAGATCATGGACCCAGGCGTGGCACTTGGTTTAAAACAAACTTGGACAGGTCCCACCAAAAACTCGCAGAAACTCGGCGCTGGAAAACCATCAGTGGCTTCACTGTGAATTCCAGCATCCACCGTTTATTTTTATTTTTGGGGGGAACCAGTGTTTAGATTGCTCTGTACACAATACGCAGCGTACAATTTGCCTCTTCTGGGGTATGGACCAGCTCAAGTCCCAAGAGCCTTAATGGAACAGGGTAAAGCAATTTATTCTTGCCTTGGAGATATTTTTTAAAAGAGTACAGTACACCTAAGTAATTCTTGTTTGTCTAAAATCTGACGACCTGACACTGGGTCATTAGACCCAGGTTCTTAGAAAAAAAAAAAAAAAAAAAAGTCAAAGACGTTCACAGTGTTAAATTCTCCTCCTAGACTACGGGAAAGGAAACCCGAGAGAGGACTTGAATGGGGATTGGGCCTGTCTACCCAGGCCAGCCCAGGCATATCTTCCTTAAAAATAGCCAAGAGGCCGGACCTCAGAGCACCCACCCGCTGCCCCCCTTCCCAGCGGCCTCTGGAGCGAGAGAGAAGCCTGGGAACCTAGAGAGGCGCCGATAAACCTCCTCCAGCCGGCGGCCCAGCGAGGCCTTGAAATGCTCCCCGCTCCTGGCAACGCACAGCCAACCTGCAGGCTCCCGCTTGGCCCAAGGGAGGGAGGGGGCGAGCGGAGAGCGAAGGAGGAAAGGAGGGAAAAGGAAACACCCCCAAAAAAGCAGGCCGTTTGCCAACCACCCCTGGTTTGTCCTTGAGCTGAGGCCTTGGGGAGAAAGTTGGGGCGCTGGACCTAGAGGAAAAAGCCACAAGAAACATAATTTTCTCTGTCCCAGGCGACTTCCAGAGACAGCGAATATTCCTGGGTCAGGGGATCCCAGGTTTCAGTCCACTAGGAGTGCCAGCGGAAGGTGTGGGTAAAGGACCGGGGTGGTGGGGGGTGGTGGGAGGTGGTAGGGGTGGCCCAGGGTTGGCAGAAAGCGGCGGCTCAGGTAATCTGGGGTTCCTTGCAAGCAAGCACCCAGCAAAAGCAGGCGTTCCCACCCAGCGGTGTGGCAGCGGCCATCCACAGTACAGCCTGTTATAGCCCCACCATCCACAGCACAGCCTGTTATAGCCCCACCAGTGTACAGAGCAGGGGGTTGAAGTTTAGGGAGGATGGGGAGGGCGAGGGTGAAGGATCGCCGCAAGGCACCGCACCTCCCGCTGCAGCCCATCCCGCACTACTAGGAGAAGCCGGCGTAGGAGCGCCGCCTGTGTCCTTGGCTGTGGGGAGGACGTCAGATGGCACCCCGCCAGACACTAAGCCCCAAGCCCCTGGCTTGTTGCTAAGAAAATTCACTGCCCGGTCCAGACTCAGCCCTTTTCGCCCTTTAAGGGTCGCGCGTGGGAGGCAGCTCTGAGACCCCGGGTAGCGCTGGAGCCACAGATTTCCTCCGAGAAAAGAAAGGCCGGGATAGCTTCCCGCTCGCCCAAGCCCAGATTTTCCACTCTCCAGGAAGGCCTTGCAGGTCCCTGCCGCAGGCCTTGGCTTCGCGCCTCTCTCGCTCGCCCCCCACGAAGATGATTGCCGGTTTCAAACCGGGAGCAGGGAGTCTGCTTCCTTCTCCGCTGAGTCCGAAGGATCGCAGATTGGAGCGTGCTCCGGAGACCGCTTTTCCGCAGCGCCGGCCTCCGAGATCCCCAGCACCCCTTCAGCCTTAAGTTCCCACGTTTCGGGTCCGTGGCGCCAATTCTGCTAAGTAGCAGGCTAGGAATTGGGGGAAGTCGGAGAAGAAACCCTAAGTGTGTCGCCCCCAGCTTCCGGGATGCAGGCCCGCCGGGGTCTAGAGGGGCGGCTGCCGTGCGTCCAGCCTGTGCGCAGGCCTTTCGCCGCTCGGCGCCCCAGGCAGCCTCAGTTTCCTTTCCTCTGTTTGCGCCCCAGTGAACCTCCGCACCTCTCATTCAGGGAAGAGAATTCCCCGCGCAGCCGCGCTCGTTTCTTCCTCTGGGATTTTCCTGAGAATCCCCAGGAGTTGGCCACGATCCCATGGGGGGTTTCCTTCTACCCAGCCCCGCGTCCTGGCCTCGTCCTTAACCCCCGGGTTGCCTTCACTCAGGCTGGGAATCCACGATTGATTTCCTACTACGGAAGCGGGTGGCGTTCCCAGCCTGCTTTCGGAGCAGCACGGGTTTCGTGCAGGGTGTTATCCCGACCCCTTCCCCCATCCCTCTAATCTGGCTTGAGAAGCCCGTGCTGGAGAGAAAAACGCGGCCTTAAAAAAAAAAAAAAGTTTAACCGAAAGCGTGAGAGCCACCCGCCGGCTGTTATCTGGGGCTGAAGGCTGCGGTAATCGATGGGTTATTTTTACGCGGTAATAGGGCCCTGTGATTGCTCTATTAACCTTTAGACCTGTCTGAGGGACTCTCCGGCTCGCAGCCCCGCTGCGCTGGGGCCTCCAGGCTCTGACGCCGACTCCCAACTCAGGCCTGACACATTCCCCTCCCCCATACCCTGGAAGAGCCCCCTCCATGAAGAAGCTCCCCTGGACCGCCTGGCTCCCCAGCCCTTGCCACGTCCCTTGGATTGGTGCAGAGCCGCCGCAGGCTGCAGAAAAAAGGGGGAAAGATTAGAAGAGAGGAGGCCACAGGAGATGGGAAGTGTCGCCAGGAAGGGATGCAGATTGCATAAATACATAAAATTGAGGCTGAGGCCTGGGCTCCCGACCATCTCCCTGGGATTTTGGGAAGGCAAAAGGGAGGCTTCGGTCTCTACGCTCTGATTTTAGGAGGCAGTCTGGGTGTCTCCTGAACCTCCAAGGAATCCGGGGCTGGGAGGATCCCCACTACCCCTGCCCAGGAACTAGCATCCAGCCGGGCACCCCGGGTGACCCAGTGCCCCACACAAGATCGAGAGTTGAGCCCAAGAGGTCACCTTCTTCTCTACTGGCCCCGCCCCTCGCCCGCCGCTGCGGGATGAGGACCACAGGAAGGGGGGGCGGGGAGGGAGAAAGGGAACTCATTAATAAAGCTGACCCTGGGCACCACAGCGAACCCAATCGACCTCCGGCTGGGTTGCGGGTGATTCCCCGCTCCCTGGCGGTAGCACTTGGGCATTTTCCGCGGAGACCCCAGAGCCTGGACTTTGCCTGCTGGGGGAGCTTTCCGCACAGTCCCGCAGCCTGCGCCCAGCGGAGGTGTAGCCGGGGCCGCGCACCCCCGCCCCGCCCTTGCACGTGACTCCCACAGGCCAGTCAGCGCCCTAGGGCCGAGTTGCTGGGCCGGGGACCCGAGCCGCGAGCTGGGGACTTGGAGGCGGCCGGCGCAGGGGCCGCGAGAGGCTTCGTCGCCGCTGCAGCTCCGGGGGCTCCCAGGGGAGCGTGCGCGGAACCTCCAGGCCCAGCAGGTAGGGCTTTTTTCTTCCCTTTCTTTGCTCCTTCCCGCGGTCCCCCAAACTCGGAGCTTCTCCGCCTTTGCTTGTCTGGAGGTAGAGAGGTAGCTAGTGGGAGGAAAAGAGACGTGCGCTACTCACTTCACCGAAATTGCCCAACCCCTGCTCTGCTTTTGACTTTGCCTTAGCAACTTCTTTAAGTCAAAGTAAGACTTGGGGGCAAAACAGAGAAATATTGGAAGCGCCTTTGGATTCTTTCCGTGTGAACTTGAACGCTTTCAATCCCTGTCCCCGTGTGCACATTCTCCAACCCTTGTTTGCATATCGCAGGCCGGGGCCTGGGTGGTGATGGTGGCCGCGTGAAGTTACCGGGACTGACGGGCCCGGGACAGGCTGCACGGCAGCTCGCACATGGAGGGAAGTAGACGGAGGCTTGTCGCCCACCAGCGACTCCGGGGACGCAGGGTGGCAGTGCCAGGCAGCTCCGCTGGGCCTCAGGGGCCCCCGGGAGCCGCTCTGAGGTGCGGAGAGGCTGCTGAGTGGCGGAACTATTCATGCCCTTTCTGGCCGGCCTCCTCGCCCTCGGGGCTGGGGTCCAGGGACTGAATGCTCCTCTGGAAGCTCACCACCCCACCTGCCCGCGCTGCTTCTACCTGAAACTGGCCAAGGGCCCGAGCCCGGACCGGAGCCGTGACTTCCCTCCGCCGGCCACGGGGCTGCCCGGATCCGCCGGGTTATGTCGCTTGGCTTTGGGCTCAGGGGTCACCGTGGGCAGAGGGGGGTGCCGGGGTCGCGGACTGCCACCAGGTTGAGGAAAGGAGGGGCCTTTTGGCTGGGGAAAGAGCGTGGTGGGGGACCCGCGGCCGATGGAATCCCTGGGGCAGCGCGGCCCGCACCGTGGAGGTTGGGGAAGCGCCTCGGGGAAGTGTTTCCTGTGTTCCCAGAAAAGGAAGACAACCGAGAGCAGGTTTCAGGCTTTTAAAGAAAGCCTGGGGTGTGGAGGTGATGCTCCGCACACGTCTGTGTCTCCTCCCCTGCTGCGGCCGGCTTGGTTGTGCCGGCTAGCGTGCGACCGTCCTCCTCGCTGCAGGCCGAGAGCGGAGGCGTAAACCCAGGCCAGCGAGGAGTGTCCTATAAAGGGACGGGGACTTTTCGGCGCTTGCAATTCTCCCATTCTGAAAAATAGATCGGAAGAGGGCTATTGGTTGATTCTTGAAAGGGGAGCGCATTTCCTGTTGGCCTGCGAATTTGGGGTGAACTGGGACAAGTGATCAGAAGGAGAGCAAAAACTCCCCGATTTTGGCAGCCTCGGGAGCTGCTGGGCTTTCTCCGCCAACTGCAGGATCCAGGCTCAATTTCAACAACCAGCCAGAGGCGTTTTCCAAGAGCAGCTAATTCCTTGTTTTTCCAGAAAGTTATAGAGGAGTATTTTCTCCACCTTCTGTTGTTCTAGTAATCCAACTCAGGCACTATATCAGCCATTTGAAAAGGCAGAGAATGTGATAAAGACAAATATTAGATTGATGACATTTTTTGCATTTACCTTTTAAAGTCTGCAAGTTACTACCTGTGTGTATACTGGAAGTTGGATTATAAAATTCTAAATCTCCTTTCTTTTCCAAAGTTATGAAAGAAAAAAAATTACATTATCTTGAAGAACTGCAGGAGTTGAGTATTCCAGAAAATGCAATGAAATAGGTCAGCTACTTGATTTTAAAAGTCAAATACTGGATCTTTTATTAAGGTAAACCCATAATTCTTTAACTTTATTTTCAAAGGGAAAAGTTGGTGACCTCAGGTCAATTTTTAAAAAAATCTATTCTCTAACCAAACTTGCTGGAATGAACTATTTGCCAAACCAATAAGTTATTGCATATTTTGAAAGCAAATAAGCTTTTAGGAGTTACCATGTGACTATATAATACAATACAGTACTATTCCATTATTATTACTAGTGATGTTGCAAAAAATGGTGAAAAGCATTATGTAGTGTGTATTAAAGATTCCATTTCCAGATTTTTACAGTAATAAAGATGATCATTTATTATAGTATATACATTTGAGGTACTTTCTTGTATTATACTAGAAATCTGTAGTAATAGTCAACTGTTATTTAGAACTTTCTTTTTGCCTGTTAGGACAGTTTTATAAAAATCTGTTATAAGTGTTTTACAAATATTAATTTATAATCCTCACTCCTAAGCTTCACGATGACTCTACAAAATAAGTACCTTTAATATCTGCATTTTGCAGATGAGGAAACTAAGGCACAGAGAGGCTAAGTAATTTGTCTAAAGGTGTTTATTCCGTAAGTCTCAGAGCCTGGATTCATATATAGTTAACATTCTTGTAAATCTACTATTGAAATAAAAAAGAAAACTTTGTCGGGAGTAGTTGCCTCTTCTTAAAGAGAGAAATGGAGTGTGGTGGACAGCTTCAAGCCCCTGGAGCCCTACTGATCCCATTCCCTTCCCCCACCCCTTCTGATTGTACTTTGATCTTAGACAAGTTTCAAAACTTTCCAGTGCTCCAGTTCCCTCTTGTAAAATGAGGAGAGACACCTGTACTTAGTAGAGTTGTAGAGAAAAGGACCTGGAGGTAATTCAGACAGCAGGTAATTCAAAAAGTGGAGCTCTTATTTTATCAGAAAAATTGCCTGATAATAACAAAACGCAGGATGCTGGGAAGTATATAATCAAGTTCCACAAACTGCTCTTTCCCCAAGCACCCACCTTGGTGTTATGATTCTGCTTATGGGTGGATTTATTATTCTATATGAAGAACCCATTCAGTGAATTAGAATGGTCCAGTGGGTTATTCTGTAGAGCGGCATTGTACATTCTTCTCACTTTTCTGGTTCTGATATACAATTTGCAAAACGTCTAAATTGTAACTATTTGCAAGAAACCTGTAACTTGTCCGATTTGACGTCCACATGGTTAGTGTATGGATGAGGGTTTCAGAACCCTCTTCAGGAGGCTTAGCAGACACCGTTGTTCACTTATAAACATTTGGACTCTACTTCTGGTTTTTTTTTTTTTTAATTACAAACAAAACTTTGTTAGGTTGTTGTTTTGTGTAAAGTTTGTCCTTGTCCCCCCAAGGACAATCTAAAGTTCTTTCTAGGCCAGTCTCCCCATCTTTCTTGGGGAGAGATGGGGAACAGAGGAGATGAGAGATTTCTTGGGTCCCAGGCACTCTGCATTAACGCCAAACTTTTGGACTTACAAAAATATGCTTGCAGAATAAGGTAACATTAAAGTCCTTCCTGACAAGCAATACAAAAATCATTGACCAAGATCACAACCAATAACTGCACACCAAAGACCCGGGAAGCCCCTGGTCCCTGGGGCGCCTCTCCCCAGGCTTGCCTGGGCCGCCTGACCCAACGCCTGGACAAAACAAAGGCCCCTGCTTCCCGGCACCGCGCGGCCTCCGGAGCTGCACCCCCAAATCCCCGTGGCGACTTCATTTGAAGCGTGGAAGAAGCAACCACGCAAGTGGAGAGTGGGTTCTGAAAGCTCTGGGATGAACCACCCTCTCTCTTTCTGTCGTTCCTCTTTTAGGACCCCGGCTGCGGCGAGGAGGAAGGAGCCAGCCTAGCAGCTTCTGCGCCTGTGGCCGCGGGTGTCCTGGAGGCCTCTCGGTGTGACGAGTGGGGGACCCGAAGGCTCGTGCGCCACCTCCAGGCCTGGACGCTGCCCTCCGTCTTCTGCCCCCAATAGGTGCGCCGGACCTTCAGGCCCTGGGGTGAATTCAGCTGCTCCTACATCAGCTTCCGGAACCACCAAAAATTCAAATTGGGATTTTCCGGAGTAAACAAGAGCCTAGAGCCCTTTGCTCAATGCTGGATTTAATACGTATATATTTTTAAGCGAGTTGGTTTTTTCCCCTTTGATTTTTGATCTTCGCGACAGTTCCTCCCACGCATATTATCGTTGTTGCCGTCGTTTTCTCTCCCCGCGTGGCTCCTTGACCTGCGAGGGAGAGAGAGGACACCGAAGCCGGGAGCTCGCAGGGACCATGTATCAGAGCTTGGCCATGGCCGCCAACCACGGGCCGCCCCCCGGTGCCTACGAGGCGGGCGGCCCCGGCGCCTTCATGCACGGCGCGGGCGCCGCGTCCTCGCCAGTCTACGTGCCCACACCGCGGGTGCCCTCCTCCGTGCTGGGCCTGTCCTACCTCCAGGGCGGAGGCGCGGGCTCTGCGTCCGGAGGCGCCTCGGGCGGCAGCTCCGGTGGGGCCGCGTCTGGTGCGGGGCCCGGGACCCAGCAGGGCAGCCCGGGATGGAGCCAGGCGGGAGCCGACGGAGCCGCTTACACCCCGCCGCCGGTGTCGCCGCGCTTCTCCTTCCCGGGGACCACCGGGTCCCTGGCGGCCGCCGCCGCCGCTGCCGCGGCCCGGGAAGCTGCGGCCTACAGCAGTGGCGGCGGAGCGGCGGGTGCGGGCCTGGCGGGCCGCGAGCAGTACGGGCGCGCCGGCTTCGCGGGCTCCTACTCCAGCCCCTACCCGGCTTACATGGCCGACGTGGGCGCGTCCTGGGCCGCAGCCGCCGCCGCCTCCGCCGGCCCCTTCGACAGCCCGGTCCTGCACAGCCTGCCCGGCCGGGCCAACCCGGCCGCCCGACACCCCAATCTCGGTGAGTAGGAGCGCGAGGGCTGGGGCGCGTGAGGGCCGGGGCAGGGGCCGTCTTGAGCCCTGTCGAGGGCCTCTTGTTTTTCCACCAACGCCTTCGTTGGGCTGGGGATGGTGCTTCACTACCTCGAGTTTCTAGGGAAGGCAGAAGCCAGTGCGGGGCTGGCGACATCACAGCCCCAGAAGACCGGCTTCTGTGGAAGGGGCCGGGCCTGCCCGCCGGGGCCTCTTCTGAGATGGTGTCAGGGTCGGAGTGCGGCCTCCCCGCCATCCCAGACATCGACCGTGGCCGCGCTGCGCTGTGGGTGACGCGGGAGGACAGCGGGCTCCCTGGAGAGCCGGGGGCAGCGGCCTGGGATTTCCTCGTGGAAGGTGCTGGAGATTGCTGAGTTTCTGCGCCCCTTTCCTCCCCGCCCGCCCTCGGGCCTCCGCAGGGAACTGATTACAATGGTTTGGACCGCAGACCTTCTGGGCCATTTGGCGGCCCAGCTGGAGGATCCCTCGGGGTAGCTGATGATTTTCCCGTCGGGGGTCTCACACCGAGAACAAAGGAGGGATGGACAAAGGAGACGCCGGGGAGATGCGCGGAACAGGAGCCGGCACTGTGCGGGTGCCACCCGGCCGAGCGCGTGGGCGCATCATGCGGGCAGCGGGGGGGGGGGCGCACACGCCCGGTCAGTGTCCGGGAACATAGGGACCTCAAACGCGCTTGTTCATGACACCCGAGTTAAATGGAGACTTTGCAGTCGCTTGCACGCGTGGAGCCTCCTCTTCTCGCGTGGGCCAGGGTTGGAAATAACCGTTGTGGTAGGTTCCATGCAGTGTTTCCATCGGATGTCAGACGGGGAGGGACGGCAAACCTGTCTCAACCTCCACTGATTCACAAATAAACGCAGCGGGATCTGAGAAGGGGCCTGAGTACACGGGCCGGGGGAGAAAGGGAAGTGGCAACCCCTAGTTCAAAATGCAAACGACCTCTGGAATTTCGGGAAGAGACGGAGGAGTGAGTTTGGATTGAGCCCACCCTGTGGGGGAGGGGAAGCCCAGGCTTGAGAAGCAAAGCTCGCGTTTATTGACCACCTACTAAGTGCTAAATCCTTCTGCATTTGTTCTCACTTTGAAGAGTAAAGGCTACCCCTGCCAGGTTTCCAGTCTTGGGCTGGCTCCGAGAAGGGCCTAGGCTTTGAAGCGCTTTTAAATTGTCCTCTGGCCCTGGGTGGCCAGGGAAGGTTCCCGGGGGTGCAGCCAAATACACATCGCCGGCAAACTGATTAACCCTGAAAGTGGCGCCGAGGCCCGGTCTGTGGCTCTTGGTGTTCCCCTCCCCCTCACCCCTCTTGGGGGAGCCAGACGGCCACCCCCAGGGGAGGAGGGGCCCGGCCGAGCCTCGCCGCGACTTTTGCGAGATAGCGCGGCGACATGGCCACACAATGGAGCCCGCAGGCGGGAGTGCGGGGCGGGGCGCGGCGCCCTGGCCTTGCGCGCTTACGGGGTCCTCTCCAGGGCCCTCTGGGGCCTCTGACTTAAAATAGGGAGGACTGGGCCAGGAGATCGAGACCATCCTGGCCAACCTGTTGAAACCCCGCCTCTACTAAAATACAAAAAAAAAAAAAAAAATTAGCGGTCGTGGTGGCGCGCGCCTGTAGTCTCAGCTACTGGGGAAGCTGAGGCAGGAGAATCGCTTGAACCCGGGAGGCAGAAGTTGCAGTGAGCCGAGATCGCGCCACTGCACTCCAGCCTGGTAACAGAACAAGACTACGTCTCAAAAAAAAAAAAAAAAAAAAAAAAAAGGACTGGTCCAGGGAGAGTTTGCTTTGTAACCCCGACAATCCTGGAGGGAATTTGGTGTTTGGTTAAGGAAAAGAGAGAAGTTAAAAGTCATGAGTTACATCCAGCAGTGTAAAAACGAAATACCCGCCGGGCGCGGTGTCTCACGCCTGTAATCCCAGCACTTTGGGAGGCCGAGGCAGGCGGATCACAAGGTCAGGAGTTCCTGGCCAACATGGTGAAACCCCATCTCTACTAAAAATACAAAAATTAGCTGGGTTTGGTGGTGTGTGCTTATAGTCCCAGTTACTTGGGAGGCTGAGGCAGGAGAATCGGTTGAACCCGGGAGGCGGAGGTTGAGTGAGATTGCTCCACTGCACTCCAGGCCTGGCGACAGAGGGAGTATGTCTCAAAACAAACAAACAAAAAACCGAAATACCATGTGAATGCACACAGTATTCAGATTTTGAAATGTCAGCCATGCCATGTAGAGGTTGCTGATGAAGTGATGTTTCCCAAATTCCCATGTCAGCAAATGGCAAGCTGACCTCCCTGTGCGTCTCTCTGCCAAGAACTGCCACCTGCCTTCTCTGGGCTCTTCCCGGATAGCTTATGAAGTCCACAGCCTTTGAATCTGGCCTAGAGGGTGGTTTTTCTCTTCTGCACCCAGCCAAGTGTTTTAGGAGAGGTGCGGCTCTCTGTGAGGGAACACAGGGCATGTTGAACTTGTTGGCATTCATAGCTTCAGCGTGTTATGCAGGTGGCACTTACATAAAAGCAACTGAAATTAAAAGCAGTGCATGTGGCCAGGCGCAGAGGCTCATGCCTGTAATCCCAGCACTTTGGGAGGCTGAGGCAGGAGGATCATTTGAGGCCAGGAGTTCGAGGTCAGCCTGGGCAACATAGTGAGACCCCATCCCTACAAATCATTTTAAAAAATTAGCCAGGCTTGGGGTGGCATGCCTGTAGTCCCAGCTTTGGAAGCTGAGGTAGGAGGCTCACATGAGCCCGAGGCCACTGCACTCCAGCCTGGGTGACAGAGTGAGACCCTCTCTCAAAAAAAAAAAAAAAAAAAAAAAAACCAGTGCATGTGAATGTGCTTTTTATATGTTCTTCCCATTACTTGGGCTCTCCTACCTGCCTGGCAGCTTTAGTGAGGACCAGCATCACATAGTAGCTGACCCTGAGTCATGGAGGGAAGATGAGAACTGACCCCAGCTTTCTGAGGAGTTGCCACTGAGCCCTAAGATGGCCAGACAGTGTGGTGGGAGGAGCACAGGGTTTTAAAGTTGGGCAAACCTAGATTCAGTTCCAGGAGCCTCGTGTCATCTTGGGCAAGTTACTTACCTCTCTCGGTCTCACCTCTTTTTCTGTAAAATGGGATCATCATAACAATTTTTAGTGTTGCCTTAAATTAGAAAAGTAAGGTAATACTTTTGAAGAATTTGGCTTTAGCCCTTCATAAATGATGGTTATTTTATTGAATAGCCACTCACTGTCATGTAGAGTTACCAATTTTGCTGGTGTGCCCAGGACTGAGGGTTTTCCCAGAATGTGGGATTGTTCGTGGTAAACCTGGGACAGTCCCCAGTGAACGCAGATTGTTGGACACTCAATGTGAAAATGGGTGCATTACCCATCGTTGTGGTTTGGTAATGAGCTGAGAACAAAGAAGAAACAGCAGAGGAGAAGCAGCTGAGAGCAAAGGAGAAGCAGCATCATTCTTCCCTCTGCTGAGATTCTGGAAGTAGTCATTTAAGTGCTGCCAGCTTCATTTGGTCTTGAAGGGTGAGTAGGAGTTTGTCAGGAAAAGAACCAGCAATTTTTTAAAAAAAGAAATATTGACCATTTTATAGGAAAAAAAAGAAAGACAAAGAAAAAGAGGCCAGGTGCAGTGGCTCACACCTGTAATCCCACCCTTTGGGAGGCTGAGGTGGGAGGATTGCTTGAGCTCGGGAGTTTGAGACCAACCTGGACAACATAGTGAGACCACATCTCTAAAAAAAAAAAAAAAAAAAAATTAACTGGGCATGGTAATGCATGCCTATAACTCCAGCAACTCAGGAGGCTGAGGTGGGAGGATCGCTTGAGTCAGGGAGGTTGAGGCTGCAGTGAGCCGTGATTGCACCACTGTACTCCTACCTGGAGAACAGAGCAAAGACCCTGTCTCAAAAAAAGAAAAAGAAAAAGAAAGGATATACTCTGCTTTACTAATATGTTGTGTAGTACCATGAAATAATACAATGCAACCTGGCCTTTGATTTAAATAATATATTTGTCACAATAGGTAAAACTATACAGACTAATTAACCTTAACTCAGAAACTGTTTTTAATTTCAATGAGGAGAAACAAGAGAACACTTTTTTTTTTCTATGTAACTGCTGTAGTTTTAACAATATCTTGCCATAGTTCTTATGTTGGTTATGTGAATAGGGCAAAAATCAAAACAATAATAAATAATAAAAGTTAACAGGGGCCTCTGTAAAGCCCTGAACTTAGGTTGGAAGAAATAAGTGTGGCCTGACTGCAATGTATGTGAACTTTAATTCACTCCAAGTTCCATATGAGCTACGACCCTAAGACAAATGTTAAAATCATTAATTAGGCTGCATGAATGGAATTATGTGACCTTACTGAGGGCAGGTACAGAGTCTTACTCATTTTTAAGTGCCTGGCACATGTTGGGCACTTAGCAAATATTTGCGTAGGGATCTTGGTGGTAATTGCCCCAGGACTCTGCCCTGCCTGGGTCCAACCACACAGAATGGCTGCGTGAGTCCTTTAAGAAGCAAACTGGAGAGCCCTAGGGGAACGGTGGGCAGGATGGAAGAGGGTTCTGGAAACTTCAGGGAACCACTGGAGGAAAGCAGGGCTTTTAGGCTGGAGAAGTCACTGAGTGGATGAAAGCAAGATGGAGTATGACTGTGTCCAAATTTCTGAAAAGCAAAAAAAAAAAAGAAAAAAAAGACCATGACCTTTTAACTCTGTGTTAGTGAAGGTGAGCAGATATTAGATGTGAGAAGAACACTCCTAGACAATTGTGGTTGTGTGGAAATGCAGTATAGAATATGGCTTGTCTTCATCATAAACTCCTGGGCGCTGGAAGCACTTGTGGTGGAGCTCTGCGGATAGTTCTTGCCTTGCAGGGCTAGGATAGGATCTGCATGTGCCTGTGAAACGGACGTAGCCGGAGAACGTAGCTGTTTCCTTTTAAAGAACCCAGTCACGGTGGTTACACGTGTATCTCCATATGGCAAAATTGTGGAGCTGTGCTCTTAAAATGGGAGTCTTTTATTGCATGTACATTACACCTCAGTGAAGCTGATTTTTATACCAGTTAATGCTTGTGAGTACTTAAGGCTGAAAAGGAGACCGAAATGGAAATAGATTGTAAATATGCCTTGACGGATATATGGTGGTAGGTGTTACTGGAAAGGCTAGGAAAATATATTTAAGTATGGAATAACAATTATTTTGTGTAATGGAGACATAAGCAATTATGATATTCTCCAAGGATTTCAAAAAGTTTGAATCATTTTTAGAGTCGATAAAAATAACAACACAATGAAATACATGTACAGTATATCACTGTGTTATTCAAACAATTTATTTAAAAGAAGTTTTGCCCCATTAGGGATGGAGTGGGGGCATTCAAGGTGTTCTCAGAGTTTTTTTATGGTGCAGGTCAGTGAAAAACCCCGAAGTGTTTTCTGGATCTTTTGGGACCTGCTTATCAAGTACGCTAGTGGCTTTCAAAGCCGGTTCATTTGTGCAGGGAACTTTGTGAGACTGGAGAATGATTTGTCGATCTTCAGGAAAACCAAAGTTGTTTAACTTTCCGGTTACCACCCTGAGCAGGTCAGTCAGAGTTGGGGTTGGTCTGTGGTGCTAAGCTGAGAACGAATTAAATAAGAAAGGTGTGTTGGGGTGGCCAGGGGTGTGTCACTACCTCTAGTGAGCCCTGTCACTTGCCCAGTTGTGTCCCATCAAAAGGTCAGGCCACATTTGCTAGGCACTTTCTAAGCACTCAGGTGGAATGATGCCCGGGAGACAGTTCTAGATAACGCTTTATTCTGTATCCCTCCCCATTTCTTTTCTAACTTAAATGCACTAAGAAAACAAACACACTGAGGTGTGGGGAAACAGGAACTCTGATACCTGTGGGTGGGAGTGTAAATCGCTCTGACCTTTATGGAGAGTCTTAGGTGTAGTAGCCATAAAATTGCAAAGTAGACAGCCTGGACTCCGGAATTTTCACTTCTAGGGATTTGTTCCACAAGCACACCGGCACATATTAATTTCAGCATTGCTCGTAATAACAAAATTGGAAATAATCTAAATGTGCATCCTTAGGGGAATGTTTTTATGCACGTGGCACATACAAACCATAAGCTATGTAGGCAAGAAATAATGAAGTTCATTATCTAATGTATGGAATCCTCACAAAGACATTTATAAATGCAGGAAGTGTATATAGCACTTTACTGTTTGTGTTAAAAAAAAGAAAGAAAAAGATTATATTCACTTGAAAATACAAAATCTCACAAAAAATTTGTAACACAGATTTGCCTGTGGGGAGGAAAGCGGGTAGGTGAGGGATAATGGTAGAAAAGGGACTTTCACTATGCATGCCTTGGAACTTTTTGAATTTTTTAACCACCTTAATCATTTTTATACTCATTTCTGTGCCTTATTAATCCATTTAATAACAAGAAAATACATTTAACATACAGGGAAGTTAAAGTTAAGTTTAATGTAAAAATTTCAAATCATCGGCTGGGTGCAGTGGCTCACACCTGTAATCCTAGCACTTTGGGAGGCTGAGGCGGGCGGATCGTGAGATCAGGAGACCAGCCTGGCCAATGTGGTGAAACCCTGTCTCTACTAAAAATACAAAAATTAGCTGGGCATGGTGGCACGTGCCTGTAATCCCAGCTATTCAGGAGGCTGAGGCAGGAGAATTGCTTGAACCCGGGAGTTGGAGGTTGCAGTGAGCCGAGATCACACCACTGCATTCCAGCCTGGGCGACAGAGCAAGACTCCATCTCAGAAAAAAAAAACAACTCAAATCATCTTAGCCACTTTTAAGTATACAGTTCAGTAGTGTTAAATACCTTTGCATTGCTGTGTATCAGATCTTTAGAACTTAAACTCTGCCCATTAAAATACCACTCCCATTCCTCTCCACACCAGCCCCTGGTAACCCCCATTCTATTTTCTTTTTCTTATGAATTTGACCACTCTAGGGACCTCACACAAGTAGAATCGTACAGTGTTTGTCGTTTTGTTTCTGGCTAATTTCATTTAACATAATGTCTTCATGATTCATCCATGTTGTAGCATGTGCCAGAATTTCCTTCCTTTTTAAAGCTGAATAATGTTCCATTGTATGTGTAGACCACGTTTTGTTTATCCATTCATCCATGGATGGACACCTGAGTTGCTTCTCCGTCTTGGCTACTGTGAATAATGCTGCTATGAACATGGGTATGCAAATGAAACCTTTTGAATTTGGAGAATGTGACTATATTACCTAATTTTAAAAACATATTAAACTAATTAAGTTTTAAAAAACAGATACATGATATTCATGAATCAACCTGAAAGTAGCATCTTTTTCTTTTTTTTTTAAAGAAGATTCTCTATTTAGTGTTTATGGATGCACAGGAAAACTGCTTTAAGGCATAAGTTGTTTTTTATTAAATTTGTCTTTTACCTATTCTTTTACAATTTTGGGGGTTTTCCTTTATGCTCAAGCTTCCTCAAGATTCTTCAAGGCAGATCAAAACCATCCTCAGTGGCAATCCTGTATTTGGCTTTTGATTTTGCTTATTTCACAGGAGGTTGCTTTACTGAGAGGGGGAAATCTCTACTCCTGGTCTCAGTGCTGGTAGTGGATCTAAATCAGCAATGGGCGGACACCCCAGCCCCACACTACTGTGGCTTCCCCACTTGTGGGCACAAACAGTCACGTACTAGGCAATGGTGACCTCTCCAGGTAGGCAGTTTTCCCTCAGGTTATATTGGAGTTAGAACCTGCCTGAAAACCACTAACCGGCTGCAGCGGTGGGATTGTGTGAAGAACAAGTTACCTTCCTCCAGGGCAAGGTGATTCTTTTAAACAAATTTTAAGACAATTTAGTTGTACTGAATTTAGAGCTGAAGCCAGTTGCAAATGTAGCTGCTTGTGTCTGCATAAGAAAGAGGAAGTATGCTAGTTTTCCTTTCCTTGTTCCAGAAGAGGGCAGTTCTTGCCAACGCGAGCTGCTGCTTTAAGAACTTGAAGCAACTTTTCTGACATCTGAAACTATTTGTCTTTTGGGAACTTATTTGTCCTAGCCTGCCTGCAGAACCAGCTGTTAAGGCTCTGTTGGGAAGGAGTATCGCTCTGCTATATTGACCTCTGGTAGACCATGACATGGCCCCATATGCCATACAACATAAACTGGTTACTAAGAGTAATTTAATGGCTATCTCTAGAGCTACTCTTTTGTTACCTTCTAAAGAAGGCAGGGAAGAAAATATAAATGGGGTTATAATAGGAATAATCTTGAATCTGTTTTAATTTATACAAAATACATTTATAAGTTTTGGCACATTCACGTTTGGATACTGGCTAACAACTTTTTAGCGAGAGTAGCCTGTATCTTGCATGTCATTCCATTGAACAGTAAGGTGGATCCCTGTCAATGAAGAAATCATCTGATGCCAGGGACTTTGAAGTCTTTCTCCAAGAGGTAGATACGATGATCTCTGTTTTGCTGGAAAGAAAGCTGATACCCAGAAAGAGCCTGTAATCTCAGGTCCCCGTGGGTAGTAAACAGCCCTGGTTTGGAACCCAGGTAAGTCCAACCTGCAGGATTGTACTTTCCCCCTTTCCCCACACTTTGTATTTGCCAAATCTGATATGAGGGCACTTGGCTCTTCAGAACCAGAAGCTATGTGTGATTGAAGGGCTCTATTAAACCTTAGGATTTTCCATGACTTGTCGCTCCCATCCGCTTCCTCTCCCCAGGGTAGCTTCTTGTCTGAGTTTCCGTTTGCTTCCCACCAATCACTGTCTCTCTAGGAGCAATGTCGTCCTACGGAATCTTCCGTATCATTCCTCAACTGTAAGCTCTGCAGTTCAGGAATGCAATGTTAGGAATCCCAGTGTTGCACAAACTTCCTTTCTAGCCGTTGGATTCTGGTGTGCAGAGAACTAAAGAGACTTCCCAGGATTCAGACCCTTCCAATGGGAGGATTCTCCTAACTCTAGGGGAACTGTTGGCTGCTTAAGAGCAAAACCATATGGCTCACTCAAAAATCCCTTTCCTAAGAGAAATCTATAACTGACCCTCTGTGTTCCCTTTTCTCTGAAGATTTCAAATATATTTGTGGTAAAAGCAGAGAAAGAAGAGGAGAAAATCATAATAAAAGCACAATAATGATGATTTTAGTAAAGATAAGAATGGGGCATGGATCAAGACAATGACTAAAACCCCAGGCAGGAAAAGCCCCGTGGAATTGGTCTGAACTGAATGTAGCAGCCCATCAGTGGAAGTTTTCTTGTTTCTGGCAGGTGGCCTATGCTTTTATCTATTACTGCTCTGTAATCAGAATTGAGCCACGATATTCAAGTTTCTTATCTGAATGATGGGAATTTGGTTTTCTGGCCTTCTGCATTTTGCAGGAGCCCAAGAATTGACCTGATGTTTTAAAATATATTTTCCCTCCAAAGGAGGAGTAAAATCCAGACAGGTGGGCCATTCTGTGTGTTTAAAGTCATTGAAAAGCCTCTGCAAGTAAAATTTGAGGCTGTCTGTAACCCACATTGAATAGTTACAGATATATTTTATTTTGGAGGATAAAAAATCAAGAAGTTACTACCACAATTTGGTGGGAATTTTGAATTTTGGAGTTTTCCTTTGTACTCAAGCTTCCTCACGATTCTTCCAGGCAGATCAAAGCCATGGGTTTTGGGATCCCCTAATCGCAAATCCAGTTTTGCTTCTTAAAATCTAATCAGTCCTTAAGTTATTTTTTAAATCTTCCTTTCTACTCCCCAGTTGAAATCTCCATTTCTACTTCTAGAAATCCAGTCAAACCTTATCGCCTCCATTTAGAACTGATCGATAGCAACTGGTGAGCAGGTTAATTATAATCGCAGAATAAACGCTGAAGTCTCAAAGTTCACCACTTTTGCAATGTTTCCAAACCCCTCGGGACCATGCCAGGAGGCGCTCATTGACCCATTCCGAGCAGGTGTGGGAGTTTGAACCAGGGGCAGACAATCAGATCTGATTCAAACAACTCAATTTGGTTGCTTATCTAGAGGTTTTCCTATCTTATGATATCTGTCATTTTAGATAAAAAAGAGTTCATCAATTGAGCTGGGAAATGGCAAAGTTACATTTTATTCTGATAAAAGTTTGCTAGTTGTTGTTTTATCAGCTTGGGTTGAAATTGTGTCTCCGTCAAGGTCTGCAATGACCTTTTCAGATATTTTATCAGGTATTAGGTGGGGGAGTCCTTTTTTTTTTTTTCCTTCTTTGACCTAGAAAAGAATGACCTGACTTCCAAGATCATAAATCAAACCAGGTAAAGACAGGCAATAATACAGGTTGCCCCTCAAAATTGAGTAGGCGGGGAAAACAAACAACAAATAAAACCTTTCCCTAGCATTTGGGGAGAACTTAACTTGACCCGAAATAAAGAATGTAGTTCCCACGGAGTGCACAGATGTAGGAAAATACTGCTTATTTTAAAAAAGAAAATGCTTTCCAGGCAAAAATGGCTTCAGAGAAACACGTAGTAATTTTTTTTCAAGTAGTATAAGGGAAACTTCTTTATTTTATGAAACTCAATGTATATTTATTATAGAAAAATGGAAAACTCACATAAACCAATGTAAAAATAATTGGTAATCTTACCATCCAAAGATAACCACTGTTAGGCATTAATCCTTGACTTCCAGTTATCCTACATACACAGGTATGTGTATAACTACATTATTAAGTAGTCGTGCAAGTTACTGTTTAAAGTCATTTCAGCACTGATGGCAATTTCTGTAAAATTAGTGACCCAGATTGGATCCTTAAACACTGATGCCATTTTTAAATAAAGCAGAAATGAGAAATTGACCAGCACTGTCAATAACAGCTGAATGGAAGAGTTGGGTGTAAAAACATATTTTTTAATCTTATGGTATATAATTTATAGCCACTTTAAAACTAAAGCATATTTGTAAGTTTTAAATTAGGGTCCTTGAAGCGAGGTGCCCCCAGGACGTGTGATTTACTAGGCCTCACTGGGGAATGGGAGTTGCAGCGCTGAAATCTGCTATTTGAAAAGGGGTGACCCAAGATCCCAGCAGCCGCAGGGAGGTGAAAGCACATTGGTCTGGCGCGGAGAAACCCTGGGCTCCTCTCCCAGACCCTTCTCTTCCTGCGGTGTGACTCACTGCCTCTCTCTGCTTGTGTGGCCATTTGTAAGGTGAAGAATTCAGGTCAGGTACAGCAATGGTGAGAAGGACTGCTCTACCGCCCTTTGGAGATGTTTAAAATCGAGTGTCTTCCGGCATGCCCCGTGATAGTCATTCAGGCTGACTTTGTCTTTCCCGGTACCACAGAGGCCACATTAACATTAAGCCTTCCTGTGCCTGCGTGGACATCAAACTCGAATTCATGCTTGCCTGTGTCAGGTAGGTTTCCACGGCTGCCTGCCTTGTTTTAAGCAACTCTGTGAAATCTTGGGTTTGATGGACTCATCTTTTCTTTTTACCTTTTATTTTAGATTTGGGGGTGCATGTGAAGGTTTGTTACATAGGTAAACTCGTGTCACGGGGATTTGTTTTACAGATTATTTCATCACCCAGGTATTAAGCCCCAGTACCCAATGCTTATCTTTTCTACTCGTCTCCCTCCTCCCACCCTCCACTCTCAATTAGATACCAGCATCTGCTGTTTCCTTCTTTGTGTTCATAAGTTCTCATCATTCAGCTCCCACTTATATGTGAGAACATGCGGTTAGTTTCCTTTCCTGCATTATTTTGCTAAGGATAATAGCCTACAGCTCCATGTATGTTCCCTCAAGAGACCTGATCTGGTTTTTTTTTTATACGGCTGCATTGTTTTTCTTATGCAAAGTGACCTCAGGTGCTCTGAGTTTCCTGCTGCTTGGGCTTTGCTTTTCAGTTAATAAACCCACTGAGTGTTGTCTGCAGGTCTAGGCAGTGGTGGAGATTTCATAGAAGTTCAGCTCCCTTCACACCCCAGCTCCACATGCGTGATTTGTTTCATCCATCCACCAGCCAATAAATACTTCTCCCCATTCCCTGTGAGCCTGGCGCTGGTCAGGCTGTAAAGATACAAAATGAACAGAAGTGTCTCCGAATCCCAGCAACTTAGAGCTTGCTAGGGGAGGGAACACGTGGATGTGCACTCTTAGGGGCAGGGGATCTGAAGCGCAAGGGGGCGAAAGTGGGTTCTACGGAGCCCTTAGGATACCGAAACTGGCCTGGGCGCCTGAAGTCAAGGCCAGGCTTCCTGGGCAAGGCAGACTTGTGGCATCCTAAAGGATGAGTAGGCGTTTGCTGCCTATAGGAAGGCCATTCTGAGCCCAGGACTTAGCTTGAATCAGGCTGTTCTGCAGTCCCGAGTGGAGGGCGCGAGGCAGGAATGCAAGCAGAAGCACGGCGTTGAGGGATGTTAGAATGCTGGAAAGGTGAGCAGGATTCGAGCAGCACTTCAGATATAGCGCTTTGGTTATGGTATAAGAAGGCGCAAGCTCCTGGCTGTTGGTTTTGTTTTGCACCCAAGCAGGGTGATGAGCGCCTCCCGCTGAGTCACCCATTTCCCATCGGAGAAGGAACTCTGGTTAAAATGAAGCCGCACGCTACAGGCCAGTTTTGGAGGATTTATGTGGTGTGCTTCGGCAGCAGGGCACGGCGGCTGTGTGGTTTGAGTTCAAATTGAGGGCCAAGAGGGGACAAAACTCAAGCCAATTTTAGTCCCCAAATCTGGAGCCCTGCCCTGGGAAGGAAGAGGAGTGTTCGTCTGACCCAGAAGGTCAAGCATCTTGTAATTCTGCCCTCTTCTTGTACTTTCTCTAAAGGTGGTGGGATGACATAGGATTACAATATAGATAATTACAGGGGACAATACTATGATGCAAGGATGGATTGCCAGACCCTGTAGGGTGGATTCACCTACCTCCCAGGAGGTGTAGAGGTGAAGAGGAAGGGCTCAGATCAACCGATCTTTCTTTCTCATTTGAACCTCTCTCACTTTGATCCATCACCCTTCCTTTAATTTTAAGTTCAATTTCTACCTTTTAAATAGGTTAAAAAACATTTTTTTGAGACAGACTCTCACTTTGTTGCCCACACTGGTCTCTAACTCCTGGGCTTAAGCGATCCTCCTGCCTCAGCCTCCCAAAGTGCCAGGATTACTGGTGTGAACCACCACACCCCACCTAAATAAGTTTTTTAATGTGAAAAATTTCAAACATAATAAAAATAGAGAGTAGAATATTCATCCCTCAGCTTTGACAAATATCATTTCATGACCAGCTGTTTAATCTATACATTACTCACTTTCCCCCACACAGTGTTATTTTGAAGCATATTCCAAACAGCATGTCATTTTACCCACAAATACTTTTGTATATATGTCTGAAAAGTACGAGGACTCTTTTATTTTAAAAAATACAGCCCCACTGCCATGTTATCACCCTGAAACAAATTGTCACTCTTTAATATCATTCAATATCCAGTCACTGTTCAATTTCCCAGTTTGTCTAATTGTCTTTAATGCCTTGTTCCAATCAGGATCTAAATGAGGTCTAAGCATTGCCTGTGTTATGCCTGTTAAGTTTCTTTTAATCTATGGGTTTCTCTTTCATCTCCTTTTCTTCTCCTTGCATTCTGTTTGCTAAAGAAATGAGGCTTTTCCCAGAGGACTTCTGCAGACTGGATTTTGTTGACTGCCTTCTCTTCATGACATTGAACATATTCCTCTGTCCCCTGTTGCTCATGTAAGTCTGTGATGGGAAAAATAGGCACACTCAGATTCAAGTTTGTGATGGCAGCAGCCCTGGATGCTCATTGCCTAGACCCTTTACTTTGTTAGGCATTGCTAATGGTAATATTCTACTGCCACCATTCCTTCTTCATTTGTTAGCTGGAATTCTTCTATAGCAACAAGCACATTTTTAGCTTATTGAATATTTGGTTACTTGGAGGTACAGTTTGTCTAGGAAAGGCAGGATACATGCCTGCTACAGTCGCTTTACTTTTCATTGTTCAAAAGAACAAATTAGTTCTCTAGCATCCTTCAACAATTACCAATGAAATGAAATTGTTTTCAGCATGATTAAGAACTCATGGACTTCAGCTGAGTATAGAGGCTCATGCTTGTAATCCCAGCACTTTGGGAGGCTGAGGCTGGAGGATCATTTGAACCTAGGAGTTTGAAGCCAGCATGAGCAACATAGTGAGAGCCTGTCTCTACAAAATAAATAAATAAATAAATAAATTAGGCAGGGGTGGTGGCATGTGCCTGTAGTCCCAGATACTTGGGAGGCTGAAGTGGGAGGATTGCTTGACCTGGGAGTTCGAGGCTGCAGTGACTCATGGTCCAACCACTGCAATCAGCAAGACCCTGTGTTAAAAAAAAAAAACAAAAAAACCTCATGGGTTTAAACAAGCATGATGTGTTTCTATCCATATATCCTGATTGATGTTCAGATTGTCCTATCTTTGCTAGAGGGAACTTGCTTAAACTGAGCTCTTTTGACAAAATCTTAGTTTAATAGTTTCTTGCTTTCCATCCTATAAAATGTCCTAATCTCTTTTTATGAGTTTTCTCTTGCCAGGCCTGGATTTGGCCATTTGCCCCAAGAAACCTGGCTCCTGTTAGTGAGGAATGGCGTTTGGAGATCAATCTCAGAGCTAGCTCTGCCAGCTGGGCTTATTGCTATTGGGTTAGTCATTCAACATGCAGAGTCAGGAAATACGTACCCCTCCTACCCCAAAGATAAGATAAAATACAGCATGTCTTCATACTGATGCTTTCAATTCAAATTTAGGGCTAAAAGGCTTTTACTTGCTTCATTCATCTTTTTAAAAAAATTATCTTAAACTATACATAAGATAAAATGTACCGTTTTAGCCATTATTAAGTGTACAGTTGGGTGGCATTAAGTACATCCACAGTATTGTACAACCATCACCCCCAGCAGTCTCCGGAACTCTTGCATCTTCCCAAGTGAAACTCTGTACCCATTAAATAACGTCTCCGTATCCCCTTCCCTCCAGCCTCAGGCAGCCCCCATTGTGCTTTCTGTCTCTCTGAATGTAACTACTTTAGTTACATGGAAGGACACAGTATTCTCTTGTGACGGGCTCGTTTCCTTTGGCATAGTGTCTTCAAGGTTTCTCCATTTTGTAGCATGTCAGAATGCAGCATGTCTTTTTTTTTTAAGGCTGAATAATATTCCATTGTATGGATCGATACTGTATTTTGTTTATCCATTCATCCCTCCATAGACAATTGGGTTGCGTCTGCCCATTGACCATTGTGAATAATGCCGCCATTTTTACATGGGTGAACAAATATCTATTCACCTCCCTGCTTTTACTTCTTTATGGTATATGCCCAAAAGCGGCATTGCTGGATCCTAGGGTAATGCTATGTGGTTTTTAGGGACCATCATCCCATTTTCCAGAGACTGCACCATTTTATATCCTTCATGGCATCTTTACATCTGTCAGTCTTTCCAAAAATCCCATTCTCAACATCTCCAACGTAATTCTTCATTTTCTGTATGTCATAACATCCTCATCTCTGAGTAACAATAGGAACACTTCACCAGCAGTACGAGTCCTGAAACCCGCCCTGTGTTGCTTGCCTTGTCTTGCCTTTTGACATTGGGCTCACCTCCAGTGTTTCTAGCTGTTGGCTGTGGGCTCCTCATCACCTTCGTGAGCTGGTGGCACATGGGCAGGCATGAATAAATAAGTGCCTTAGGGACACATGCACAAAGAAGTGTGTGTGTGTGTATCAAATGCATTGCCCACATGGAGGCTGAAGGCAGAGTCTTGAGAGAGGAGGCGATCAGAGGCCTAACCCAGCCTTGGGAGTGAGTGGGTGATGACAGAGGACATGGAGGGAAGGAAAGTCACAGGCCAAATAGGGAAGGAAGGCCATGGGGGAGCCAGTGGCCATCGTCTTTCTCTTGAGCTCCTGTAGCCACAGTGTGAAGGGAAGAGCTGTATGTGTAAGACGCCTTCCATGTGCCCCTCATGCCCGCAGTGTACACGGGCTGGGGGTGGGTCATCCTGACGTTGCCCGCTCAGGGGTGGCCTTCACGTTTGCTTCACCGCCTTTCATTCTCTGCTGTCCTTCTGTGTTGTCATGGAAGGAGTCACGCTCTGTCCTTGGAGCCTCGTGCGCAGCCCATGCAGTCCCTGTGGGGCTGGGGTAGAGATGAGGGAGGAGGGATACCCTGTAGCAAATGGGATCCGGTCATGTGGCCCAGGCCAATGTCATCATCCTCCCCAGCAGGGACTTAGATCCATGTTTTCCCAATAGCTTTATTTGCTGGGTGGAGAAAGTCTGGAGGAACTTTTGAATAGGGAGTTGAGTACATTTTGAGTAGGTTGTGAAAGTTAGGAAAGACTGTCTCACCCCCAGTCCTGTTGAAGCCCCGTGCATCACGCAAGGGCTGGGGAATCTGATTCCGTACTGGCCCCCACCTTCAGAAGCCTCCGGCTCCGGGCACACGCTGGGAAGTGGATGCCACTGCCAGGGAGGGAACTTGCAGAACCGAAGGCCTCTTTTTGCCTGGTTTCCTGTTGGGAGAAGAGCAAGTTCTACAGTATTTCTGGAGAGTGCTTGGGTTTTACTGCGCAGGCTGGGGTGAGTCTTGGTCTTAGTGGGGATGGCCAAGGTTCGTGAAACTCCTGCCCCTCGCTCTTCACTCTGGAGGTCAGACTTGCTGCTGCCTGCCTGTCGTGGCAGGGAAGAGCGTGGACCCAGCAGCCTTGGCTCACAGCGAGTGCTGACCCTAAGCCATTATTACTCGGCACCTTGGCAATCCATCTGGTACTGATGGCCTCAAAGAGGGAAGCAGAAGGTGCATCTTGCAAGTGCATGAAAGCCAGTGGCGGGAAAGGGGCCTGGGCCCGGGGGGTGGGGTGGCTTCTGGCCTCTGCATCTCTGTGTGGCTTGTCTCTGCATGCAGCTTTTGACTCATCTCCAGCCACAATTCCTGAGCGTCAGCCTGTGGCCTCTGTTCTCATTCTACCTTCTGGTGCTGTCCTTTTATTTGGATTATAGTTCCACTAGCCTGGAAGTATTTTCAGGGCAAGAATTATGCCACATTTCCTTCTGGGGTCCGGAATACCATCACCTGGTACATACAGGACACATGCACGTATTCCTTCACAGAAAAGATGCAGCCCGGAATCCATCCTGAAGCATTTGGCAGCTTTGGCTCACATATTCAGACCTCTGTGAAAGGCTCTGCTGAGACATCTTCGGCGGGAGCGGAGCCATCCTTGTAAAAGGAACCTGAGAAACAGAAGCCCAGGGATGAGCCCATGTGGATCCCTGGCCAGTTTTACAGGGAGAAGGACCCTGAGAGACGCCAGGGAGACTGAGGTAGCAAAGGCGCCCAAAACCTAGAAGGCCAGGAAGCGAGAGAAGAGCGCAGAAAGTTCTAACATTATGTTCTCAAAGGTAGTAACACGGGAACAGGGCAGTGAGGTGTGGCCAACACCGGGGACCTCTTGGGTCTGAGGCAGGGAGAAAGGTGCAGGTGGAGATGTCCCAGGGACAGGGGGACAGGTGGCAGTGGCTGGACTCTGAGGGCTAAGGGCTGGTGCACATGTGGGATACTCCAGTCTCTGTTTGAACCCTTGAGAGCAGGAGAGAGCCCCCAGGGGAGTGGGGGCGGTGCAGAGGGGTGGAGGAGGAGCTCTGCAGAGCTGCCTTCTGATGCAGTTGGAGGCCTTGGGAGGCCCAGAGCCAGGCAAGGGAGATGAGGAAGTGGATAGGCGTGTGCCCCCGTGTTTGCCTGTAGACACCCCTTGCATCCTCACTTGATCCCTTGATGCTCTGCTGGGCCCTGATGGTGCCCTCCTGGCTTCCAAAGGCCCCCTGCCATCTTTACATTCCATCAGTGTTCTGGACCTGGAGCAGATGACTCACAATCTTTCCCTGCCAGCTTGCAGAGACTTCCGGAGTTTTCACTCATCTAGTTTGTCCTTTCCCATCTTGGGTGCCTCAGCCCACTGTTTTTCCCTCCAACTCACTTTGTGTAGATTCTCCATGATCCTTCCTGGAGAGCCCCTTGAGGCACCAGGAGAGCTGTGCGTGCCAGCCATGCCTCTCAGCCTCATCATAACAAACGTCACAGGGAAACAAGCTCCCTTCAGACCCTGTTTAAAGGCGTTTAAAGGCGGTAAGTGCCTGTCAGTCTTGGAGGATAGTGACTCACTGCCTGAAAACCTTCACAGAAGTGACAAGACACTTTTCTTCGGGGAATGTTGATATTGAGTTTCCTCCCCTGTGTAAACACATCTCCAGGAGTGGCATTAATAATGGGGACCCTTTCCCCAGGACAAAGCAGAGGATGGGGGGAGAAGGAAGAGGAGAATGGACCCGCCTGCTGGGAAGGGGGGAGAGCTGGCCATATAAGCAGCTGTTCCTGGTGAAGGGGGAGCCCATTAGCCAGACCCTTTTTTCATTTGTTTTCAGGGATTTTGCTTATAATCTTTATGGGGACCGCCAACTTTTTATTTGACAGTTGATAAGGAGAGGCACTAGAGTCTAGTAAGTGGTTAAAGAAGCTGGAGTCAGGCACCTGATTTAAAATTCCTGCTAGCCTGGGTGCGGTGGCTCACACCTGTAATCCCAGCGCTTTGGGAGGCTGAGGCAGGCAGATCGCTTGAGCTCAGGAGTTCGAGACCAGACTGGGCAACATGATGAAACCCTGTCTCTACTAAAAATACAAAAAATTCGCCCAGTATGGTAGTGTCTGTCTGTGGCCCCAGCTAGGGAGGCTGCGGTGGGACGATCACTTGAGCCTGGGAGGTGGAGACTGCGGTGAGCCGTGATCTAGCCTGGGTGACAGAGTGAGACTCTGTCTCAAAAAAAAAAAGTAAAAAAAATCCAGCTTTACCCCGTATAATGTCACCCAGTTTTCATGCCCATAAAATTGGAATGGAAACTACTCCATAGAGGCTAAGAAATATTATTCATAAAGCATAGTACTCGGCATGTAGTAAGTGTCTATAAATGTTAGTCTGCATTTACTTATTTATTTATTTAGAGATGGAGTTTCACGCTTGTTGCCCAGGCTGGAGTGCAGTGGTGCAATCTCAGCTCACTGCAACCTCTACCTCCCAGGTTCAAGCGATTCTCCTGCCTCAGCCTCCCGAGCAGCTGGGATTACAGGCGCCTACCACCACACCAGCTAATCTTGTATTTTCAGTAGAGATGGGGTTTCATCATGTTGGCCAAGCTGGTCTCAAATTCCTTATGTCAGGTGATCCACCGCCCTTGACCTCCCAAAGTGTTGGGATTACAGGCGTGAGCCTCTGCACCCAGCCAAATATTAGTCATTAAGCCAACCATTAATAAATGCTATTATCATTAAAGGAAATATTGAAAATAGTATCTTTTTTGTTTTATTTTTGGTTTTGTTTTTGAAACAGGGTTTTGCTCTGATGCTCAGGCTGGAGTGCGGTGCTGTGATCATAGCTCACTGCAGCCTTGAACTTCTGGGCTCAAGCACTCCGCCTTCCTCAGCCTTCTAAGTAGCTGGGACTACAGGTGTGCACCACCATACCCAGCTTTTTTTTTTTTAATTATCATTTTACTTTCTGTAGGGGCAGGGTCTTGCTCTGTTGCCCAGGCTGGAGTACAGTGGCATGGTCATGGCTCACTGTAGCCTTCAACTCTTGGGCTCAAGCAATCCTCCTTCCTCAGCCTCCAAAAATGGTGAGATTATGGGTTTGAGCCACTGTGCCCAGCCCTGGATTCAATACCATAAAGGGTTAGATTGCACAGGAGGCTGCCAAGTTGAATTAAGTGGGGTTTTATATTAGTGAGAATTTGCCTTCCTTCTCAGTATTAATCTACATTTAGGTCATAGACCCCATATCCAACTTACTGTCTATAATTTCTCTTACATAGGGGGGCACATTTAGATAAGCACAGACTAATTGGGGTTATAGTCATAGCTTTAGAATAGTTTAAAGACCTAGCTGACGGCCAGGCGTGGTGGCTCACGCCTGTAATCCCAGTACTTCGGGAGGTCGAGGTGGGAGGATCACTTGAGGTCAGGAATTCGAGACCAGCCGGGCCAACATGGTGAAACCCCTTCTCTACTAAAAATAGAAAAATTAGCCATGTGTGGTGACAGGTGCCTATAATCCCAACTACTCAGGAGGCTGAAGCAGGAGAATCACTTGAACCTGGTTGCAGTGAGCCATGATCGTGCCACTGCACTCCAGCCTGGGTGACAGAGCAAGAAAAAAAAGATCTAGCTGAGGGAGTTGGGACCAGATGATTTTCTCCAGTGATGTTTGAACAAAAAGAAAAAATGCAGCTGGGCGCGGTGGCTCATGCCTGTAATCCCAGCACTTTGGGAGGCCAGGGTGAACGGATCACGAGGTCAGGAGTTCAAGACTAGCCTGGCCAACATAGTGAAACCCCATCTCTATTAAAAATACAAAAAATTAGCCAGGCGTGGTGGCATGCACCTATAATCCCAGCTACTTGGGAGGCTGAGGCAGGAGAATCATTTGAACCCAGGACACAGAGGTTGCTGTGCCACTGCACTCCAGCCTGGGCAACAGTGCGAGACTGTGTCTCAAAAAAAAAAAAAATGCAGAAGCTACTTAGGTTGAACACAGAAAGGAAGAAGGACTGTGTAGTTCAGTAGTGTGTGTTCTGAGAAAGCCCTCACAGCGTTGGTCTCTAGTAATCTCTGGAAATAAGTGAATCATTCCAGCTTGAATTATCATGATGCAAAATTGTGTTCGCTGAAAAGCAGGGGTTAAGTCCGCTGCCTTGTGAATTTCCGCCTGGAAATGCATCTGACCCATGGTGGTTGCTCAATTCTGAGTGAGTTTGGAGAAGGAAGGAAAATGAGGAGTTACTTATTAGTTAGTCGTTATACATTTTTGGTTTTTAAACCCAATATATAATTCCTGGATATTCCTACCACTTACTATTTGTTGTCGTTGTTTCTATTGTTTTTGAGAGAAGGTCTTGCTCCATTGCCCAGGCTGGAGTGCAGTGGCGTGATCATGGCTCACTGCAGTCTTTACCTCCAGGGTTCAAGGAATCCTCACACCTCAGCCTCCTGAGTAGCTGGAATTACTACCATGCCCAGCTAACGTCTATATTTTTTGGAGGTAGGGTTTTGCCATGTTGCCCAGGCTGGTCTTGAACTCATGAGCTCAAGTGATACTCCTGCCTCAGCCTCCCAATGTGCTGGGATTACAGGCATAAGCCATCGTGCCTGGCCTCAGTGAGTGGTTTTGTGGGCTGGAGTAAGGATCCAGCTGTCTTCGCTGCAGGAGTGACAGGGACGTGGTGTCCATCTCAGAGGAGCCAAGTGGGCTTGCCTAGGCTTTCGATTCTTGTGAAGATGAGTGAACTGAAACCAGACACCTCTTAGATCTATGGGCCCTTCTACCTCTGATGATCTGTGAGATTCAGTGAAGGTGAACAGTCACTGTCGGGGATGTTTTAATGATTTTACTAAAAATCGGAATAGAATGTGAAACAGGGGGATCTGAAGAGTGATTATTTGTACTGTTCTGGTCAGGAGCTGGGAGCTTTGTCTGGCCTCCACGTAGGGGCCTGAGGACAAGAACTAGGCAGAGGTGCAGACAGCGAAGAGGAGGATGGCTCCTGGGTGTTCAGGCCATGGCCAGCCTGGTCAGCAGAGCAGCTGTGGGAAAAGGGATGATATTTGGTGGTAGCACTGAGGCCCAGCCAACACTGAGCGCTTAGGATGTTTCCTGCTGCCCTGGCATTGTTTTGTTATTTATTCCAGCGACTGTCCTGTGGGCAGGAACTGTAATGTCCATGGGCAGGAGAAGAAACCCAGGTCACAGGGACCTGCCCAAGGCCACAGAAGGCCCGAGGCTGGCGGGACCTAGGTCAGCCTGACTTCCCCGGCCAGTGCCCTCTCTGTTTGTCTCGTGTCATCTGCCTTGGGAGCTCACATTTCAGGGCATGTGGCCCAGTGCCCACTGAGGTGCAGCCCGCGTGCCTGGACGGCTCTGTCAGGGCGAGCTTCTCGGGCAGTCTTCCTTCCCTCTCCATTTGTTGCTGCAGGATTCTCCTTTGGTCCTGACTTTTCTGGTTTTTCATTTCCTTACCTGTAATCTGTTCACTCTTGGTCAGCAAGAGAATAATATTGCAGCTACCACTGCCTCTGAGTTTCCTCCTGGAAGACTGAGTCTTATGAAGACCCGGTTTTGAGGAGTTTCCTGGCTGGATCAGCAAAACCACAGTGATCCACATTTGATTGATGTATTTTGAGTTTACATTTATTCCCAATGTTTATTTTCTTGTAAAAATGAGCGCATTATTGATTAAAAGAGAGAGACACAATATCCAAAAGGTGGAAGTAGCCTAGGTGTCCATCCGTGGATGAATGAATGAACAAATGTGGTCTGTGTGCTCAGTGGAGTATTACTCAGCCTTAAAAAGGAAGTCTTGCACTGCTACAACAGATGAATCCTGAAGACATTACGCTAAGTGAAACAAGCCAGTCACCAAAGGACAAACACTCTATGATCCCACTTCTGTGGGGCCCCCAGAGCCGTCAAATTCATGACGACAGAAAGCAGAAGAGGGGTTGCCAGGTGGTGGGGCCAGGATCGGGGTGCGGGAGGATGGGGAGTTAGAGTTTAATGGGTGCAGAGTTTCAGTTTTGCACGATGAAAACAGTTGTAGAGATTAGTTTCACAACAGTGTGAACACATTTACTATCACTGAACTGTACACTTAAAAATGGTTAAGATGGCTAATTTTATATGTATTTTATCACAATTTAAAGAAGAGAAAAATGGAGAGGCAGTGTACAAGCTTAGTAAGTAGAAAGTAAATTGTGAAAACCTTTTTCCTAACACTTCATTCTATTTGCTTCTTTGGCCAAAGGTGTAAGTAGCATTGATGGACGATTAGGTAGAACTAGCCATCCAGAATTGGTTCTACAAGATTGCCTTTCTGGCTCTTCAGTGTTTCTCTTTGCCCAAGCCTCAGTGTTATCCTGCTATCACAGCAGGGCTGATCACTAAGGAGAAGGTTATCCTTGGTGAGGAGGTGGAAAATGGTGATTTTTAAATGTTGTACTACAAGCAACCGAGTTTTGATCTGCAAATCTATCATATTTATAATCTGCATTAAAATTTTAAGTCACATTCATAAAATATAGGAGTGGATGCACTTTTAAAATTTCTTTGGAATGCAAATCAGATTGGATTAAAGCTATTAACCATGTGTAATAAAAGACTGTAGATTTTGTAGCAGCTTCATGCTCTACCTAAGATGTCTGCCAAGTAAGTGAAATGTATTTGTAAAAAGGCAGATGGAACTACTAGACGTATTGTCATCGAACTATTCTCCAGGGGCACTGATTTCAGTGCAGGTGCTTTAGATGGGAGGAAGGCTGAGAGCAGGGTCTGTGGGGCCCCTATTGCAGAGAAGCTCCGTTTCATCTACTTTATATTTGATTTGTAAATGTTTGATTTGCTTGGCTAAAGAATTCTGAGGCTAGAGCAACAAAACAAAACAGAAGGAGAGAGGTTGGGAAGAAAACGTGAAGTAACACCAAAAAACTAACTGCTATTGCAAAACAAGGATAAAATAGATAATTCAAGATAGATGTGATTGATTGCCATAAAGATTCATGAACACGTCAGGTGAACCCGAGTCTGGAGGCTAGAGGAAGAGGAGCCGACGGAATTTGAGGAGGATGTGTGTCTGGTCTGAAGAGGAGGTAGAGACTTCCTGCGAAGGCTAGCAGAGTAAAGGTTTGCTTTCTCCCTTTCCTCCCCGAAGACCAGCACATCAGATGAAAAGAACCCCCCAAATCAAGTAAAACTTTTATCTGCAGTGAAATTAAGAGATAACTCATATCCCCAACTATAGAAAACTGCCGAATATAATATAAATCCAGACCACATGGAGGGAAAGACTTCGAGAGCTGGTCCATACCTCTCAGCTCTCCTGCCTGTTCGCCTCCCAAATGCCCAACCTCCAAATACCATCACATGTGGGTTAGGGTTGCCAGGAGTAAATTTCCTTGTTAATAAAATGAATGAGATAGGAAAGAAAGCGGCAATGTTTTCATTATTTGCAGATAAAATACTGGTCAACTTCACTAAACAAATGTAAATTCCCTGTGGAGGGAGCTATAAAGCTTTACTGAAGGGCATAAAAGAAGACATGAATAAATGGAGAAAGATACTAGATCCTTGGATTGGAAAAGTTGGCAGCATTCTTTATTCCAAACTCCCTCAAACAAATCTATAAATTTAACACAGTCTCAGGAAACATCCCAGCAAGATTTCTTAAATACAACGTGTCCAGCTGATTATAAAATTTATATGAAAGAGTTATTGTACAAGAATAGCCAAGATAATTTTTTAAAAGGAGACTTAAGAAAGGGGAACTTGCCTTATCAGAAATCAAAACAAACTAGAGACACACTGGCACGGAAGCTAAAGCAGTGATGTTCATTGCAGCCCTGTTGTGTGTAGCAGTGAAAAATTACTTGCTGAAATGCAGCCAAGGTATTAGGAATGGGGAGGCTGTGGCATAAAAAGATTGGCATTAGCATTGAATCCTTTCAAATATCATGTACAGCTAAACAGCTGTGAGAATTATGGAGTAGAATGTAAGTGTTATGTGCCTTAACAATGCCAAACTAATAAATCCTCTTCGAAGAGAGAAGTAGATCTGTGCTGATATGGAAAAATGTCTAAACAGATATGCGTCCCTGCAGAAACAGCTGCAGAGGAGTATCCATGGTATGATCCCACGTGTGTTCAGCACACTGCTCTGTTCTTTCCTGTACTGAGGGAGCCCATTTCTGGTGAGGATTATTTCCACCACCCCGATGACACAGGCTTGGCTATGAGACTTGCTTTGATCAAGAATATGTGACTCGAAGTCACTATGCAACTTCCACACAGAGGCATTAAGAGCCATTACGTGGTTCTGTCATTACTTTTTGCCCCCTGCCACGAGGCTGGCATGAACCACATAGAGGTTTTGCCTTCGGCCTGCATGTCCAATTGAAGCATACATATAGAATTTCGGCCAACTTGCAGCTGACATGTAATGTGAACAGCAAACAAATAACTATTTGTTTGTTACAGCATAACAGCTTAAACAGCACCAAACCAAGCATAAGTGTTTTATACATATACATTTGAACATGGCTAAAATATATCTCCTATATCCTAGATACACTTTTCTCATGTGTATAAACAGACATGTACAAGGATGCCTGATGAAGCATTGCTATTACAGCAAAAAACTGAAAACAATCTGAATATATATCAGTAAGTGTCTTAGCCAGTTTAGGTTGCTGTAACAGAATACCATAGAATGTGTGGCTTTAACAACGCTTATTTCTCAAAGTTCTGGAAGCCAGGAAGCCCAAGATCACGGCACTGGCAGATTGGTGTCTGGTGAGAGACCCAAGCCTGCTTTGCAGAAGACCATCATCTCACTGCATCCACTCATGGGGTGGGTGTAGGGAGATATCTATTCTGTCTTTTCTTTTCTTTTTTTTGAGGCAGAGTTTTGCTCTTGTTGCCCAGGCTGGAATGCAATGGCGCAACCTCGGCTCACTGCAACCTCCGCCTCCTGGGTTCAGGCAATTCTCCTGCCTCAGCCTCCTGAGTTGCTGGGATTACAGGCATGCACCACCATGCTCGGCTAATTTTTGTATCTTTAGTAGAGATGGGGGGGTTTCACCATGTTGGTCAGTCTGGTCTCGAACTCTTGACCTCAGGTGATCCCCCTGCCTCGGCCTCCGAAAGGGCTGGGATTACAAGAGTGAGCCACCGTGCCCAGCCTCTGTCTCTTCTTATAAGGGTACTAATCCCATTCATGAGGGCTCCGTCCGATGGCCTGTTCACCTCCCAAATGCCCAACCTCCAAATACCATCACATGTGGGTTAGGATTGCAAGATCTAAATTTGGGTTATTCACAGACGTTTAGTCCATAACCATAAAGAAATGAACAAGTAAAATGTGATTTATTAATATAATGGAAAACTGTAAATCAACTCAAATAAAGCAGATCCACATGTATAATTAAAACTGGGAAACATAATAGGCAAAAAAGAGACTGGAATTGTGGGTTACACAGAGGCATCTACTGTATCTGCAATGTTGTATTTCTTTAAAAACATCTGAAGGAAATATGGTAAAACAAAGATTTGAAAAAGCTGGTGGTGGGTTTAAGAGTGTTTGCTATATATTTTTTTCTCAGTGACTGAAATATTTCATATTTTTTAAAGAAAGCATTCATGTAAATCTTTAAAATTGCAAAGCAATGCTTATGTTCTTCAGAGGAACATTTATCCCTGTGTGTAGAAGTATATAGATTAATTGGAAGGATATACACTAAATTCAATATAGTGATTGGATAGCAGATGGTGGGGGAATAAACAGAATTGTTACAGTGTCCTTTGTGTTTTTATGTAATTTTAAAATTTCTAAAAATAAAAATGTTAATTAATGCAGTGGAAGATATCTGGAAAAACAGGAAAATTGTTAGCCACCTCTGCCCCTGGAGATGGGATCATGGTGATGGTGGAGACTTTTTGTTTGTTTGTTTGTTTCTTTCTTTCTTTCTTTTTTGAGACGGAGTTTTGCTCTTATTGCCCAGGCTGGAGTGCAATGGTGCAATCTCGGCTCACTGCAACCTCCTCCTTCCGGGTTCAAGCGATTCTTCTGCTTCAGCCTCCCCAGTAGCTGGGATTACAGGCATGTGCCACCACGCTGGCTAATTTTGTATTTTTAGTAGAGATGGGGTTTCTCCATGTTGGTCAGGCTGGTCTCGAACTCCCGACCTAAGGTCATCCGCCCGCCTCGGCCTCCCAAAATGCTGGGATTACAGGCGTGAGCCACCGCGCCTAGCTGAGACCTTTTGTTTCTACGTGACATTCTTCTGTACCGTTTGCCTGTTTGAAAAAAAAAATTTTTTTTTGAGATAGGGTTTTGCTTTGTCACCCAGGTTGGAGTGTGGTGGTGCGATCATAACTCGCTTGCAGGCCTGAAGTCCCAGGCTCAAGTGATCCTCCTACCTCAGCCTCTGGAGTAGCTGAGACTACAGGCGAGGGCCACCAAGCCCAGCTAATTATTATTTTATTTAAGAGATGTGGTGTTACTATGTTGCCCAGGCTGGTATTGAACTCCTGAGCTCAAGCCATACTCCGACCTCACAAAGGGCTGGGATTACAGGCCAGAGCCACCATGCCTGGCCTGTTTGAATTTTTGTAGCAATTAAAAATTGCGTAATTTAAACACAAATTGAAGGGGACAGGGACTAAAAACATAAATGAGAGTTAGAATGCAGTGCCACGTTGAATGCTTTCACAGGTAGGAGCCTAGAAATCATCTGTTCCAACTACTGCACTTTTGAGTTGTGGAGACCAGACCAAGAGAGGTGAAATGACTGTTGGCTAAGGCGTCCACCTCTACTTGCGTCTGGAATTGCCCCTGCCTCTGCCTTTAAGTCTGGTCTGCGTGGCTTCTGATAGCGAAGCCAGGGGCGGACCCCGTTCACTGCATCAGGAGAGCCCTGAGCAGCGCTTGGCAGGAACTCTGCAGCCCAGGGCGCCCTCTAGAGGCTGGAGGACCTTCGTCAAGACCCCGGGGGGTGTGGATGTGGACCTGGAGGAGTGGTGGGCAGAAGGCGGAGCCACCCTTTCACCCAGTCAATTGCATTCCTCTGTCTTTAATGTTGGGCTTCCTCAGATTAGATTTTCTTTGAAGAAAGAGTTCTGCAGCTTAAAAAAAAAGTGACAGAAGAATCACTGGTGCAGAGTAAGGTATAGCGTTAGCATTTGATCTGATATTATCTAGATTCTTTTCACACTAGGAAGCACCTAAGTCATCTGGTCTAACACCTTCCTTTTACAAAGAAGATCTGAGGCCTATATAGGCAAAATGTGTGCTGCCCAGGTCCACGACTGCAGGGCATTGTCTCCTGGCCCTGGTAATGTGGTCTTCATTCTTATTTTTTGTTTTGTTTTGTGTTAACTGAACTTAGAACTAAACAGATCCCTTGCAACTTGGCTTAGACTCCATATTTCATGCAAAAAGCTTTCAGGGTAGCAGGGTGACTCGGTGGATTAGCAGGAGAAGAAGATGTAAAGTGATGGCGATTGGAGCTTAACCTCGGTTTGATTAAGTAATCCCCCAGACACCCCCGAGAGGGGAAAACAGTCCCCACGTATAAATTTCTACACCCTTGCTCGCCTCCTCTTCTGAAAGGCGTAAATCTCCCCTGAAATGCCTCCCTAGCATTCAGGGCAATAAAGAGGTCACATTATATCTCCATAAATCTCCCAGCTGGCTGCTGCTGCTGCCATTCCAGAGGCGAAGGGGAAGTTGTTTCCTCCTGACGGCAGGCCATGGGCCTGGAAGGAAAAGCCTCTCCCTGCAGACCCATTGTCTCGGTCCCTGAGGGAGCTGCCCTGGCAATTTATTCAATATTCCCTTTCCGTCCTGCCAGCTCCTAACTGGGGTTGCAGAGTCAAATGGCCCAGACTAGCCCAGCTTAAGTCTCCTCTGGCCAAAGCTCCATTGCAATCTTCCTAATAAATAAAAGAAACCAGGACCATATCACAGCATTAGAAGCCAGGCCAGGGTTCCCTGGGGCTGAGGCTGGGGCTCGCTGGGACAGGAGCTAGGGTGCTGTGAAAGATGACAGCGGGTCAACAGCTTCAGGAGTGCAGCAAAGCTGAGGACCCACTTGGGAAATGGGTTCCATTTTCCCATTAGGGAATTAAGATGCTTTTGTAGGAAAGGAAGGTGGGAGAAAAGATGCTTTTATGGAAAAATCTGAAAATGGAACCTGCCCAGCTTTAAATTAAAAATGTTACTGCATGAAAGAGTGATGATGCTAGCCCCTGACATATTTATGTATTTTATTTAACATGCAAAATAATCATAGGACAGCTATGGTGGCGCACGCCTGTAATCCCAGTGCTTTGGGAGCCCGAGCCTGGCGGATCACCTAGGCTCAGGAGTTCAAGACCACCCTGACCAACATGGTGAAACCCTGTCTCTGCTAAAAATACAAAAATTAGCCAGGCGTGATGGTATATACCTGTAATCCCAGCTTTTGGGGAGGCTGAGGCAGGAGAATTGCTTGAGCCTGGGAGGTGGAGGTTGCAGTGAGCCAAGATCATGCCATTGCACTCTAGCCTGGGTGACAGAGCAAGACTCTGTCTCAAAAAAAAAAAAAAAAAATCACTATCACAAATAAGAAATACATTAACATAAACATAGTTGAGTATTTAAAAGGTACACAACAGCAAACAATGAGAAGTCCTTCCGTGAGCCACCAAGACACCTCCCTGGAAACAACCAGCATGATCAGTTTCTTGTCTGTCCTCCTAAAAATGTTCATTCTGTATATAAACAAATCCATGTATAGATTCTTCTCCCCTTCTTTTTGTAAGAGAATATCAATGTAATGTCCATGCCTTCTAATATTTCATAGCATATACTGCAAGAATTCCATATCAGTACATCAAGATCATTGTTTATGGCTACATAGTGTGCCTTAATTGAATTAACCAGTCCGGTATTGATGAACGTAAGAGTTGTTTTTCCAGTCCTCTGCTATGGAAGGACATGCCATAGTGAATATCCTTGTATATAAACCATTTTACACAGAAGTACATCTGGAGGATAAATTCCTGGAAGTGGAGTTTCTGGATCAAGTGACACATGCATTTATACTTTTGATAAGATATTGCCAAATTGCTTTCCCCACTGGCTGCGGGGCTGTAGCATGTCACACTTCCCATCAATGCCCAGGGTGTCTGCTTTCCCACATCCCCCAACCCCAGGGCACAGTACTATGACTGAGGCAAGCTGGGAGGAGCCTGGAGAGGGGCATCATCACAACACAGTGACTTGGAGGATCCAGGACCAGTGCCAGACTTTGTCCACAGCGTGACTGGAAAGCTCTTCATGTACATTCTACCCTGGCTGGGACTGTACCCCGAAGGGAGGGCCTCTCCCTTTCTTTCTGTAGAGTGGGAGGAACAGTTGGTGCCACAGCGATGCCTGAGCCCAGATGGGGATGCCACTGTGGTGGGAGGCAGCTGGGACCGAGGTGGAAAAAGTACTTTGTACTTTTTCTTTCCGGCCAGGAGGATCCCAGGAAATTGAAGAAAATAAACATCTCCAATCCTGCAGTGCCTAGGCAGAGATGCTTGCTTAATTAACTGCATATTTAACTAATTTAAACCATGTTACAGGAAGAGAAAATCTGAAGAACATAGTCTATCCAATTGTCATGTAATAAACCAACTCCAATTTCCGTATGGCTTTGGTGAAACTTTGTTTTTGTACTCATTCCTCTACCATTGGGCGTTTTGGTTGTTTCCAGTATTTGGCAGGAATACCTGAAAAATAGATATTTTCCCTTTAAAAAAGTTTATTCCAGTGAATTATTAGAGCAGTTTTATTGCTAGCAAGAGTGGGCTGGCTTTTAGTGCAACGTGGTGTGATTTTCCATATACATCCATCATATATGATTTTATATACACACATGTATGTGTACACACACACACACGGAAACTTCTGGCCCTGCATAGATAATTCTCACAGCTGAATTATATTGTGTGTCCAGGAACATGGCATCTCAGTGGCCGGGCAGCCCAGCTGGCCGGAAGCCGAGCCCTGGGAGTGACGCTGTCCCATCGTCATTTCGGCCGCCTCATGGGACTCTCTAGGCACTGGGTTTGTTGAAACTCGATGGCTCTGTGTGCAGAGCTTCTGTCGTGTGCGGAGCTTCTGTCGTGTGCGGAGGAGTTTCTGTCGTGTGCGGAAGGCGAGGACTGGGAGCTCAGATGAGGCACTTGCCCGGCCTGCTCTGCACCTTGGTTTTCTCTTATGGATATTCACGAAATAGCCCAGACCCAGCTTGCAGGTTTTAAGACTGTACCACTGTGCCACCTGCCCCTTGCTCCTGGACCCTCGCAGCCTCTCCCACAGAAGGACTGGGGATGTGCAGAGAGAGCCGACTCAACAAGGCAGT
Source organism: Homo sapiens (assembly GCF_000001405.40). Lineage (NCBI taxonomy): Eukaryota > Metazoa > Chordata > Mammalia > Primates > Hominidae > Homo > Homo sapiens. The sequence continues at coordinate 11,740,000 of NC_000008.11, forward strand.
GGACAGGGAAGCAGCGGCGGGGGCACCCTTCGCATGCAGTCCCCAGAGGCCAGGAAGGAGCAAATATTTTCAAGTGCTGATCCCCAGCCAGGGCTCCCCTGGTTGTATCTGAGCCTGAAGCCGGAAGCCCCAGGAGCTGCAGGACCCAGTGCCCAATGCGTTGTCCTGGCCTCTTTCCTGGCATGCTGCGTGTGGCTTTTCTGGAAGGGGGCAAGTCAGCCGTACTACCTGTCAGCCGGGACACTAGGGAGACACAGAGAGGAGGGATCAGCATGTCACGGATGCAGGTCTCACAGTGAGGTCTGCAGAGGGTGGCCACACACCCTGGTGTGAAGACTGTGCTTTCAGAATAATTAGTAATATGCCCCCTCCCCTCAGAAGTGTCCCATTTTGTATGGTAGGTCACAGGGCTCCCATATTAATCCGGGGAGGCGGACGGCACAAAGAGGAGAACCTTGTCCCAGGTTTCGGGGTGGGGACTGCTGGGCAGGGTCCCTGCAAACACAGCAGCTGGGAGGCCCAGGCCCCTCCACTCTGGGACTGATCGTAGCTTCCCACATGGAGGCCCCCATGAAAACTCCATAGTTCTTTCACCTGAGGGTGACAGCTGGCAAGACAGTCTTTGTAAAAAATGTATTGGTATAGGGGCAAAATGCTGCCATTCGGGAGAGTTTTCAAATAGAAATGTAGAGCTCACTGCAGTCTTTCAGTATTGCCTTCTTTTCTTTGTTCCTTTTCCGTTTTTTTTTTTGGAGACACGGTCTCACTCTGTCGCCCAGACTGTAGTACAGTGGCATGATCACGGCTCACTGCAACCTCTGCCTCCTGGGTTCGAGCAATTCTCCTGCCTCAGCCTCCCGAGTAGCTGGAATTACAGGCGTGCACCAACATGCCCACCTACTTTTTATATTTTTAGTAGAGACAGGCTTTCACCATGTTGGCCAGGCTGGCCTTGAACTCCTGACCTCAAGTGTTCCATCCGCTTCGGCCTCCCAAAGTGCTGCGATTACAGGCATGAGCCACCACACCTGACCCTTTGCCTGTTTTTAAAATGGTATCCCAGCCTGCGGTTCTCTGGTGGGAAGGGGCCATGGTGACCATTTTCTGGGAGTCTGCATGTTTAGTGTCGAGATGCAGCAAATGAAGTCTTATTCACCACCATACTTTTGTTTCACTTGTTTCAAGAAAGTGCTTGTGGCCAGAAGTGGTGGCTCATGCCTGTAATACCAATACTTTGGGAGGCTGAGGCGGGAGGATTGCTTGAACTCAGGAGTTCAAGATCAGCCTGGGCAACATAGTGAGACCCCATCTCTACAAAATGCTAGAAAAATTAGCTGAGCGTGGTGGTGTGCAACTGTAGTCCCAGCTACTCAGGAGGTTCAGGCAGGAGGATCGCCTGGGGCCGCGAAGTCAAGGCTGCAATTAGCTATGACTGAGCTGCTGGACTCCAGCCTGGGTGACAGAGCAAGACCCCATTGAAAAAAACAAACAAACAAAAAAAGTCCCTGTGAGAGCAATGCAACAGTCCACAAGTTCGCGGACTTAGCTCTATGGCATTGTGATTGCAGAGGCTCAGATTTGAATTCAGAAGCATCCTACATTTCTCCTGGAGCCAGCAACTGATCCTGCATTTTATGGGGAAATCTTTATGCTGTAATTATAGGCCCACATGGAGGGGTTCTCGAAGGTCTCAAAATCTAATCTTGACAATGATGAAGGCCAGGAAGCGTTTCCCAAGTGGGTGAGCTGAGAAGCATTGAGACAGAGATGTTGGGAAGTTTCTGAGATCAGACAAGATGGGAAAACAGCATGCTTGCGCTCTGAACTCCTGCAGCCCTTGCTGCTCTCAGGCCAAATTGAGACTGATTTTCCATCTGCTGCCAGCTTTTGCCGCTGGGGAAGGGGTCAGGGATGGCCAAGGCATCTGTGGGCAGCGCTGGTGGGACGCTGGCCTGCGGTTAAGAGACTGACTGCCCAGCCTGGGTTCGATCCCACTTTGCTGTTGATTAGCTCTGTGGCCCTGGGCAGGATCTGTTCTCTAAAGCTCATGAACTTTCCTCCATTGCCATCCTCTCCTGGACCAGCCTCCCACGCTCACCCTACTATGAGCACAGACCAGGCAGGTGTGGAGGTGCTGGGAGTTCTTAGACCTCCAGGGAGGAGCCGCTGGGGCCCAGGGTGTCAGGGGCTTGAGTCTTTCCACAGTTCCTCCAGTGACAGGTGTGGTTGCCTGTTACAGCCTTCACGCTCATCTTTCTCTTTGTCATTTGTAAAACCTCTTTGCATATGAGCGGGTGTATTTTCCCCTATCATTTGTTCTTCAACCTCTTCCTCCTCTATCTCTCTACGTTCCCCCCTCCCTCCGTTCTTGTTTTTGGTGTTTTGTTTTTTTTTTTTCCTTTCCCTTTCCCTTTCACAATGTCCTTGCCTGTTTGTGATTTAGGAAAAACAAAACAAAACAAAACTGAGTCACATTCTGTCACTCCAGCCAGCTGACGTCCTGGGTTCTTGTCCTTTATAAGGGTCAGAAGCAGAGGCCTTGGACTCTGTGGGGTGACTGCAAGGTGGGCGGTAACTGGTAACCGCCTCTGTTCAGCAGCTGCAGGAGCTTCCAAAATAGGTGATTTCATCCCCGGCCGGAGCGCCGCTGGAGCTGTGTGGGCCTCCCCGTGACAGCCTCCTGTCACAGGCATCTGCCGAGCCTGACGAAGCCCAGAAGACCCAGGGCTCAAGAGCTGCCAGGAAAACCTCAGGCTTTGTTTGGGCCTCGTGCCCCACACCCAGGCGCCAGCCGCAGGGACAGATCCGGGCCTGTCGGGAAATCCAGGCTCCATCTCTGGTGAACTCTGGATGGGACATGGGCCTGGGGTTCAGCAAGGGACATTTGGGTGGGGCTGAGACTTTGCTCTGAAGCCCCTTTGGTTCCCAGGGAACGGTTTCTGGGCAGGTCCCTCCCCTCCTGCCCAGTCTGGGCTGGGGTCTGGCCTTTTCCAAGAAAGCCTTCTGTGTTGTATCTCCTTGGCCCCCTCTGGCCCCTCTTGTGTAGCACTGCCCAGCTGCCCCGGGCACGGGCCCTTTCCACTGTTGACGTGTCTCTCCCTGAACGTCCAGGATGCTGAAGATCTGAAGCTGGAGGTGGTGGGCTGGGCACCACTGTGAGGCCCAGGCCCACTGCCGTTTGTCATCACAAAGGTAGTGATTATTTTTGAGTTGTGCATCCCCAGCTAGACCAAAACAACTTTGGGCAAGGAGTTAGCATGGATTTTGCCAACATGTTCGTTACGTCTAGCACTTGGACAGGGGCGCGTATACAGACGCATGGCAGATATTTGAGTTTCAGGCATTGCTGTGAAGGGGCTGAGACCCATCAACTCTGCCTCCAGGCATGAGGGTGAGGGTCTTCCAACACAGGCTGGGGCTCAACACCAGCTCTCCCCAGCAGGTGGAAGTCTGAGGGGAGCATCTGCAGGAGAGCAGACCAGGCTCTGTGGCGCCGATGGGGCGGCAGCAGTGGCCTGAGCTGTCTCCCCAGCGGCCAGCAGTGCCCAGGGGAGGGAGTGGAGAGCGGAACCGTGACCCTGGCCTCTGATTCCTCTCCCTTTCTTCCTCCCGTGCCTTCCCTCTCCCCGCCCTGACTGGCCTCCCCTTGTTGGGGTGGGTGGGTTCCCCAAGATGGATGGAGCAGGTCAGAGGAGAGGAGAGGTCGGTGTCTTTGCCTCTGGCTGCGTCAGTTCTTTGTAGGGAAGTCAGGGGTGGGATGTTTCAACCTCCTGGCCTGCATTCTTCTTTCAGGCACTAGGGTGGGAGCAGCTTGTTTAATTGATAGGAATATCCATACTGCACCGGCTCGCTGAGAAATCAGACTATCAGACTTTGTTTCCTCTTTAAAAAAAACTTTTTTTAGCAAGGTATGGGAGGAAGTGAAGAGTGAGATCCCCATCCTTGGAGTTAGGACAAAATTTATTTTGTGCTTTTCATTGCTAAACTAATCATTAATTAATACTTCCCATGAGAAGCAACTTGGAGACTGAGTACAAGTGAACGCGGTCAGCCTTGCTGTCAGTTGGTTCCTGGCTTGCAGTCTCAAACCTGACCGCTGAGAGCACAGACAATTCTGAGTATAGCCCCAGTGGTTTAAGAAAGGTCAGATTCCCCAGTCTCCTAGCTCTTTTATCTGTCCTCCCCTCCTCCAATAACCAGCGCCAAAGTTTGTCCTGGTCTTTCCCACTCCCTCCTGACCCCTCCAACTTCAGCCTCCTAACAATAATCCATCATTGTTATCTCATTTGATGTTTGCAAAGCACTTTACAGCCATTGTTGTAAGTTTTTCCTCTCATTTGCAAAGTACTTTACAACTATTATTACAAGTCTTTCCTCCAAACGTGGGTGATGCCTTCCAAGTGGCTGGAGGAGTTCCCGGGATGCCAGCACTGGGTGGGAGGGGCTGCATCCGAGGCCACAGCTGTGCCCCCTGGCTTCGGAATCACTCTTGCCCCCAGGGAAGTTCCTCTCAGTGCCTTTCGTAGGAAGGAATGAGAAGTGGTGCTTACCGAGGTTCATACCAGATGTCAGTGCTAGTTTGGGACTTAGTTAGTGCTGTGTTTGTGATTTAACATTGTAGGGCCAACGTTTTCCTCTATGGTTACCTTGTTTTGGTAATAATTGTTTAAAAATATGTGTAACATTTCATGGAGCAGGTTGGATGGCAGGATTTTGTGGTTGGAAATATGGAAACTTCTGCCGATTTGGAGGTGTAGGAGGTTGACTATTGGATGTCTTTAGGAAGCATAGCCTTTACTTTGGCTGTTTTGGTAACCCCTGACCCTTCTATCGCAATGGGACTTCTATGCTGGTGGGAATTCCACACTTTCTGCCCTAGACAATTAGGGTCTGCCATGAGTCCCCCACTCTGCTGAGGGTGTGTTCTAAAAATGAACTAATATTATTAGTCATTATTGATATTCAAATCCAATTTGTCCAAATAGATCATTAGCACTCTGAGACCTGGGTTCCCTCCTAGCTCCTGTGACATCTATCAGAGTGATTAAATAGCAGATGCTCAGTAAATATTTGTTGGTGGCAAATACATACTTGGCAACCTCCAGTGACTTTACCTGGACAGTAAAATAATTGCTTGAATGCATAACCCAACTTTGAGGTGAGCCTGCAGGAGCTGCTGAGGCACACCTGTGTGTTGGGCTCTCAAGGCAGCCAGAGGTGAGTCGGCAGCTGAGATCACGCTCCAGGGATTCCTGCGTCCTTTAATAAGATTCTGGGGTGGGCACAGTTCTGGGGTGGACATGGTGGCTCACGCCCATAATCCCAGAACTTTGGAAGGCTGAGGTGGGAGGATCGCTTGAGCTTAGGAGTTCAAGACCAGTCTGTACAACACAGTGAGAGCTTGTCTCTACCAAAAAAAAAAAAAAAAAAAAAAAAATTAGCAAGGCATGGCAGCATGCACCTGTAGTCCCAGATACTTGGGAGGCTGAGGTGGGAGGATTGCTTGAGCCTAGGAGGTTGAGGCTGCAGTGAGCCGAGATCGCAGCACTGTACTCCAGCCTGGGGGACAGAGTGAGACCCTGTCTCACAAAAAGTTTTTCTTTACATCAGTGTAGTGTGGGAAAAAGAAAAAAAAGACTCCATTCCTGCATATAAAACAATAATTGTGAGGAGAAAAGAGAATCTCCCCTCCGAACAAGAGGAACACATTATGAGATGTTTTTCACTTAAATGAACCAGAATGTAGGAGAGAGGCCAGTTTGCTTATTTTTAGGAGTGTGACTCTATCTGTTAGAGGAACATACTGAGATATTTATGAATAAAATAATAGAAGTCTGGGATTTTCTTCAGTAACACAATGTGGGGGAAAGTGAATGGAGGTACAGGTAAGACAAGATTGACCACAAATGATTGGAAGCTGGATGATAGTTAAGAGTTCGTTTTCATATTCTGTCCCCTTCTGAATATGTTTAAATTTTTTCATAATAAAGAAAAATAGGGCTGGGTGCAGTGGCTTATGCCTGTAATCCCAGCATTTTGGGAGGCCGAGGCAGGAGGATCACTTGAACCCAGGAATTTGAGACCAGCCTGGGCAACACAGTGAAACCTTGTCTCTACAAAAATTAGCTGGGGATGGTAGCGTGTGCCTGTGGTCCCAGGTTCTAAGGAAGCTAGAGGTTGCAATGCCCACTGCACTGCAGCCTGGGTGACAGAGTGAGACTCTGTCTCAAAAAAAAAAGGAAAAAAAAAGATAGAAAAAGTAAAATAGACTGAGGCAGGAGTATCTCTTGAGGCCAGGAGTTGGTGGCTGCAGTGAGCTGTGATTGCACCACTACACTCCGGCTTGGGTGAGAGTGAACCCGGTCTCTAAAGAGCAAAATAAAATAAAAAAGGAAACCAGAATGGGAGGGTTGCACTAGGTTTGGAATGGAAAGGTGATCTTACAAGGCCTCTATGTCCAAGTGCGATTCAGGCTAGACCGCGTGTCTTGGTTCAATTTTGAGATGGTAGCGCCACCCAGTGTTTATTGCGAACACCCAACAAAACGACGACGTTGCCCGCGCCCGCCTCTTGCTGTGGAGTGGGCTTGGTCTAATGTCCTTCTGTAAATTCCTGGCCTCTTTAATCCCCTCATGGGCAGGCCTGGATGAAAGAAGCGGGGCTGACAGCCCATAGGCACGGACTGTAGAGGTGGCAACAGTAGTGTTGATTGTGGTGGTCCAGCTGGGAGCAAGCTATGGGCGGGAGTGGCCGCATCTCATGGGCGGCTCTGAGGGCAGGCGACCTTGGTGGAGGCTGTCAGTGTGACCCAGGTGTAAAAATAGCCTCTGCTGTGACGCCTGTGCTCCGCTCCCTGGCCTGAGCAAATAGCCCCTTACACCTGCACACTGTTTACTTGGTGTGGACACACAGCTACCTGTTTGCAGGTGCAAATGACTGTTTGTGTACCCAGAGTTGTGGGGAGGGCCCCCCACCATCCTCTTCTCTGGCCCACATTCCCCTAGAGCAAGTAGCTGGGCCACATAACTAGCAAAATGCGCAACCTCAACCCACTCCCGAGCTGGGTCCTGTTGGAAAGAGAGCTCTTTACCACCTGTCCTCCCAACTCAATAAAAGCACCCCTCTTCACTAGAGAAAAATCTGCCCTTGCCTCTGGCAGCAGCATAGGAAGAATCTGGAGACCAAGGTAGATGTGTTTTGGGACAGCAAATTAGGATAACATGAAGTCAGAGAGACTTCTGGAGATGGTGAGCCAGGCTTTATAGAGACTACGGGGAGCAAGAAAACTGGCCCAGCCTGTCTCACGAGGGTGAGGAGAATGGACACAGGTGGAATCTGTCAATTGTAACATTCTGTAGACATGGATGATAAAGGTGATGGCGGGGAGGGGTGAGCGAGTGAAGGGAGCGGCAGACCCCGGCAGCCTTGTGGTAGCTGGGGAGATGCTACGCTTATGTGAGCAGCTCTAAAGTGCCATTGCTTATAATATGCACCTTTATTTTATATACCAATAAGCAAGAAAAATGTCCAACTATGATATGGCAGCCCATACAGGTATATTAAAACAGAAAAAATGAATGAATGAAGCTTTTTTTGCAGGACAGTTAGCAAATTCCAAGAACTGAAAAAGAAATTTAGTGCCTTTGACTCAGAAATTCTACTTCTCAGAGAGTATCTTAAGGAATAACTAGAAATGCACAGACTTAAGTAAGGAGCAGTGTTTATGAAACAAGAATCCAAAACTGGATGAAGATTAATAGCTGAATGATACTAGTTAAATGATGGCACCTTTATATGATGGAACAATGGTATATGAGTGTATAAAGAATTTTATAAAATGAGTTTATAAAGAATTTGTCATTGGGAAAATGTTTTGGTATTAAGCAAACGACCCACACAGACTCAGAATTATATAGCTTGGCAAAAATATGGATCAACATATGAAAGTCTCACAAGGCCGGGTGTGGTGTACTCACCCAGTACTTTGGGAGGCTGAGGCGGGTGGACCATTTGAGGTCAGGAGTTTGAGACCAGCCTGATGAAACCCCGTCTCTACTAAAAGCACAAAATTAGCCGTGTGTGGTGGCGCATGCCTGTAATCCTAGCTACTTCGGAGGCTGAGGCAGGAGAATCGCGTGAACGTGGGAGGCAGAGGTTGCAGTGAGCTGAGATCGCACCATTGCACTCTAGCCTGGGCAACAAGAGTGAAACTCCGTCTCAAAAAGAGAAAAGAAGTCTCACAAAGGGCTGGGCACAGTGGCTCATGCATGTAGTCTCAGCACTTTGGGAGGCTGAGGCTGGAGTATCGCTTGAGCCCAGGGGTTCAAGGCTGGACTGAGTTATGACTGCACCACTGTACTCCAGCCTGGGTGACAGAGTGACCCTGTCTCTAATAAAAAGAATAAAATAAATACAGTCTTACAAAGGATACAATAGAACCAAATGCTCAAAACATTAGTGACAATCTGGATTTTCTTTATATATTTTGGCACTAATTTTCCTAAGGTAAATATTTATTATATCTTTATGCAAAAGGAAAAGTAATCTTACTAACTTTGAAAGGGAAAAAGAGAGAGCAAGGTTTGCGTGGACCTCAGTGTGAGGTGAGAGGCCTAGGGCTGGAGGCTCTGAATGTGATACCTGCACTGAAATCCAGGTGTCCCGCCTCCCAGCCCAGGACGTGGGTGATCACTGCAACTTTTTCCTCTTCTCGTGCTCAGGGGAACTCTCAGTGTCTGGGATTAGGGAGCAGGGGCTGAAGTCAGAGTGAGGAAGAGCAAGAGCAGCCCGAGGTGGTCTTCTCTTTCCAAGGAAAGGGCATTGTTTCTGTGCGCTCTAGATTCTCAGATGTGAGAGCTGGGCATAAACAAAGAATTAATCCTCTGTGTCTTTTCTTGTCTGTTCCCCCCAACTCAGTAGATATGTTTGACGACTTCTCAGAAGGCAGAGAGTGTGTCAACTGTGGGGCTATGTCCACCCCGCTCTGGAGGCGAGATGGGACGGGTCACTATCTGTGCAACGCCTGCGGCCTCTACCACAAGATGAACGGCATCAACCGGCCGCTCATCAAGCCTCAGCGCCGGCTGGTAAGCACGTGCCTCGCAGCCTCCTCTGGGCACCTGGCTGCGGAGCTCTCGCCTTGGTGGGACATCCTCTGGTTTTGAATTTTGGAACTTGAGGGTGTGCATCGGGGATTACGTGGGTGAGAGCCCCATAATAATTCTCACAACTTTAGAGTTAGCTGGAGCCACCAGAATGATCCAGGCTGTCTAGTTCAACCTCTTCGGCACACAGAAACTGAAAGTGAGGCTCAGAAAAGCTAGTGGCCTTGCCCACAGCCACTCAGGTACTGAGTCTCCCATCTAGAACTCTGGAACCAGAATCCAGGTTTCCTGGTTCCCAGTCCAGTGTTGACTGGAGTGTCTCCTCCACCCACACCAACCCTGCAAGGAAGGTCACCTCAGAGGCTGGTCTCTACCCTGACCTCAGTTGATCAGTTGATAAATCCCAAAGCCCAGAAGTGCAAGCAGCTTGTGTTGGGCCCCGTGGCTAGGGAAGAGTTTGGGCCTGGGGCTTGGCTCCTGGCTTCCTGCTCCTTTTTAATATAATTTGATTCTGGTCAACACCAACCAGCTTGCACTATATTAAGGAGGGAAGAACAGAGGGGATAAACCTGGTGCCTCCCTTTCTTGAGGTCCCAGGGCCATTCAGACTTTGATACCATTTGGACACCGTGATTCCTCACTCTCTGCCTGCCCCCGGCACCTGCAGCCCCGGTCAGTTCTCCTCTCAGGAGAAGCTTTCCTGCCGGCAGTGCCCGGCGCTCACTGGTTATTCGCCTGACGGTGAATGATGGTTAGGACTGGAAACCAGGTCTCGATGCCCACGTTCGCTCTCCTCGGGCAGCAGAAACCTTGTTCTGATTTATTCCTCGCAGTGGCGCAGGTGACAGGAGAGTTAGGTGCCGTCACAGGTCAGAGATCTCATGCAGGGTCGTTAGGGCCCAGCCCTGCCTCCCGTTAGGGAGGCCCAGCTCCGCAGCCACACGCGAGGTGGAAGGGCAGTGCACACCTTTTACTTGGACATGAAGCATTTGTTTCCTGTCTTGCAGTCCGCCTCCCGCCGAGTGGGCCTCTCCTGTGCCAACTGCCAGACCACCACCACCACGCTGTGGCGCCGCAATGCGGAGGGCGAGCCTGTGTGCAATGCCTGCGGCCTCTACATGAAGCTCCACGGGGTACGTGGGTCCTGCGCCCATGCGGCATCCTTGCCTTCTGATGCCCATCTCTCAGTCCTCCCTTGTCTTCTTCCTTTGTACTAGCATTCATTTTTCCTTCTTAACAAAGAGACTTAGATTTGGAAGGGGCTTTCAACTACTTTGCTGGCCTCTTCCGTCCTTTACATTGTATAAGTGAATTTTCCGTTTTACAGATGAGCAGGCTACATTTATATGTAGCAGTTTGATGTGTAACAAAGGTGACGTTTCGATTCAGTGGATAAGAAGCTTAAGGATAGTTGTATTGACAAAATTGGCTGTTCATTTGGAAAACAGAAGGAAAGCATGACCTCTACCTCCTACCTTAAACAAAAATAAACTTGGGTGAATTAAGGATATTACATGTAAAACATCTTTGAAATAAACTAAAAGTAAGGCCAGGCATCATGACTCATGCCTGTAATTGCAGCACTTTGGGAGGCTGAGGCAGAAGGATTGCATGAGCTCAGGATTTCAAAACCAACCTGGACAACATGGTGAAACTTTGTCTCTACTAAAAAAAAAAAAAAAAAAAAAAAAAATCTAGCTGGGCATGGTGGTGCATGCCTCTAGTCCCAGCTACTCAGGAGTCTGAGGTAGGAGGATGGCTTGAGCTCAGGAGTTTGAGGCTGCAGTGAGCTCTGATTGTCCCACTGCACTCCAGCCTGAGTGACAAAGTGAGACCCTGTCTCCAAAAAAATAAAAATATTAGATAATAAAATACTGCAAAGAAAATCAGACAATAAAAACACTGGAAGAAAATGTAAGGGAAAGTATTTATATAACTTTGGGGATGGGAGAACTTCTTAAACAAGATTTTAAAACTTTTTAGCCATATAAGAATAGTTAGATATATTTGATTTTGTAAATATTTACTGTTTGTGCCTGGAAATGATACCTAGGGAAAGTAAAGACCAATACACACAGTATCAGAAAAAGGGTTAATATTTCCAGAATTACAAGGAGCTTCTACAAAGCTCTTTAATTTTTATTGGAACATTCTCCATTATACAATATTAACAAAAAGGCAAGGTGCCCAACACTACCTACTATGGCACTATTTTTATAAATATGAGGAAGAATATAATTTATAGGTGGTTGCTTCCACATATACAGAACACCTCTGGTAGGATATGTAGAGATTGGTCACATGGTCACATGTATGCATATATACGTACATGGGGTGCCTCCAGGAGAAAAACTGGGGTCCTGGGGAGAAGGGATTGGAAGGACACTCTTTTTGCTGTGTACCCCCTTGGTACCTTAGACGGGACATATGCAAGTCTTAATTGTTCAAATACAAGTTAAATTAAAACCAAACCAAACCAGAAACAGATAGGTCTTGTAGCCTAATAAGAAAAGAACAATTGATCTTTCCCCACTTCCCCCAAATGGGCAAAAGATATGGACTGACATCTCACAGAAGCTGCCCAGATAGCCATGAAACATGTGCACATATGCTGAATCTCACTAAAAATCAGAGAAATGTACCTGAAAATGACCATGAAAGTCCCTAGTTTGCCCATATACTTGGCAAAAATTAAAGTGTTTGCTGCTATGGATTTGGGGAATTAGATACTCTCATATATTATTGATCTGTATTTGAATTACTGCATCTATTAACTTAGTGGTATTTTTTAAGGTTGAAACCATGAACACCATTATATCTGGCAGGTCTACTGTTGGGAAACTAGCCTATAAAAAATAACCAGTACATGATGACCTTTGAACCATTTATTGCTGCATTGTTTGTGGTGGCAAAAACTAGAAACAACCTTAAAACCCCATAAAGGAATGGTTGAAAAAATTCTGCTATATCCCAAAATGTGGAATATTGAGAAGAAACTTAAAAATAATAATCTAGGGCCATGTATCTTGATCTAGAAAATGAAAAAGCACATTGCAAAGAAATATATGTAGCATGACCCCATACTATGAGTGTCGAAGGTGCATTAAACAGACATACATATGGATGGGTGGACAGACCAGTGGATGGGTGAACACACACACACAAATATACACGTATAGGTGTATTAGTCTGTTTTCACACTGCTGATAAAGACATACCCAAAATTAAAAAGTGGCTTAATGGACTCACAGTTCCACATCGCTGGGGAGGCCTCACAATCATGGCGGAAGGTGAAAGGCACGTCTTACATGGCAGCAGGCAAGAGAGAATGAGAGCCAAGCAAAAGGGGTTTCCCCTTATAAAACCATCAGCTCTCATGAGACTTACTCACTATAGTGAGAACAGTATGGGAGAAACCGCCCCTGTGACTCAGTTATCTCCCATCAGGTCGGTCCCACAACATGTGGGAATTATGGGAGCTACAATTCAAGATGAGATTTTGGTGGGGACACAGCCAAACCAAGTCAATAGATATATATGTGTACAGATGTTTGAGAATTTTTTTAAATGTAAGAATATATAACAGGCTGTTAAATCCATTTGCCTCACTGGGATAGGATTGACGGTAGTAGAGTGAGAGGGCTGTTGTTAACTTAGTCTCATGTATCTTTTCATGATTTCTTGTTATAATGAACAAGCAAATGGCTAAAGTTATGAACATTCATAAGAAAATATTTCTACAAAGCATGTATACAAGGATGTTTGTTAATCACTGTAATAGCAAAAATGGAGGAAAGAAAACCTTTGGAAGGAAAATGGTTAAACTATTGTTCTTCAATATGGGAATGGTACAAGAAACTTATTGGGAAATATTATATAGGTATTAAAAAGATTATATTCTCAGAAAATAAAAAAATAGAATTACCACATGATCCAGCGTACCATTTCTGGATATATACCCAAAATAATTAAAGGCAGGGCCTCAAAGAGCTATTTGTACACTGCTGTTTATAGCAGCATGATTCACAATTGCAGAAAGATGTAAACAACCCAAGTGTCCACGGAGAAATGAACGGATAAACACAGTGTGATATACATACACGTAGGATATTACTCAGCCTTTAAAAGGAAGGGAATTCTGGCCCCTGACACCACATGTCAAATCCATAGAGACAGAAAGTAGAATGGAGGCTGTCGGGGGCTAGGGAAAGGGGGAATGAGGAGTGATGTTTAATGGGTATGGAGTTTGAGTTTTGCAAGACGAGAAGAGTTCTGGGGATGGTGGTCAGGCTTGCAGAACGGTGTGAATGCGCTTAACACTACAGAGCAATATACTTCAGAATGGTTCAGATGGTAAATTTTAAGTTAGGTGTGTTTCATTTTACTGCAACTGAAAAAAAAAAAGCATACCTAAGTGAATGGAGATTAACGTGAGGGGGAGATTCTTCTGAGGCCAGAATGGGTTTGAACATTTGAGGCATAGCTAGGGGGATGGGGTGGGGGAGGACACCCTTCCACAAGGTGGGAAATAGGGGTCTGGGTGTAGAGTCACAGAGAGATGTGCAGATGGTGGGGTCGGGGGGTGCAAGTGCCACCCCATCTACCCACAGTTAAATAGGAGGCCAGTTCAAGTTCACATATGCTGGTGCATTTCTCGCTTAACCATTGCGTGTTCATGTCTCTGAAGCAGTAATTGCTTTTCTTTCTGTATTTGCAGGTGTGGCCTTTATCAATCCCACATGGTAGACAAGCACAGCATAGAAAAGGGGCTAAAAGATTTGGCTCAGCCTAAGAGAAACCAGATGTGGGGAAGGCACCCTGCAGTCCTGCTCCCCAGGACTGGCTTAGGCATCTGTGAATGGCTCTGGGGCCTGCCTCCCAACAGAACTGTGGTCAAAGTGTTGTCCAGGGACATTTTATCTCAGAACCTGGTCACAGGGCAGTCTCTAGCATAGTCTCTTACTGCTCCCCACCATTCACAGAAGCACCAATGGCTCCAGCCAGACCCAATGCAGTACAGAGCTGCAATAAGTAGAGTGATGTTACATCTCAACTCACTGGGACTGTTGCTGTTGAGGCCAATTTTCCCAGCACAATAATTGATAGCACCGCTGCACCCTCACACCTTTTGAAGATAGGGCCTTGCTCCACCACCCAGGCTGGAGTGCAGTGGCACGATCACGGCTTGCTGGAGCCTCGACTTCCTGGGTTCAAGGGATCCTCCTATCTCAGCCTTCTGAGTAGCTGGGACTACAGGCATGCAGCACCGTGCCCAGCTAATTTTAAAACTTTTTTGTAGAGATGGGGTCTCACTATGTTGCCAAGGATGGTCTCGAACTCCTGGGCTCAAGCAGTCCTCCCACCTCGGCCACCCAAAGTGCTGGGATTACAGGCATGAGCCACTGTGCCTGGCCTAGCACCCACTTTTTGTTTTCAGGGTCCTTGTGTGGATGATAAAGGCTTTTGAACAGTCTGTCTCTGCTGCCTGAAATGCCTGCCTCTGTCTACTCAAAACCTTTTACAAACTCAGGTGTCACCTCCACACTGAAGCCTTCCTTGATATCCTCACGTGCCCCTCCTTCCCACTCCTCACCCCAGGACAGAGTTTAGTGTTTCTCTGTCTTTTTACATCACCGACCAGAGTCTGGTTATTTCTCCTTGTCTGTGAATTTCTGAGGGTAGGAGCTGTGTGTCTTTAGTTCCCTATTCTCCAGGCTCTAGTAAAGTAGCCATCACATCACACAGGTGCTCGATAAGTTTTTTAAAAATGGAATTGATTTCTTTCTCGCTGAGTTCCAGGGGCCTGTGCAGCCCGTCTGGGCCCCAGGCTTTGTGGAGAGATTGCTTAGGTGTTGCCTTCTCGCAGCAGGTGTGTGTCTTTCAATGCTGTAGCAGACTACGCAGAAATGGAAAACCCTATATATTTACTTGTGACCCTCCAGGTCCCCAGGCCTCTTGCAATGCGGAAAGAGGGGATCCAAACCAGAAAACGGAAGCCCAAGAACCTGAATAAATCTAAGACACCAGCAGGTGAGGAAAAGATCTGTGAGTGATTATATGAGTACATCAGGAGCCCTCAGAGTGCCTAAGAATCATATCTTCCGGGTTAGGCAGGCCAGCCCGGGCCGCCAGGGGGTGGTGACAGCATCGGACATCCCTGGCCTTTCAGGACAGGATGAAGAGCCCAGCAAAAAAGTAACAATTGCCATGGAACGTGTTGGGAGCTTTCGAAGCAGGCTCAACTCAAGCTGGGGCCTGATCATTGCCGACTGCAAAGACCCAGTGCTCAGGCTGGACCAGCCGAGGTCCTGCAGGAAAGAGGAACTTTACTCGGTCCTTTCATCTTTGGCGCTGCAGCCACCCAAAAGCTCAGTTCCTTTCAATTCTCTTTGGGCTAACGGGGATCCAGGAGGGCAGGGTCCAATTAATCATGTCCCTAACAGATTGATCTCTAAGCCAATGTATAATTAACATCATGCAGTGCTTTGTGCTTTAGAAAGCCCCTTCAGAAATATTATCTCCATGAAAGTAAGACTCCATGAGAACCAGTTTATGACCCCATTTTACTAACAAGCAAACTGAGGCTCATAGAGGACAATGATTTAACGAGGGTCATACAGCTGTTAATGGGTAGAGAATTAAAACCCAAGTTTTTCTGCTTCTGGGTCAATGTTCTCTTCAATATACCACTCTGCCTTCTTAATTTCTAGATTAAGAATAAGGGCTGCTCAAAAGTTTGAGGCTGCAGTGACCTATGATCGTGCCACTGCACTTCAGCCTGGAGAGCAGAGCAAGACCCTGTCTTTAAAAAAAAAAAAAAGAAATACATTTAAAAAGAACGAGGGCTGTTCTTTTTTAAATTTATTTTTAATAAATATATTAACTATTTATTAAATTTAAATTAGATTTATTTATAAAATTATATATAAATTTCTGACAGAACAACGGCTGTTCTTTAATACGTTTATGTTCCCTACCAAAACATTCCTCACTCAGTACTGCTACCCAGTTAAAGATTTGACTGGTCGGTGCTGCAGTCACAGAGAAAATGAATTGGCTGATCTGACGAAAAATTTATCTTCTAACCTAAGGCATGACAGAGTCAGATAAATGGGCCCTTTCCACTACCAAGAACATGATCAAAGTTCTGCTTTTGTACATTCAACCATGGCTTATCCCTTCTGGCAGGCATATTTCCTACTGGAATTTTCAGTGTCTCACACCTGTGGTCTTCCACCTCTCCTCCTGCTTCCCTACTGCTGACGAGTCCCCTATGTCCCCTGGGTAACCTTATTTCCTCTCACGTAGCAATCACAGATAGAGAAGACATACGGTTCAGGCGCACGATTCCCAGTCCAAAATTCCAAATCCAGGAAGCAAGATTCGGCAGCAAAACCTATTTTGAACAGACACTAGGCTGTTGATAGTCTCTGTTTACTCCATTCAGTATGATATTCACGTGTTTTGCTGTGGGGATATTATTGTATTTCATTATAGAGTATTATCTCAGGCCCTGCTGGAGGTATTCTGTAATAATACACAGTATTTGGATTTTTAAAAATGTGAATCTTCAAGTTGAATGAGGAAGAATCTTTTTTTAAAAAGTTTTGAAGCCTGAAACACACGTGGCCTCAAGGGTTTGAGATGAGATAGGGGGAAGAAGCCATCCCTGTGAGAACTGTAGCCCTCCGCAGATAAGGACCTCTGCTGCTGTCCCCGGCAAATGTAGATAAAGCCATTAGCTTGCACCCATCCCGGCTGTCTCGCAGGCTGCCGGCTGTTCGTTTGTCCCTGCCGCTGATTTGGGTGTGCTGACTCTGCTTCATTCCAGCTCCTTCAGGCAGTGAGAGCCTTCCTCCCGCCAGCGGTGCTTCCAGCAACTCCAGCAACGCCACCACCAGCAGCAGCGAGGAGATGCGTCCCATCAAGACGGAGCCTGGCCTGTCATCTCACTACGGGCACAGCAGCTCCGTGTCCCAGGTACGCGCCATGGCTGGGGCGCCAGGGCTGTTTGTGGGGAGGCCGACTGCAGAGTCCCAGAGGCCAGCCTAGTACTGGGTGGGACTTGCAGCCAGGCCTCACAGGTGCAAGCAGTGAGCTACCCTCTGCGCTAGGAAGACCCAGCCATTGAGCTGTGTGGTGCCCTCAGGGCCGCACGAGGCTAGGGGCATCTGCATCGGGCTGTATTTCAGGACATCTTATCAAGATGGTGATGTGGACATGACTGTGACTCACAATTTTTTAACAGCTCCTCTATGCCATCATCTTTGGAAACAAAGAGAGGGGAGTCCAGGGCTGGCATACAGCATGGGTGGCAGGGGCGGAAAACAACACAGAAGTACAACCTGAATGAGACTGCGTGCTGGGGCGAGGGGAGGCGTGGTTGCGCTGTCGGAGGCCGAGCGGAGGTTCTCTAGGCAAGTCTGCCTCCTACGTGCAGGGAGGTTAGACTTCAACAGGGAGGGTGGGGAAGGAGGAGGAAGCTGGCATGGGGAAAGGCCTGGATCCTGCAGAGGGCAGGCAGGGCAGGCTGGTGGGGAGGTCACAGGCAGGATGCCACTTTCATGAGACCCAGCTCTGCACGTGTGTCAGGGGACGCCCTGGGGCAGCCCATGTTCCCTCTGGCGGAGGACGATGGCGTCTCGGCCTCCCTGCCTCCTCCCCTCTGCAGTTCCCTCTCTTGGGACCAGGATGCACCAAGCTTGATCACGGTCTCCTTTGACCAGCCCTGGCTGTTATCTCGTCTCTGCTCTTAACTGAAGGAGGCCGTGTCTTAGTGAGCTTCTTATTGTCTGGGAGAACCTGATCCCACAGAACCAGGGGCACCAGGAGCCCCTTCTGGGCCGGGTGGATGGCTTCTTTGTTGGAAAGTGGATGTGGTGGTGATAGGATGGTAGAAAGTGTCTCCTGTAACCATCAGAGCCTTCTGGGCAACCACAGTATCCACAGGGCCACCGGGTCATAGCCCTGGTTGTATACTGTGCTCAGAAGCAGCTGATGCATCACCCAGACCCTTCATGCCTAGATCACCGGGATCAGGAGAAACAGAGAGAAGTGCTCCTTGGTCCCTTCCTGAGGGCTGAAGCCATCCTGGGGACATCTGCATAGCAGGGCACCCTCCCCAGCCTAGACCTCCCAAGCCCTCAGGAGCGTCTCCATGGGCCTCATCGTGTGCTTTCTGCTTTTCAGACGTTCTCAGTCAGTGCGATGTCTGGCCATGGGCCCTCCATCCACCCTGTCCTCTCGGCCCTGAAGCTCTCCCCACAAGGCTATGCGTCTCCCGTCAGCCAGTCTCCACAGACCAGCTCCAAGCAGGACTCTTGGAACAGCCTGGTCTTGGCCGACAGTCACGGGGACATAATCACTGCGTAATCTTCCCTCTTCCCTCCTCAAATTCCTGCACGGACCTGGGACTTGGAGGATAGCAAAGAAGGAGGCCCTGGGCTCCCAGGGGCCGGCCTCCTCTGCCTGGTAATGACTCCAGAACAACAACTGGGAAGAAACTTGAAGTCGACAATCTGGTTAGGGGAAGCGGGTGTTGGATTTTCTCAGATGCCTTTACACGCTGATGGGACTGGAGGGAGCCCACCCTTCAGCACGAGCACACTGCATCTCTCCTGTGAGTTGGAGACTTCTTTCCCAAGATGTCCTTGTCCCCTGCGTTCCCCACTGTGGCCTAGACCGTGGGTTTTGCATTGTGTTTCTAGCACCGAGGATCTGAGAACAAGCGGAGGGCCGGGCCCTGGGACCCCTGCTCCAGCCCGAATGACGGCATCTGTTTGCCATGTACCTGGATGCGACGGGCCCCTGGGGACAGGCCCTTGCCCCATCCATCCGCTTGAGGCATGGCACCGCCCTGCATCCCTAATACCAAATCTGACTCCAAAATTGTGGGGTGTGACATACAAGTGACTGAACACTTCCTGGGGAGCTACAGGGGCACTTAACCCACCACAGCACAGCCTCATCAAAATGCAGCTGGCAACTTCTCCCCCAGGTGCCTTCCCCCTGCTGCCGGCCTTTGCTCCTTCACTTCCAACATCTCTCAAAATAAAAATCCCTCTTCCCGCTCTGAGCGATTCAGCTCTGCCCGCAGCTTGTACATGTCTCTCCCCTGGCAAAACAAGAGCTGGGTAGTTTAGCCAAACGGCACCCCCTCGAGTTCACTGCAGACCCTTCGTTCACCGTGTCACACATAGAGGGGTTCTGAGTAAGAACAAAACGTTCTGCTGCTCAAGCCAGTCTGGCAAGCACTCAGCCCAGCCTCGAGGTCCTTCTGGGGAGAGTGTAAGTGGACAGAGTCCTGGTCAGGGGGCAGGAGTGTCCCAAGGGCTGGCCCACCTGCTGTCTGTCTGCTCCTCCTAGCCCTTGGTCAGATGGCAGCCAGAGTCCCTCAGGACCTGCAGCCTCGCCCCGGCAGAAGTCTTTTGTCCAGGAGGCAAAAAGCCAGAGATTCTGCAACACGAATTCGAAGCAAACAAACACAACACAACAGAATTCCTGGAAAGAAGACGACTGCTAAGACACGGCAGGGGGGCCTGGAGGGAGCCTCCGACTCTGAGCTGCTCCGGGATCTGCCGCGTTCTCCTCTGCACATTGCTGTTTCTGCCCCTGATGCTGGAGCTCAAGGAGACTCCTTCCTCTTTCTCAGCAGAGCTGTAGCTGACTGTGGCATTACTACGCCTCCCCACACGCCCAGACCCCTCACTCCAAAATCCTACTGGCTGTAGCAGAGAATACCTTTGAACCAAGATTCTGTTTTAATCATCATTTACATTGTTTTCTTCCAAAGGCCCCCTCGTATACCCTCCCTAACCCACAAACCTGTTAACATTGTCTTAAGGTGAAATGGCTGGAAAATCAGTATTTAACTAATAAATTTATCTGTATTCCTCTTTCCCTCGTCCCTTAGTGGTCTTCACTGGGAGGTTCAGCGTTGCTGTTCTCTCCCGGGGAATCTTGAGGCCGTGTAGGCACTGACCCACTCACAGCTGCTTACTTTATTTTTGGCCATTGGCCAATGCTCCCTCTTTAGGTAGCAGTGGGTCCCGAAAAGCACACTCATCCCAGCCCTGCTAACATGAGACATTAGATGGGGGTCACCGCTGGGCTTTAATTTCCTGGGAGAGGGTTGTACCTATCCATAAACAGAGTTCCTTGTGGTCCAACAAAAGTTGCTCAATGTATTTATTGATTTATTGAGACAGGGTCTTGCTCTGTTGCTCAGGCTGGAGTGCTGTGTGCCATCATGGACCTACCTGGCTCAAGCGATCCACCTGCCTGTGTCTTGAGTAGCTGGGACCACAGGTGCACACCACCATGCCCAGCTAATTTTTTATTTTGTAGAGATGGAATCTTGCTTTGTTGCTGAGGCTGGTGTTAAACTCCTGGGCTCAAGCAATTCTCCCACCTTGGCCTCCCAAAGTGCTGGGATTATAGGCATGGATCACCGCTCCCAACCATCTGAGGGCATTTTTAGAGCTCTCCTCCAGACCTCAGGGTCTGGAGCAAGAGACTCCATCTACCTGGAAGAAAATGTTCTGTCTAGCCCTGTCTGACTTAAAAGTGTGTCCCTCCAGGGCAAGGAGCTCTTGCCATTTTATGGTTTGATCCAAACAGGCTAAGGGGCAAATTATGTCCCACAAGAATGAGAGAGAAGGCTGGCAGTTCCTCTCCTTTATCCATTTGTCTTCACCTCCTTAGGCCACAGGGGTGCTTAACCACTTCATCTTAAAAGTATGTGGAGTGGGGCTGGGCACGGTGGCTCACCCCTGTAATCCCAGCATTTTGGGAGGCCAAGGCAGGAGGATTGCTTGAGCCTGGGAGGTGAGGACAAGCCTGGGCAACAGAGGGGGACTCTCTACAAAAAAGTAGAAAATTAGCTGGGTATGGTGGCGTGCCCCTGTGATCCCAGCTCCTTAGAAGGTTGTGGGAGGATCGCTTGAGCCCAGGAGGTCAAGACTGCAGTGAGCTGAGCTCATGCCACTTACACTTCAGCTTGGGTAACAGAGCGAGACTCTGTCTCAAACAATGAAACAAACAACAAACAAAACCTTTTGAAGCCCGCATCAAGTCCTTTAACAATTAAGGAGAGCATTTATCTTTAAAATTAGACTTATATGCCTCTAAGATAGGTGAGCAGTAACAAAATTAATTTTAGCTGGGATTATGCTGTGATTATGTTTGGCTTAACAGTAATGAAAATAAGTTTAGGCTGGGTGCGGTGGCTCATGCCTGTAATCCCAGCACTTTAGGAGGCTGAGGCAAGCGGATCACCTGAGGTCAGGGGTTCGAGACAAGCCTGACCAAGATGGAGAAACCCCGTCTCTACCAAAAATACAAAATTAGCCGGGTGTGGTGGCGTCTGCCTGTAATCCCAGCTACTGGGGAAGCGGAGGACAATCGCTTGAACCCAGAAGGCAGAGGTTGTGGTGAGCCGAGATCTCGCCATTGCACTCCAGCCTGGACAACAACAGCGAAACTTCATCTCAAAACAATAATAAGTTTACAACCTCTGAATATGTACCAAATGGAGCCAGGGGTGGGGAGTATTAGGACAAGCCCCGCACTGCAGAGCCCCCCAGCTCTCACTCGTGGACCAAGTGCATGGGACACAGCCATTCGGAAAGCTCTTTCTTTTGGAGTGGGTCTGGGTGTTCTGGTTTTGGTTTGCTTGTTTTATCATTTTGTGACATTGGCGCCTATTCTTCAGTTTGCATCCCTGCCTTGCTTGCTTGAAGCTGGAGCACAAATGTCCCGTCACCCTGTAACAACACAAGTATGCGTCATGCCTGCGAGGCTTAGCTTGGGAAGTGGAATCTCCAGGAATCTCCTTCGGTTGTCTGTCTGCCACTTTACACTGTTGCTCCCATTTCGGTCACTGAGGCCCTGTCCCTTATCCTCCAGGGACATGGTGCTGTCCTATGAGCTCTGGCTCCTTTGTGACTTTTACATTGCTCCTCCAGATAGCAGTGGCAGTGGCATTTGCAAAAAGGCTATTTGAGAACAAATAAGAAAAAATCTTCAAAGCGAAGATGATAGTAAAACAGCCCTCATTTTTCAAAGTCCATTCTTTTTTCTGGTCCGTGCACTGCCAGCTCACTTCTCTGGCTAAAACCCGGGGGCGGCGGGGGTGTGTGTGGGGGTTAGTTTTGCAAAAAGTACTGATGGCACCGCTGTGCTCCAAGTTAACCAGAACACAAGAATCGAAAAAGCCTGTGAGATACTGGTGCTCGTGATCGTAAGCTCCAGGTCGGGGGGTTTTCAGATGAACACAAAAAGGGGGCTGCTCCCGTCCCAAGATGAGTGATAAATGAGTCACTTCTCATACTCGCACTCACACTCGCTCCATTTCCTCTGGGATGACTGTCTTCCGTCCTACCGCTGTGGCTGCTGTTATTTGCCTGATAAACTTCTTTCCCTCTCCCTCCCTCTGACACAGAAACACACACACACACACACACAGACACACACACACACACACAGCCCGCTGGATCTATAAGCAGTTTGTAACAGGATGCACCAGTTCTAATCACGTTTCAAGTCAAATGAACCAGTCGCAGCTTCCTAATAAGTGAATGGCTGACATAAGGAGTTAATTCAGAAGCAGCTCAATACTATGGACAATACTAGTGGACAATATTAGCATACTGCTCGTACAACAAAGATACCGTAGTCTCTGGTGCTGCCTCTTCAGGACGAATTTGCTGAAAGTGAGTTGTAATTAGAGATGTTAAAAAAAACATTGGCTGCGCGCGATGGCTTACTCCTGTAATCCCAGCACTTTTGGAGGCGAGGCAGGTGGATGACCTGAGGTTAGGAGTTCGAGACCAGCCTGGCTAACATGGCGAAACCCCATCTCTACTAAAAATACAAAAAATTAGCCAGGCATCGTGGTGGGCACCTGTAATCTCAGCTACTTGGGAGGCTGAGGCCGAAGAATTTCTTGAACCTGGGAGGTGGAGGTTGCAGTGACCCGAGATCATGCCATTGCACTCCAGCCTGGGCAACAAGAGTGAAATTGTGTCTCAAATAATAATAATAATAATAATAAACTGAGATTTATCATTCCTCCTCTCTCCTTTTCCTTGAGAACTTAATAAAAATGGAAAATATCCATTACTTCTTGGGCTCTTGATGATCTCAAACTGTTAAGCTGGAATGGAGGATAGATGTGGTCGGTAAACACTGAAATCAAGAACCTTAAGTGGGCCAGGGCCCTGCTGAGCAAAGCAATGGGTCCAGATTGCCCCTAACATGCTTTTCCATTGGAAGGAGCTGCTATAAACTCCGAGGCTCCCGGGCCCTGCTGGAGACTCTGGGCTGGAATCCTCTGTGATATCCTCCACAGTCGCCCATTGTATAGCTTTCCTTGGGGATTCCTCAGAGTGGCTTCCAACCTTCCCACTGGCAGAGTCCCCTTTACCCACTCCCACCCCTGCCATGGTCCCCATTTTTGTTTTTGTTTTTATTTTTGAGACAGAGTCTTGCTCTGTCCTCCAGGCTGGAGTGCAGTGGTGCAATCATAGCTCAGTGCAGCCTCCACCTCCCGGGCTCAAGTGATCCTCCCACCTCAGCCTCCTGAGCAGCTGGGCACTACAGATGTGTGCCACCACCACATTTGGCTAATTTTTTTGTATTTTTAGTAGAGACAGGGTCTCACTATGTTGCCCAGGCTGGCCTCAAATTCCTGGGCTTAAGTGATCTGCCCACCTCGGCCTCCCAAAGTGCTGGGATTACGGGTGTGAGCCACCACACCCAGCACAGGTCCCATGTTTTGAAGTAGTTTTAACTAATCATTTGGGGTTTTCCTCATTTTTTGTAGCTCAAAAACAAACGCATGAAAATTATACCTCAATTTAAAAATGAACAAGTCGGGCATGGTGGCTCATACCCATAATCCCAGCAATTTAGGAGGCTGAGGCGGGTGGATTATTTGAGGTCAGGAGTTTGAAACAAGCCTGGCCAATGTGGTGAGACCTCATCTCTACTAAAAATACAAAAATTAGCTGGGGGTGGTGGCGGGTGCCTGTAATCCCAGCTACTTGGGAGGCTGAGGCAGGAGAATCCTTTGAACCTGGGAGATGGAGGCTGCAGTGAGCCGAGATCCCGCCACTGCACTCCAGCCTGGGCGACAGAAAGAAACTCCATCTCAAAACAAACAAACAAACAAACAAACAAACAAACAAACAAACAAAAATCATAACGGTTCATCTCTGCTAACAAGTACCAGAGAGTCAATACAGCAAGCTGGATTCCTGCCTAAGGCAAAGACATTCCATTTAGTTTACTTTGTGGCCTTGTGACAGATACTAAATGGATGGTTACTTAGATGTTTTCTGACTGTTTTTCAATGGCTTGTGGGTTCCTCTGGGTCCTTGGGCCTCCAGGAGGGGCCACTGCCGCACACACACACCTGGAAGGATCCTGTATCCATAGACCCCTGCGCTTCTGCCTCCTTAAAAAAAAGGAGGGGACCGGAAGTGCCCACAACGGGGAATTCTGAGACTTGTCTTCCGGCACAAGTTTGGTCATGGGCTGGCTGTGTGCTGTTGGGCCATTCACCCAACTGCTCTGACCTTAGCATTCTCATCTGTAAAATGGTTTGGCCTGGATAGCTTCAGGTGTCCAAGACTGGACCAGCAGCTACGGAATCACATATTGGAGGAAAATGACTCACCCCTCTCTCTGGGCCTCACACACTCTCATTGGTACAGATGACACCTCAGGGCCCCAAGATTTGAAAATGCTCTTTCTGGAGACTCAAGATTGATGTCTTGGCCAAGTGCGGTGGCTCACACCTGTAATCCCAGCACCTCGGGAGGCTGAGGTGGGTGGATCACCTGAGGTCAGGAGTTTGAGGCCATCCATGGCCAACATGGCGGAACCCCATCTCTACTAAAAATACACAAAATTAGCTGGGCGTGGTGACAGGCGCCTGTAATCCCAGCTACTCGGGAGGCCGAGGCAGGAGAATTGTTTGAACCCAGGAGGCGGAGGTTGCAGTGAGCCAAGATCATGCCATTGCACTCCAACCTGGGCAACAGTGCGAGACTCTGTCTCAAAAAAAAAAAAAAAATTGGTGTCTCGAGTCTCAAATAGAAAGCAGTGTCTTCATTGTGACCCAGTTAATGAGGTTTAAAAAAATGATTCCAGAATCATACATCCAAAGAGCATTGTTCCTCAAAGTAGCCTTGGAAACTGAATTTCTCCCAGAAGACAAGCTGCTAATGACTGGGAAGTTAGCACCCCTAAGTTTCCAACAGCTGGCCGGAGAGACTGAATGGAACAAAGAAAACTGAACCCTGCTAAGGAAAGGAAGCCCAGATTGAGGTACCATGCCTGACTCATTTACAAATCATGTCGGGTCTCCAGACCATCTGGTTGAAATCCTTTTGTCTCTTAGTCAAGGGAACTTGCCCAAAGCCACAGAGCTGGTGTGAGGAAGAGCAACATTCACTGACCGCCCACCCTCACTAGGAGGGCCATGGGACCGACCCAGGGTACTGCCCTTGCAGTTAATGCGCCTACCATGCGGGGGCGCACGTGTTCTCCCTTTCAGCTTCCATTACAGCCTGAGTTTTCCAGCGGTCAATCCCTCAGCAGCCCCGAAATTCTGCCAACAAAAATCACTTGCTGCTAATCGAACATGACTGCATGTCAAACGCTGCTAGCAGCTTTCTATAGCCGCAGGAAACACTTCCATATCCCCCCACTCACGTTTTGCACATAAAAAAGATATGGCCTACGGATTTTTAGTCACTTGTTGAAGGTCACAGAGCTAGTAAGTGGAAATCAGGGTTCAAACAACATCTATTTCACTCCAGAATCTGGGCTTTTACACCCCACTCTTGTGTCTCCTAAACAGTGGAAATCTACAAAATGGGAAGCCCTGCGCAGTCTGGGTTTAGACGGCAGTCCAAGAGGAAGAGTCTTTCAGTGTCTTTCTAGGAGTTGAGGAGAATCCTTGGTTCCAAATTCTCCCAACTTATAAGTAATGAAAGAAAGACCTAGAGACATTGGGGAATAGGGCTTACTGTTCATGGCCACATACCCCCAAAAAGGGACAACTGGAAGAGCCTGCGGAACCTCACTCAGCCCCTGCTCCTGAGGTGCCCGTAGAGCCACATGGACCCTCACCGTGTGCTTCAGAATCCCCAAACTCTCAGCAGCAACTCAATCCGTTACAGGATCCTAGTATTTTTCTCTTTCACTCCCTTCCTCGCATTCTTTGGGGTGGCTGTATTTTAATCTATTTTCATGTGCATTACAACTCTAGCTCTGTTGGAAAAAAAACAGGGGCACAAAGGAAGGGGGAGCAATTGATTCTGCGCCTCCTAGAAAGCTGGGCGCCCATCCTTTTGGAGCTGAGGCCCACTCCAGTGGGCTTGGGGGTTGCCCCAATCCAGGAGGCAGACAAATATTACTACTACTACTACTAATAATAATAATACAAATAATATTTTCTAAAACGTTTAGTGATGCTATACACCAGATCCAGTGCTGGAGACCCAGTGCAGTCACCAGACCCAATGCAGTGATGGAACTGAATCCTTTCAAGAAATCCCACAGAGGCCGGGTGCAGTGGCTCAGGCCTGTAATCCCAGCACTTTGGGAGCCCGAGGAGGGGGCAGATCACCTGAGGTCAGGAGTTCGAGACCAGCCTGGCCAACATGGTGAAACCCTGTCTCTACTAAAAATACAAGAATTAGCAGGGTGTGGTGGGAGGCGCCTGTAATCCCAGCTACTCGGGAGGCAGAGGCAGGAGAATCACTTGAACCTAGGAGATGGAGGTTGCAGTGAGCCGAGATCGCACCACTGTGCTCCGGCCTGGGTGACAGAGCGAGACTGTCAAAAAAAAAGAAAAGAAAGAAGAGAGAGAAGGAAGAAAAGAAGGAAGGAAGGGTGGGAGGGAGGGAGGGAGGGAGGAAGGAAGGAAGGAAGGAAGGAAAGAAAGAAAGAAAGAAAGAAAGAAAGAAAGAAAGAAAGAAAAAGAGAAAGAGAAAGAAAGAAAGAAAATAAATCAGTAAGGTCATAATTTACAGATGAAGAAACTGAGATGCAGAAAGAGTGAGTTACTTGCCCAGGCTCTCCCAGCTGAGTGGTGGGATGTGGACCCAGGCAGCCTGGTATGGGAGCAGGTTTCTAGCCACTCCTCTGTGGAGTCACTATTCTAGGCTGGCCTTTTCCAGGCAGATTATTCAGCCTTTTTGTCTTAGAATGATGATTGCATATGCTTGCATAGCACTTGCATATACTTACAGTTTATGTGTGTTTCTTAGCTAGTATCTCATTTAATCATTCACATAACATGGATGAATTGAATCATTCACTCAATTTGTTGAGTGTCTACCAACTGCCAATAGCTGATGCTCTAAATTCTTGCTGCTCAAAATGTAGCCCCTAGGGCCGGGCGCGGTGGCTCAAACCTGTAATCCCAGCACTTTGGGAGGCCAAGGAGGGAGGATCACCTAGGTTAGGAGTTCGAGACCAGCCTGGCCAACATGGAGAAACCCTGTCTCTACTAAAAATACAAAAATTAGCTGGGCATGCTTGTGCGTGCCTGTAATCCCAGGTACTTGGGAGGCTGAGGCGGGAGAATCCCTTGAACCCAGGAGGCAGAGGTTGCAGTTAGCTGGGATCGTGCCTGGGTTGCACTCCAGCCTGGGCAACAAGAGTGAAACTATGTCACGGAAAACAAAACAAAACAAAAATGTGGCCCCTAGACCACAGCATCAGCGTCACCCAGCAGCTTGCTGGAAAGGCAACATCTTGGGCCCTGGTATAGACCTTAGAATCTGCATTTAAACAAGGTTCCCAGGGGATTCATAGGTACATTGAAGTTTGAGAAGCGTGGCTTTGTGATATTTCTATAATACCATTTAATAGATATCCCATTTAATGAATGAAGTCAGAGATACTGTGACTTGCTTGTATCCCCACAACTAATAATGAAGCAATATATGCAAAGAGCTCACAACAGTGTTTTGCACATAGTACGCGCTCAATAAACAATAACAATCAATGACAGAGCCAAGCTGTGAACCATGAGATTTTCAATTGCATAGCCCCTTAGCCTCAGAAGAACCCCTTTAGGCACCAGGCATTCATTCCACCAGGTAAGGCGAGGACTGTGGCTACGGCTTCCCTCCCGGCTCAGCCACTCTACAGAAAGAGAAACTAGGGGGCCCAGAAGCTACCATTGTGGTGAGCCTGATCCTATAGCAGGGGCATCCTGGGGGTGGGGGGGTCGTTATTCTCCAGAAAAGGCCGGACATAGAAAGAGGGGGACCAGAGGCTCTTCAAGGGATGCCTCCTGCAAACCCCATGCCCTCCAACCTCATCCCCTCTGCCTCCAGATGCCTTTCTAGATGAGGACCCTATACCCTAGGCCTCCCCAGGCCTCCCTCTCCTCACCTCCTGCCCTAGCCTGTTCAGTAGGTGACCACTGTGGGAAGGCCACTTGTAACCTCCCTCTCAATCAGTAGGACACAACCATGTCTCTGACGGTGGGCTGGGCTTGTTTCCCTGTGCTGACCAAGTCCTTCCCCAGGGACCCCTCAGCTAGGGTCCATGGTGACTTCACCCCAGCCTATTTCCTGAACACCTGCTGGGGAGTTCCCCAGACTTTCCTCCCAACTTCCTGGAAAGTGCTGGCTCCCCATCCTCCTTCGAGAACTAAAGACAAGAAAACATATGTATCTTTAAACAGCCTATTGTTTTATCTCTTTTATTCTATGAAATAAAAAATTTAATACACAAATACTTTAAGCAAAATTTGCTTATAGTAAAAATTCAAGTAATAAAATTCAAATAATAGAAAGCAAAAAAATCCCACCCGTTCAACATTTCACGAGTCTTGAACACCTGTTTCCTTTGCACCCGACTTCATTAGGCTCGGAGGCCAAGCAGAACCCACAGAAAGGCTTGCCATTGTGGGAACACCCAGGCTGTCCCATTCACACACCCATTGACTTTTCCCTATAACTGTCTCCTTGAGACAAGAAATGTTCCAAAAGGGCCGGGTGCGGTGGCTCACGCCTGTAATCCCACCACTTTGGGAGGCCGAGGAGGGCGGCTCACCTGAGATCAGGAGTTCAAGACCAGCCTGGCCAACATGGTGAAACCCGGTCTCTACTAAAAATACAAAAATTAGCCGGGCGCCAGTAATCCCAGCTACTCGGGAGGCTGAGGCAGGAGAATGGCTTAAGCCCAGGAGGCGGAGGTTGCAGTGAGCCGAGATCGCGCCACTGCACTCCAGCCTGGGTGACACAGCGAGACTATCTCCCCCCGCAAAAAAAAAAAGTTTCCAAGAGCGTCTCTCCAATGTTAGTCCCAGCCTGCACCCTTCTTCCATCCCTGCTTTCACTCGCGACCCTCTAATGCAGCCCTGCCTCCAGCGACCCCCGGGATGGAACCCCTCGCCCACCCACAAAAGAGCAGCCTCGACCTAGACCCACTTTCCAGGGAATGAGCCCTGCGCCTGCGCGCACCCCGCCACCCCCTCCAGGCCGGAGTCCACGCCCACTTGGGGGAGGAGCCCCGCAGCCTCCACCTACAGGGGCGTCCCCTAAGGGGACGGAGGCCGCATGGGCCGCCGAGCCGGGAAATCTCCGCCCCCAGCTGGAGCGGCTGTGCGGGCTGCGTAGCGGTGCTGGGTCGGGCCGACGTGCCACCCACCCGGAGCCGGTGAGTGCAGCCGCCCGCCCTCCGGTAGATCTGCGGCCTGGCGGAGAAGTCGGGAGGGGACAGGAAGGGAGGGCGGGCCCCGGGCCCTCCTCCGTCTCAGCCGCCTGCGGAGGTGCTGCCCACGCCTGGAGGCCCCCACTGACCCTCAGACCCGCGTCTGCGCCCCTCTCCCCGCACCCCGAGGCAGAGTTGGGAAAGCAGTGGTCTTAGACCCCCCACCTCGGGCACTCGGAAGAGAACGGCGGAGACAACCCCTCCTCTTCCCTGGCTGGCGCAGCGCCAGCCTCGAGCTCCTCGGTAGCCCCCGGGCAGGGAGGGCCGGAGGGTGGGCGCGGCATCTTCAGCGACTCTTCGAAGTCCCTTCCGCGTCTCATCTTTCAAGGCTGTTGCAGAGGCGGCTTGCTTCCCACCTGTCCATCTCCATAAAAATCCCTAAACGAAACATGCCCACGTGTCCGGAGATTTTCAGGACTTGGTGCATTTCAGATGAAGGCTTTTCCAGAAGCTTCCCCGTAGAAGAGGATCAGGCATCCAACTGGTTAAGGTCAGCAGCGTTTGGCACGTCTCCTTCCAGCCTGGCGGTTTTGTCAGGATTCCCTGGGGAGTGTCTGGAAAGCCTGATGAGGGGAAATAGTACATCTCAGCGAATCGGCACCAGCGAGTGTAAGATGCGCGTTATTGAATGTGCTGCTGCCGAATATGAGAATGCCGAGATTGTGAGCCGTCACCATTTCTTAGATTTTAAAAGTATTCTAAAATGTTTTTTAGAATCACTGAAATATAATAGCTACCCCCTGCCCGATATCTACTTAGTTCTTTTCGATTTTCATCATAACTTATAGAGAGGCTGGTGCAGGAACAGGTGGTTAGGCAGCTGCCCCGGGTGAGGCTGGGAGTCTCCTCTGCCCGAACAGCCCGGGTGTACACCACTCAGACTGCCTCATGTAGGCGGCTGTCAGTGGACTGGGATGATTTGGGGGCAGGGAGAGTAGAGGTGGCCCTGGGAGCCCTGCGTGGTGATTAGAACAGAACCACAGCTGTTTCTCGGGGATCAGAGATAACTGTCTGTAGCTATGCCGGGCTTACCTACGTGGCTGGGGGTCTCACTTATGATTCTGAGCTCTGTCTGCGTGTTGGTCGTTTCATGCACACCTCCCCCACGCTAGTGGTCGGCGGTCCTGGAGGGCGGCATCTGGTCCCTTCAAAAGTGGGAAATAAGTCGGCAGCAGTGGGTCAGAATGGCTGTTTTTTGAGAGCGGGAGCAGGGGGACAGAGAAAGTCAGGAGGTGTTAGAGGTTCACAGTCCAGGCAAAAAGTAACAAAGGCCAGCTCCTGGTGTGGCAGGTGCCGCTCAGGAATAAAGTGGATGGTGCCCATGATGTGCTGCCTAGCACACTGTTGGTGCTTAATAAGTGTTTGCTGCATGAAGAAAGGTAAGAGGGGCTGCCTTTCCTGCTACGTTTCCCACACCCTGCCACAGCTGCTCTTCTCTATGATCTGACCGCCTCCCAGCCACACTCCCTTTTTGGCCATGCTTGCTCTTAAAGTTAGTTGGCAGCAAAAATGGCGGCATGGAGGATGCTTGGCACCTGTTAAAGATGCTAGAGATAAATGAGCTAAGTCGGTGGCCTCTTTTGCCCATTTCTGCCCACAGGGATGCCAGAAGGGCCGTTGGTGAGGAAATTTCACCATTTGGTCTCCCCCTTTGTGGGTCAGCAGGTGGTCAAGACAGGGGGCAGCAGTAAGAAGCTACAGCCCGCCAGCCTGCAGTCTCTGTGGCTCCAGGACACCCAGGTGAGGTAATACTCCTCTGAAGGGTTGGCTCTGTCGCCCATCCTGCGCCTCCCCTAGGATCTATCCCCATATGTCTCAGGGTGTCACTTCCCTGAGTCCGGAACCACCAAGCTCGGACTCCATGCAGCTCCCTCTTTCAGTCTCACGTGTCTCAGCCAGAAGTAGATATCGCTGTGGACTGTAGAACTGTAAAGAACACGTGTGGATGAGCTGGAGACCCCGATTCAGAGGGTCTGGAGTGCTCCTATTCTCTCCGGCCGCAGCTGATGGGCACCTTTGGCTGGGAACTGTGTTCTATTCCCCTGAGCCAGTGGAGAATTAAGGACAGAGCAGAACCGGCTGGGCACGGTGGCTCGCACCTGTAATCCCAGCACTTTGGGAGGCCGAGGCGGGTGGATCACTAGGTCAGGAGTTCAAGACCAGCCTGGCTAACATGATGAAACCCCGTCTCTACTAAAAATGCAAAAATTGGCTGGGTGTGGTGGTGGGCGCCTGTAATCCCAGCTGCTCGGGAAGCTGAGGCAGGAGAATTGCTTGAACCCGGGAGGCCGAGATTGCAGTGAGATGAGATTGTGCTACTGCACTCCAGCCTGGGTGACAGAGTGAGACTCCGTCTCAAAAAAAAGAAAAGAAAAGAGCAGAACCTTCAGATCTAGGTTCAAACCAGCTCATCCTTCCAGGGGCTCACGGAGCTCCCTGTTTTCTCACCACTGCCTCCCTCTCTAGCCTTCTTATCCTGCCCCAAACCTGTCTTCTGATCGATGAAACTGCCTTTGGCTCTTCTTAGTGTTTCTGTCCGTGGTTTTCACTTGCTGCCCCCTGCTCAAGCACTTCTTCCTTTTTCTCCCAACTCTGCCCCTGTTCCCTCAATTTATAATGGTAATTCCTGGTCTTCCAGCTTCCACTTGGCCATTGCATCCTCAGAGAAGCCTGCCCTGTCTGCTTTAGGTGGGAAGGAGACTCCATCTCTGTGCTTCCAGGACATCATGTACTTCCTCCTGTTCTTCCCTTTTTACTGAGTTGTTCTGCTTGTTGAGGGGAGAGGACAGATGCAGAGGGCAGGGGCTGCTCCTCGCCAGTATTGTGCCCCCAGCACTTAGCTGAGTGCCGGCACGTAGGAAGCACGGGTGGTGCCTGTGGATGAGCTCACGCGCTCTGCTGCTGCTTAGCCGTGTGCTCTTAAGCATGTTCATCTCATAGCTCTTTCTTCTATTGTAGAATGGAGATAAGCCATTGACCTCTTAAAGTTGTTGTTTTAAGTAGAGTTTATGCCTGGCACATAACGGGTACTCCATAAGTACTAGTTCCCTTTCTTCCATCTTGCCCTCACCCCCCACCCCCGCAACACACACACACAGAGGTTTTAAAACCGTTGTTAGTTAGAACTGGAAGAGATCCTGTAGCCCTGTACCCATAGTTGATTCCTTTGGAGACTGAGGCTCGGAGAAGGGAGTACTTAGCCCAAGCTCAGGTGGCTGGCAAGGAACAGGTGAGAGCACGGGGTCCCATGGCCTCCAGGACTGTGGCCTCTTTGTACACACTGTCCTTCGAGGTTTGCAGGGGCAGAATTGTCTCTTGTCTCTGGATCCCCAGCACTTACCAGGGTGTCTGCCACAGAGCTGGCTGTAAGAGAATATTTCCCAAGTGGATGGGTGGGCAGATGGATGTGCGGTGAAGGAACCCGTAGACGGGACTGGGAGCTGCTTTCCCAGTAAACCAAGCAGAAAACCATGTTGCAGGGAACCTAAGGTTGCAGGGAACCTTCGGGGCTGCCTGGCAGTGCTTTGAAGTGAGCGCCCTTCCCTGCTTCTCCCTGTCGGCGGGTCCCTGACCCTAGGAACTTAGAACTGAATTGAGAACATACGGCTTGTATCGACACAGGCCACACTATTAAGCTATGCTAAATGGGGAGGGCAGAGCACATCATAAAGGCCCAGGTAATGACCCTGACAGGAAGAGGTCCCGGTGGCCTGGAGAAGATGTGCAGGAGGTAGGACTTGAGTTGGGCCTTGAAGGCTGGAGGATTTCAGTGGACTGAAGAGGGAGGAAAGGGCATTTCAGGCTTGAGAAGCAGTTACAGGCGGGCCGATGGAGGTGGAGTGAGCAGGGTGAGTTGATGAGGCAGGAGGGAGCTTGGCTGCACTCTGTGCCATCTGTTTGTCTGGCACATCCTTTTCTTGTCAGCTCTCCATTTTCTATATAGGAGTTGTGTTGGATTACTCATAACAGACTCAGAAAAATGGCTACTCTAGCTCATGGTTTTCTCCTCCTCCAGTAATGGAACAGTCCAGGGTGGTATAGGAGCAACATTGGAAACCAAGCTCCTTCTACTCTCCCCTTCCAAGACTGGGTAATTTATGAAGGAAAGAGGTTTAATGGACTCACAGTTCTGCATGGCTGGGGAGGCCTCGCAATTATGGCAGTAGGCGAAGGGGAAACAAAGGCACATCCTACATGGTGGAAGGCAAGAGAGCTTGTGCAGGGGAATTACCATTTATAAAACCGTCAGGCCAGGTGCAGTGGCTCATGCCTGTAATCCCAGCACTTTGGGAGGCAGAGGTGGGCAGGTCGCCTGAGGTCAGGAGTTTGAGACCAGCCTGGCCAACATGTTAAACCCCATCTCTACTAAAGATGCACAAATTAGCTGGGCATGGTGGTGGGCGCCTGTAATCCCAGCTACTTGGGAGGCTGAGGCAGGAGAATTGCTTGAACCCAGGAGACAGAGGTTGCAGTGAGCTGAGATCGCACCTGCGCTCCAGCCTCAGCAACAGAGTGAGACTCCATCTGAAAAACAACAACAACAAAAAACCCATCAGATCTCTTGAGACTTATTTACTATCACGAGAACAGCCCCCATGATTCAATTACCTCCCACTGGGTACCTCCCACCAGGTCCGTCCCATAACACATGGGAATCATGGGAGTTATATTATTCCACCCCCAGGCCCTTCCAAAGCACAAGTCCTCACATTTCAAAACCAATCATGCCTTCCCAACAGTCCCCAAAAGTCTTAATTCATTTCAGCATTAATTTAATAGGCCACAGTCCAAAGTCTCATCTGAGACAAGGCAGGTTGCTTCCACCTATGAGCCTGTAAAATCAAAAGCAAGTTAGTTACTTCCTAGATACAATGGGGGTACAGGCATTGGGTAAATACACCTGTTTCAAATGGGAGAAATTGGCCAAAACGAAGGGGCTACAGGCCCCATGCAAGTCTGAAATCCAGTGAGGCAGTCAAATCTTAAAGCTCCAAAATGATCTTTGACTCCATGTCTCTCATCCAGGGCACGCTGATGCAAGAGGTAGACTCCCACGGCCTTGGGCAGCTCTGCCTCTGTGGCTTTGGTAGGGTACAGTCCGTCATCCTGGCTGCTTTCACAGGCTGGCATTGAGTGTCTGTGTGTTTTCCAGGGCAGGGTGCAAGCTGTCAGTAGATCTACCATTCTGGGGTCTGGAGGACAGTGGCCCTCTTCTCACAGCTCTACTAGGCAGTGCCCCAGTGGGAACTCTGCCTTGGGGCTCTAACCCCGTCTTTTCCTTCTGCACTGCCCTAGCAGAGGTTCTCAATGAGGGCTCTGCCCCTGCAGCACACCTCTGCCTGGACATCCCGTTGTTTCTATACATCCTCAGAAATCTAGGTGGAGGTTTCCAAACCTCCATTCTTAACTTCTGTGCACCTGCAGGCTCAACACCACATGTGAACCGCCAAGGCTTGGGGCTTGTACCCTCTGAAGCAGCAGCCTGGGTTGTACATTGGCGCTTTTTAGCCATGGCTGGAGGGGCTAGGACACAGGGCACCAAGTCCCTAGGCTGCACACAGCAGAGGGGGCCCTGGATCTGGCCCAGGAAACCATTTTTTCCTTCTAGGTGTCTGGACCTGTGATGG
This sequence comes from Homo sapiens, assembly GCF_000001405.40. Lineage (NCBI taxonomy): Eukaryota > Metazoa > Chordata > Mammalia > Primates > Hominidae > Homo > Homo sapiens. Next base: position 11,775,473 of record NC_000008.11, read on the forward strand.
GAGGGGCTGCTGTGAAGGTCTCTGACATGCTCTGGAGACATTTTCCTTATTGGCTTGGTGGTTAGCATTTGACTCCTAGTTACTTATGCAAATTTCTGCAGCCAGCTTGAATTTCTCCCCAGAAAATGGGTTTTTCTTTTCTACTGCATCATCAGGCTGCAAATTTTTCAAACTTCTGTGCTCTGCTTCCTCTTGAATGCTTTGCCACTTAGAAATTTCTTTCACCAGATGCCATAATCATGTCTCTCAAGTTCAAATTTCCATAGATCTCTAGGGCAGGGGCAAAATGCCACCAGTCTCTTAGCACAGCAAGAATCACCTTTACTCTAGTTCCCAGCAAGTTCCTCATCTCCATCTGAGACCACTTCAGCCTGTACCTTATTGTCCATATCACTATCAGCATTTTGATCAAAGCCATTCAACAAGTATCTAGGAAGTTCCAAACTTTCCCACATTTTCCTGTCTTCTTCTGAGCCCTCCAGACTGTTTCAACCTCTGCCTGTTACCCAGTTCCAAAGTTGCTTCCGCATTTTTAGATGTCTTTACAGCAATGCCCCCCTCCCAATACCAGTTTACAGTATTAGTCTGTTCTCATGCTGCTGATAAAGACATAACCAAGACTTGGTAATTTATAAAGGGAAGAGGTTTAGTGGACTCACAATTCCACATGTCTGGGGAGTCCTCATAATCATGGTGGAAGGCAAAGGAGAAGCAAAGGCATGTCTTACATGGCAGCAGGCAAGAAAGAGCATGTGCAGGGGAACTGCCCTTTATAAAACCATCAGATCTTGTGAGACTTACTGTTGTGGGAACAGCATGGGAAAAAACCCATCCCCATGATTCAGTTATCTCCCACCGGGTCCCCCCCACAACACGTGGGAATTATGGGAGCTAAAATTCAAGATGAGATTTGGGTGGAGACACAGCCAAACCATATCACACATTTTATGGTCAGTGATGTCCAGTCATCAGTTGTTGGACACTCGGATTGTTTCAACTCTTTGACTTCTATGGATAATGCTGCTGTGGGCATTCATATGCAAGTATTGGTGTAGACGTATGTTTCCATTTCTCTTGAGAGTATTCCTAGGAGTGGAATTGCTGGACCATATAGTATGTTGAACTTTTTTAGTGTCTTCTGTAGTGTTTTCCAAGGCAGCTGCACCATTTTATCATCCCACCAGCAGTGTATGAGGACCAATCCTTCCATTTTTAACCTCTTGCCACAGCACCTGGGGCCTCCCCATCTCCAGGTCACCTGGGGTCACGATGGGTAGGTCCCCTGGGTTCTCTCTTCCTTGGGGCTCCCCTCTGCTGCAGCAGGGGTCTCTGCTCTCCCTCATCAGTTACCCTTCCTGTGCCTGTTCCTCATCTTCTGGGGGGACTTTGTATCTCCTGTCTGCTCCTCCTCTTGGTCCTGAGAGTTGAGAGCTCTTTGGTTCCTATAGCGGGTTTGTTGGGAGTAGTGCTAACAGCGCACGCCCTGGCTGCTGTGTCTGACCAGGAGCCCCTGTTCCAGTGTAGGGTTTCCACCTCTGCCTTCAGGTATGTCCCCTCAGCTGGGCACACCCTGTCTCCTCTGCCCTCCACTCTTCTTGTGAAGCCCAGCCCAGGTAACGGCCAGCTTCCCCTCATCATGTAGACTCTTCTTCCGTGTGCTACGTCTGCTTCTACCCACACTTTTCTTTTCTTTTTTTTTTGTACAGATGGGCGTTTCACTTTGTTACCCAGGCTGGTCTCGATCTCCTGGGCTCAAGCAATCCTCTCGTCTCAGCCTCCCAAAGTGCAGGGATTACAGGCATGAGCCACTGTGCCTGGCCTAGCCACACTTTTCTCTGTGCTCTTGTAGTATCTGTTTTCACAGTTGTCCCCCTCCCACCCCCACCGCCTTTTAAAAATTTTTAAAATTGTGATGAAAAACACATAACAAACTTTACTGTCTTAACCATTTTAAAGTATATAGTTCAGTCATGTTAAGTGTATTCACGTTGTCTAACAGTTTCCCTGAACTTTTTTATCTCCCCAAGCTGAGACTCCATACCTGTTGAACGCTAACTCCCCCTTTCCTCCCTCCCTGCAGCCCCTGGCAATCACCTTTCTACTTTCTGTCTCGATGAATTTTACTTCCCCAGATACCTCATATCAGTGGAATTATACAGTATTTGGAGTTTTTTTGACTGGCTTATTTCACTTAGTATAAAGTCCTCAAAGTTCACCCATGTTATAGATAAGGGAAGATTGGAGATTGTTGTAATCTAATTTTGCTGCTATTACAGAATATTTGAGACTGCATAATTTATAAGCAATGTAAGTCTATTTAGCTCACAGTTCTGGAGCCTGGAAAGTCCAAGGGCATGGCATTGGCATCTTGCCGTGTCATTTGCAATTGGCATTATTCCATTCAGGAGGCCAGAGCTCTATGGCCTAATCTCAAAGTTGCCATCTCTTACCACTGTTCCATTGGGGATTAAGTTTCCAACACATACTTTTTGAGGAACACATTGAAAGCATTGCAGAGCCTTATTCATCTGTTTGCCCTTGGAGCCTAGCACACTGCCAGGCACATTGAATAAGCTTAATTAATGATTAGTGAATTGAAGTGGCTGCAGTGTCACAGGAACCCAAAAGAGGGACAGCAGAAATTGCCATAGTTGGTATGAGGACATCCTGACCTAGACATTTTTGACCTAGTAAATGTTTTGTTCATGATGGGCATTTGACAGTTATTTTCATCAGAATTATATCAACATTGGTGAGTTTATACCAAGAAATATTTTCTGCAGCAAATTCTATTATGCCCACTTAAATCCTTGCTCAGTTTTTTTTTTTTTTTTTTTTATGTAGGTCAGTTAAACCATTTCTAATATGTGGCAGATAACAATCTGTGCTCAGATTTACAGATAAGCTATTCTGGGATTATTTCGAAAGGTAATGCTCTTTTGGGTGGAGGACTTCAAGATTAATTTGTGTACTAATTAACAAGTTAAAGATCATACCAGAACAGTGATCTTTAAGCACGGACCTGTAGTGGTCAAGAAAGTAACACAGGCATTTCCAGTATTAATGCCAGATATTTTGGTTTATACTCCTTGAAAGACTGCCTGAATTTCAGGCTGTGTAGAACTGACTCATCCTGGAATCTAGGCCTACATATTGCATATCAGGAGGTGCAATATGAAAATAAAGTCAAAGCAAGGGCCCAGGCATGGTGGCTCATGCCTGGAATCCCAACACTTTGGGAGGCCAAGACGGGCAGATCGCTTGAGGTCAGGAGTTCGAGACCAGCCTTGCTAACGTGGTGAGACGTGGTCTCTGCTAAATATACAAAAATTAGCTGGGGGTGGTGGTGTGCACCTACAGTCCCAGCTACTTGGGAAGCTGAGGCAAGAGAATCACTTGAACCCAGGAGATGGAGGCTGCAGTGAGCCAAGATGGTGCCACTACACTCCAGTCTAGGCGAGACTCCATCTGAAAAAAAAAAAAAAAAAAAAAAGACAGCAGAACATCCTTTAACACACATTTTCTATATTTATTTTCTTCTACTGAAATCATTTTCAGTGAGATGAGGTGGGTCCTTTGCCTTATACTTTTTAGAGTGGTGATCTGATTCACTGATCAATTTTTGTTTCAGTATCTAATTTTTATTGATTACAGTTTCCTTATCAAGTCCAATATGCTGGTGGAGGGGGTAGCGAGGGGTACCCAGTTTCACAGGGTGTTGTCTTTAGCTGCTCTGTATGTGTGCATTCCCACGCACCGCTTATTTCTGGCATAGAAAATGTATTACGAATGGAATGAAGGAATGACAACTTATGTTCATTTCTTAGCTACTGCATGAAAAAATTGGGAGCGATTCCCTTCAGGTATTCCAGGGTGGCCTTGCCATCTTGCATGGGTGTGTTTCACTGCCAACTAAGTCTCCTTGCTCCCAGTCACTTTGAAAACCACATGCGAACTGCTCACACCACTGGAGCAAAAGAGCAAAAGGCAGAGTCCAAAGACTTCATTTGGGAAGGCCCCCCAGGAGGGGTGAGAAGGAAGACCTTTGCAATAGGATAAATATCCGCATTCCCCAGTTCCCCTCTCTGGGTCTGTAAGGCTTGGATCTCTGTTCATTTTTTCTAGGTCCATGGAAAGAAATTATTCCTTAGATTTGATCTAGATGAAGAAATGGGGCCCCCTGGCAGCAGCCCAACACCAGAGCCTCCACAAAAAGAAGTGCAGAAGGAAGGGGCTGCGGACCCAAAGCAGGTCGGGGAGCCCAGCGGGCAGAAGACCCTTGATGGATCCTCACGGTCTGCAGAGCTCGTCCCCCAGGGCGAGGATGATTCTGAGTATTTGGAGAGAGACGCCCCTGCAGGAGATGCTGGGAGGTGGCTGCGTGTCAGCTTTGGTTTGTTTGGCAGCGTTTGGGTGAACGATTTCTCCAGAGCCAAGAAAGCCAACAAGAGGGGGGACTGGAGGGACCCTTCCCCGAGGTAATGGTGTGGCCATCTGATTTTCGTGGGCTCTGATAGTCATAGGGCCCTGCTTGGTGGGGTTTGGGACTTCAGCAGTGGGGACATACTGAGGACGTCCAGTCTGCCCCCCAGGGCCCTGCTGTCTTGGGGAGAGAGGCCACCTCTGTATCTACCTGTGATAGGAAGTAGACTGTGGTCTGCATGCAGGAGAGGGTTGTGCACCAAGAGGTGGCTGGGAGAAGGGGAGAATTTTCCCAGCAAATGTGGCACTTGAGGGGGGACTGTCCCTGAAGAACATTTTATTGCCTGACTCCTGACTAGTGTGCTTTGAATTTAGGGAGAAGATTTTCCCAGTTTTATTTTAAGTATATTGTTTGTGTGTTTATTTTTTATTGAGATATAATTAACATTCAGTAGAATGCAGATCTTAAGTATTCAGCTTGATGAGTTTTTTTGCTTTGTTTTGAGACGGAGTCTTGCTCTGTTGGCCCAGGCTGGAGTGCAGTGGCACGATCTCGCCTCACTGCAACCTCTGCCTCCCAGGTTCAACCAATTCTCCTGCCTTAGCCTCGGAGGAGCTGGGACTACAGGTGCGTGCCACCACACCGGCTAACTTTTGTATTTTTAATAGAGACGGGGTTTCACCATGTTGGACAGGCTGGCTGGTCTGGAACTCCTGGCCTCAAGCGATCGCCTACCTCCGCCTCCCAAAGTGCTGGGATTACAGGCGTGAGCCACCATGCTTGGCCCCAGTTTTTATAATCTATGAATGTTGAGATCAACATTTTATGCATAAGACTCTATCTAGGTTTAGGATATGTCCTCAGTGTCAATTCCCAGAGGAGTAATTGCTGGTCAGAGGGAATGCATATTCTTAGGGCTGTACATTTTTCTGGCCTTAGGAAAGTGCTAGCTGAGCTGAAATCTCATGAATGTTAGGTCGTTTGTGTACTTCTTATCAATGTAATGAAGCTTTTGCACAGAAAGTCTGTTTGTTTTTGTGACATGTGTTGCCAGTATTGTTTCAAGTCTGTCCTCTGTCCTTTGATTGTGCTTATGATGTCTCTTGGCATTTGGGATTTTAAATTTTTATATCATCAACGGTGGGTATTTTTCTTGGTTGCTTGTAGGTTTCCCCTTTTGCTAAAAAAAGGCCCCTTCTGCCCCCAGAGAAAGTCACATGCCTTCTATTTTCTGAAGTTTTATAACTTGTAAAAATGTTTAGAAGTGTAGTCTTTATTTGTGTGGCCTGACGTAGGTACCATAGGATGCTATGGGCTGTAAAAATAACTCGGAGTAGCTTCTGTGGTCTGGAGATTTTGGGCTCACATGACTGGAAGTTCAGAAGGAGGGTGGGCTTTGGGGCTGCCGTTCCAAGGTTCTGGCTTCCTGTTTTTGTGATTCTCCTGGCTTTGCACTTTCCACGCATTGGTTTTCTCCTTAGACCAGCAGCAAGAGGCTACTGCAGCTCCAGGATTTTATTCACACCAAAAAATCCAGAAGAAGAGCAGATCATTTTTAGAAGTTCAGATGAGGAAACTTTCCTTAGAACCCCCAGCAAACCTGTCATCATCAGGAGCCTGCCCTTTGCTGAGTCCTGGATTAGTCACCAGCTGGAGGCATTGAAATGTGCTCCCCGAAGGAGGCTCACCCCTAGGTTTTCAGATATAGTGCCGTAGAGTGAATGTGTATCATGCCATTATTTTTAAATCTCTTTTTACCTGGTTAGGTCTCTTTTCTCATGTACCTGTTTTATGTTTACTTTGCTTTGTCTCTTTTTTCTTTAATAGGCTGGCCTGAGTTTATCTACTTTGTTGGTCTTTGAAATAAATACTATTAGCTTGCCAGGTATAATACTGACTCCTGTCTGTAATCCCAGCACTTTGGGAGGCTGAGACAGGAGGATCACTTGAGCCCAGGAGTAAGAGACTAGCCTGGGCAACATAGTGAAGACCCTGTTTGTACAAAAAAATAAAATAAAATTAACCGGGTGTGGGGGTGCATACCTGTAGTCCCAGTTACTTGGGAGGCTGAAGTGGGAGGGTAGTTTGAGCCAGGGAGGTTGAGACTGCAGTGAGCTGTGATTGTGCCACTATACTCCAGCCTGGGCAACAGAGCAAGACCCTATTTCCAAATAAATAAATAAATAAAATTAGCTTTATATATCCTTTCTATATGGAAAGGGTATATGGAGTATTGAAAATATTAGGTTGGGTGTGGTGGCTCACACCTGTAATCCCAGCACTTTACGAGGCCGAGGCAGGTGGATCACCTGACGTCAGGAGTTCGAGACCAGCCTGGCCAACATGATGAAACCCCCATCTCTACTAAAAGTACAAAAAGTTAGCCAGGTGTGGTGGTATGCACCTGTAATCCCAGCTACTCGGGAGGCTGAGGCAGGAGAATCGCTTGAACCTGGGAGGAAGAGATTGCAGTGAGCCAAGATAGTGCCACTGCACTCCCGCTTGGGTGACAAGAATGAAACTCCATCTCAAAAAAAACACATTATAAGTCAAAAAAGCATTTAATATGCCTAGCCTACCAAACATCTGGGCTTAGCCTAACCTACCTTATATGTGCTCAGAACAATTACATTAGCCTACAGTTGGGCAAAATCATCTAACACAAAGCTTGTTCTATAAAATGTTGAATATCTCACGTAATTTATTGAATGCTGTACTGAAAATGAAGGTTTTATAGGTACTCAAAGTATGGCTTTTACTGAGTGTGCATTGATTTTGTACCATTATAAAATCAAAAATTAAAAGTGAACCATTGTAAGTCAGGGATGTCTGTATGTGTGTATGATCCAGCCACAGAGTGTGCTCTGACTACGTTGTGGTAACGATGTGGGGATGTGTGTATGTGTGTATGATCCAGCCACAGAGTGTGCTTGGACTATATTGTAACGATGTGGGGATGTGTGTATGTGTGTATGATCCAGCCACAGAGTGTGCTCTATGTTGTGGTAACGATGTGGGGATGTGTGTATGTGTGTATGATCCAGCCACAGAGTGTCCTCTGACTATGTTGTGGTAATGATGTGGGGATGTGTGTATGTGTGCATGATCCAGCCACAGAGTGTGCTCTGACTATACTGTGGTAACGATGTGGGGATGTCTGTATGTGTGTATGATCCAGCCACAGAGTGTGCTCTATGTTGTGGTAACGATGTGGGGATGTGTGTATGTGTGTATGACCCAGCCACAGGGTGTGCTCTGACTATACTGTGGTAACGATGTGTACATATGACCTGTTCTTTCTTCCCAGGTTGGTCCTGCACTTTGGTGGTGGTGGCTTCCTGGCATTTTATAATTGTCAGTTGTCTTGGAGCTCTTCCCCAGTGGTCACACCCACCTGTGACATCCTGTCTGAGAAGTTCCATCGAGGACAAGCCTTAGAAGCTCTAGGCCAGGCTCAGCCTGTCTGCTATACACTGCTGGACCAGAGATACTTCTCAGGGCTAGGTATGACTCATGGGAAAGGGGTGAGTCCACAGAGTTGCTTCATGGAAAAGTCGGTCCTGTGGGAGTCAGAAGACCTGAGGGCCACCCTAGTTGTGCCAGTGCTGTTGGTTTTGAGGTGCCACTTGCTCAATCTCCTTTCTTTTACTTCCCTTGTTTTTAGACTGAGGGCATTAGATCAGGCAGTTTTTAACTTGTCTCTCTGCTTCAGAATCCACACCCTAACTGTGTTATCAGTTGTGAGCCCTCTGCCAGCAGCGTTGGAGCATCACCTCCTAAAGGGTGGGGTCATGTCTCCGGCACCTCTGTACCCTCCACTGCACAGTGCAGCGCCTGCACGTAGGAGGTGCCTGACCTGTGTCTGTAGGAACTGAAGTCGTGCAGGCTGCTAACAGAGCAGTGAGCGCGTGTTCTAAGGGATGCTGCTCTTGGGTGGATGGAGCTTCCTGCCCTGGCCAGGGCACAGAGATGACTCAGTCTACACTGGGTTCTTATGCGACGCGAGTGAAGAAGCTGTTTCCCTCTCTCTATTGCAGTGGCGTGAGCAGTGAAACTGTGAGCATTTCAGGATAGGGAGAAGTGCTGAACAATTTCAAAAATACATATAACAGCTAATTAGCGGGACTATGACAGCGTGGCGTTCTTATTACTCACAGTAGGGGAATAATTGTGCCCAAAATTGGTTGCTGAAGCAATCAGGCAGGTTGGTGGTGACAGAGTCATCTCCATATCCAACATGTGGCCTTGCTGCCTGCTCACCACCCTTCACGAGGGTCGGAGGAGGCCAGGTGGTACAGCAGGCACTTGCCTTGCATTTTCATGTTAGGACCATGGGAGTCCCTGTGCACTCAGGAGCGAAGAGCCGTCGGAAGTGGCTTTTTGGGTATATATGGCAAGAGCTAACAGTAACAGTAGTAATTAATAACGGCCAGTGTTTTCCAAGCAGCTCTGATGTGCCAGGCACATGTTCTTGTCCTTACTGCTGTCCTGTAGGATGGTTATAGTGCTTTTCCCTTCCTTCAGATGAGGAAACTGAAGCAGAGAACACATCGCTAGTAAATGGTGCAGCTGAGATGTGAATCCAGGTGTTTTGTCAATGAATTCTGGAGAGACTGATGTGTGTAATGAGGAGTGTGACTATGAGGCTCTTGGAAACAGCAGGAATTTCCTTCACCCACTCACTCCAAACACACAGACACTCACTTGAGCTCTGTCACGCTCACCACCTCTCCTTAAGGAGATCATTGTATAATGGCCCAGCAAGCATGGACTCAGTCCACTGTGGGTTACTAAAGATTGCAATGAATGCCTGGTGGAGCTGAAAGAGTATGGTTGGAACATTCCCAAGAGAGTTACTGATTCTGGAAGGAGGGATCGAGGCTGGCTTCACAGAGAATGAGGCAGGAGTAGAAAAATAATAAGATAACAGCTCCCGAAACACTTTCTACATAACAAGCATTATGCTTGGTATTTCATTTATTTTATTTTTTGACACAGGGTCTCTCTCTGTCACCCAGGCCAGAGTGCAGTGGCACAATCACAACCCACTGCAGCCTCAACCTCTGTGGCTCAAGCGATCCTCCCACCTTAGCCTCCTGAGTAGGTGAGACTACAGGTGCATGACATCACGCCTCACTAATTTTTAAAATTTTTGTAGAGACAAGAAGCTCTCACTGTGTTGCCCAGGCTGGTCTTGAACTTGTGGGCTTAAATGATCCTCCTGCCTCTGCCTCCCAAAGTGCTGGGATTACAGGCGTGTGCCACTGTGCCTAGCTATGCTTGACATTTTGTTTTTAATTTAAAAAAAAATTTTTTTTGAGACAGGGTCTTGCCATGTTGCCCAGGCTGGAGTGCAGTGGCACAATCTCAGATTACTGCAAGCCCCACCTCCCAGGTTTAAGCTAGTCTCCTACCTCAGCCACCTGAGTAGCTGCGATTACAGGCAGGTGCCACCATGCCTGGCTAATTTTTGTATTTTTGGTAGAGATGGGGTTTCACCATGTTGTCCAGGCTGATCTTGAACTCCTGGCCTCAAGTGATTCACCCGCCTCTGCCTCCTAAAGTGCTGGGATTACAGGAATGCGCCAGGCCAACATTTTAAATAATAACAACAGTTAATACTTATTGAGTACTCTACATACCAGCCACTGTGCTCAGCGTCTTTTGGTGAATTCTCATTTAATGCTCACAAAAACCAGGTAAGCCATCCCTGCCTTACAGATAAGGAAACTGCAGCTAATTGAGGCTGAGGAGCTTGTCAGGGTCACGTGGGTAGGATCTGCTTGAGCTGCGATTCAAGTGCAGGCAGTCAGATGCCCGATCCGTTTTTGATAGCCTGTTTGCCATGACGGGCCATGCATGAGTTTCATTTCATCTTCACAGCAACCTTAAAGGTAGGAATTGTCAACTCCATTTTACAGACAGAGAAATGGAGTCAGAGATCGCAGACCCGTCTAGGGTCCCCCAGGACATGGAAGAGCTGATTTCTGCCTTGTTAACTTTGTGGGTGGTTTCATCATGCCATGTGTCCTTTGTCCTTCCCTTACCTTCCCCCGCTTTATTTCAGGGAACATCATTAAGAATGAAGCCTTGTACAGAGCTGGGATCCATCCCCTTTCTCTCGGTTCAGTCCTGAGTGCCTCGCGTCGGGAGGTCCTGGTGGATCACGTGGTGGAGTTCAGTACAGCCTGGCTGCAGGGCAAGTTCCAAGGCAGACCGCAGCACACACAGGTCTACCAGAAAGAACAGTGCCCTGCTGGCCACCAGGTCATGAAGGAGGCGTTTGGGCCCGAAGATGGGTTACAGAGGCTCACCTGGTGGTGCCCGCAGTGCCAGCCCCAGTTGTCAGAGGAGCCAGAGCAGTGCCAGTTCTCCTAAGGAGCTGGTGGTGCTCCTCACGGAACCTTGCCGCTTGGGGAACCTGACGTCTAAGTGTCCAGAAAGGAGGATGTGGGCAGGGACGGGGTACAGAGGATAGTGTGGGTCAGAGGTGCCAGTAGTATAATATTCGTCTCCCTGGAGTTATGTTGAAGGCAGAGTTTTCATAGGGTTAGATTTTTTTTATCCTTTTCTAGTTCAGTTAATTCATCCTGTTGAATTGCACCATCGTGAAAGATGGGAAAAATCGTGATGATGGGTAAGGGGAAAACTTCCCGGAAGGCAATGGGGCAAGGAAAAAGAAAGCCTATGGGAAATGGCTGTGCTCCCAACATAGCTTTGCAGATGATGTGGGTTTTTTTTTTTTTTTTGGTTGTTTGTTTTGAGAGAGAGTCTTGCTCTGTCTCCCTGGCTAGGGTGTGGTGGTGTGATCTTGGCTCACGGCAGCCTTGCCCTCCCTGGCTCAAGCAGTCTTCATCTCAGCCTCCAGAGTAGCTGGGACTACAGGCATGTGATATGATGCTCGGCTGATTTTTGTTTACTTTTTAGAGAGATGGGGTCTTGCCATATTTGCCAGGCTGGTTTGAACTCCTACAACTCAAGCATTCCTCCCACCTTGGTCTCCCAAAATGTTGGGACCACGGGTGTGAGCCACCGCGCCCAGCTAGCTCCTGTGTTTTGTTTTTGTTTTGTAACTTTGGTTGATGTTAAGGCCCTCCATTTTGGAAAGCAGGAAAACAGGATTTTTTTTTTTTTATCTTGTTCCCTGGAGGATCCAGGGATGAGGATAGAGTGGCCTGAGAGCAGTGCTTGGATTCAGCCTCCTGCTGGGTCCTTCTGCTGGATACAGGCACCAAGAGGCGGTCGTGGAGCAGGGAGCTGCGCCTTCCTGGGGTGCCCGGTGGTGTGTAGAGAAAAGCTGCTTGTTTACTCCTTAAGTCAATGTATTGGTGACTGTTGATTTGTTGAACAATTCAGGAATCAAGGGCTGTGGAGAAACTCCCTCATGTTGTTGGCAACAGGTGAATGAACCTAGAGCGGTGACATGAAAATAAAGCTCACTGTTACTCGCTGTTTTTGTCTTTATTTGGTAGTAAAAGGTCTTTAAATACCCAACTATTCATGGAGGTGGCCTCCAGGGCTTACTGGGTTAGCTGAGGAATCTACATAAAAGTAGCAGTGAGAGGAGGTGAGCGCACACCTGCTCCTCTGCCCCAGCTGAACAGAGATGGACTTGACCTCTGTCACCACGATGTCTGCACAGAGATTTGTGAGAGTGAAGCTGAAAACACTGGCTGATATTTCTGGCTTTCCTTTATTCTTCTCTTTTTTTTTTTTTTTTTTTTGAGACAGGGTCTCACTCTGTTGCCCAGGCTGGAGTACAGTGGTGTGACCATGGCTCACTGCAGCCTTGACCTCCCGGGCTCAGGTGATCCTTCCACCTCAGCCGCCCTAGTAGCTGGGACTACAGGTGTGCACCACTATGCCTGGCTAATTTTTGTATTTTTGTATAGAGGGAGACTCACCATGTTGTCCCAGGTGGTCTCGAACTGCAGGCCTGAAGTGATCCACTTGCTTTGGCCTCCCAAAATGCTGGGATAACAGGCATGAGTCACCATGCCCGGCCTCCTCTGTCTTAAATGACTGACAATTGTCAACAGTGCAGAGAGCCACTTGATGGCAGACCAAGTCTCTTGTACTGAAGGCTCCTCCCGCACGGGGTGCTCTCCCTGTGTCGAGGGCTGTGTCTCCCCCACCCAGTTCTCACCACTTCGCTTACTTCTTGCACATGATCTACAAAACAACACATGAAGACAGGTCCTCAACCTTGTTGTCCTTAAGTTATAGATGAGAAAACGGAAGAGTCTAGAGAGGCTGAGGACCTCGCCTAAGCTCACACAGTTAACAAGGGCCAGAGCCACACCGGAGTCAGCTCTGGCTGCCGAAATGTGCCCTAGGGGAGGTGACTCAAACAGCAGACTTATTTCTTATAGTTCTGGAGCCTGGGAAGTCCAAGATCAAGGGCTGGCTGACTCAGTTCCTCTGCTAGATCACACTGGGCATTAGGGCTTTATATGTGAATTTTAAGGGAACACAATTCAGTCTGTTACAGGCTACAAAGGAATTTGGGAGAAAATCCTCAACTTCTCAAAGGTCGTCTCCTCCCACTCTTGAAAAAACATACAATAGCTTATAAAAACCTCACTTTCCCTTCATGAAGGCCTGGATTTAAGAAAAAATGAATAAAACCTCAATTCCAGAATAGACGATGGGAAAATATTGAATAATGGATTTATTTGTATTTAGAAGGGTAGAAGAGCATACTCATGCACTTGTGTGTATATATGCACATATATAAAATATGTAACATCAAAGAATGTGGGCCAGGCGTGGTGGCTTATGCCTGTAATCCCAGCACTTTGGGAGGCAAGGCAGGTGGATAACCTGAGGTCAGGAGTTTGAGACCAGCCTGGCCAACGTGGTGAAACCCTGTCTCTACTAAAAATACAAAATTCAACCTGGCGTGGTGGTGGGCGCCTGTAATCCCGGTTACTTGGGAGGCTGAGGCAAGATAATAGCTTTAACTGGGGAGGAAGAGGTTGCAGTGAGCCCAGATCACGCCACTGCAGTCCAGCCTGGGCCACAGAGTGAGACTCTATCTCAAAAAAAAAGTGTGTGTGTGTGTGTACTGAAATGCACCTTTCTAACCCATATGGTTAGGACAAGACTAGGACTCCAGGCATGAGCTGCTGCAAATGAGGCTGAGACCATTTCCTATGAGTGGGTGTCTATAGGACAGTGGGTCCAGGGGCTCCCCAGACATAGTGGGGACTGAATACCATGGCCTGCGTGTGGTCTGCTCCAACTGGGATTGGTAGAAAGGAAAAGGCGGTTGTGGCGCCGAAAAGGAAGTTGTTGACAAAGAAGCAATGGGGCGGCTGTAGCTGTAGGAGTGGAGAGGGTGAGAGGCGCGGGCCACGGCGGCACTGGGCTCTGTTGGTGTCAGCTGGCCAACAGTGTGGGCACCGGGGCAAGGAGGGAACACTGGAGCGGCTCAGCCGGCACTGAGCTGAGCAGTGGCAGAGGCCACCGCCTGGCAGATGGGGAAAGGCAGAGTGGGTGAGCGGGCACTGTGTATCACCCCCTGAGGCGTGCTGAGCTCGAGCCTGTGACCACCTGTGCTGTGGAGATGGAGACAATGTAATTGGGAAGCAGGCCTGGCCTCCCCCTGCCACAGGGACAGGCTGGTCTTAGAGGCACCGATGGGGCAGCTTTCCTAGTAGGAGTCATGATGAGCTACAGAGGCTCACAGGGTGTCATGGAGCACGAGGAAAGGTGCAGGGAATCCTAGAGAAAGTCTTGTGTTTAAGGAGCAAGACAGGAAGGAGAAACCAGTCAGTGAGATGGGTCAAATGTAAGTGGAGAAAGGAACGTCCAAGGAGAAGCGGGCTGTCGCTATGGTGAATCATGCAGAGATGAAGGCGGGACGATGGAGCAGTGGCCCCTTGGGCTTGGCAGGTGATCAAATTCGAGGTCATGATGACCTTCAGGAGAGCACTGTGTGCAGAGTGCCAGCAGTGGGAAGGGACCGGGTGGGAGGGAGGACGTGGAATGTGAGGGTGGTCTCCCCTGCAGGAAGTTTGGCCTTGGAGGGGATGAAAATGAAGGGCAGGGAGGAGTCGCGAGCGAACAAGCAGGAGGGTGTTCGACTGCTAGAGCTGAGCTAAGCGATGCCTAAATCAAAGGAACTTGTTTCTTCAAGCTCTTCTGGCAGTGATCCTGACAGTGAGGTTGACAAAAAGTTAAAGAGGAAAAAGCAAGTTGCTCCAGAAAAACCTGTAAAGAAGCAAAAGACAGGTGAAACTTCGAGAGCTCTGTCATCTTCTAAACAGAGCGGCAGCAGCAGAGATGATAACAAGTTTCAGATTGGGAAAATGAGGTACGTTAGCGTTGGAGATTTTAAAGGGAAAGTGCTAATTGATACTAGAGAATATTGGATGGATCCTGAAGGCGAAATGAAACCAGGAAGAAAAGGTATTGCTTTAAATCCAGAACAATGGAGCCAGCTGAAGGAACAGATTTCTGTCATTGATGATGCAGTAAGAAAACTGTAAAATCCGAGTCATACAAACAAAACCTGTACTTTTCTAGTTGTTTTAATCTGTCTTTTTACATTGGCTTTTGTTTTCTAAATGTTGTTCTCCAAGCAATTGTATGTTTGGATTGCAGAAGAATTTGTAAGATGAACTTTTTTTTAATGTGCATTATTAAAAATGTTGAGTGAAGCAATTGTCACCTTTATTAAGGAGGATTGCTTTGTGCCCACCACCTAGTGTAAAATAAAATCGAGCAATACAGTCTTAAATGTTGTGGCCTTTTTTGATCATAAGAGTTGGTACTGTTTAAGGCCAAAAGTAATAGTTTTTATAAATCTTTTAGTCTCAACTCAGCTTTTACAATAAAAAGGATTTGTATTGCATTGAGTTTATAAACTTTTGGTTTGTGAAATCCATATTTGATCTGTTTTCTTCCAATCAAATGTTTATTTGGAAAGTCAGTGAAACTGTCAAAATGTTACCTCAATAAGATATTTATAATTGTATGAGAACTACAATCACCAAATCGACTGTCTTCAGTATTAGCAGATCTAGTTTGATAAACAAATGGCTTGTGTGAAAACCGAGCAGGTGTTTGTCATTACCCATAGTGTTCTGTGTAGTTATTGCTTAGTCTGCAGAAAATAATGACCTAGATGAGATGTCTGACTTGCTTTCACTTATTAAACATGTTCACCATGGGATGATGTCTGTAACGTCAGATATTGTTAAACTAGACTAGGATTTAATAAAAATTGTGAAAGCTTACTGGCCTAACAGTTTATTTTATAATATTGAGTATGAATTATATGTAGCCAGAGATGTCAATAAGGCTTACTGTCGGTAGGTAATATGGTTAGTTTGTAGGGAAAAGAGCGTATGAGCACATGCTTGTGTATTTCGGCCTTTGCCCCAGTAGATCAGACAATGACATTCTAGTCTTGATGTTACTAAGTTTTAGCAGACACTAGCAAGTGGTTTGTATTTAACCACAGCCATGAAGCAGACAGACTGAGGCACAGATTTTAGTGGCTTTGTGGCAATAAATAGGGCATGGTGTGCCTTAGGAAAAGAATGTTTATAAAGGGAACTATAACTGAAATTAAAGGAGGCGGCAGTGAAGAGGAAATAATTATCTTCTATCTAAATGATATACATATGATATTTTGAGATTTTTATAACTGCAGTGGAACACAATTCTGGGTAGAGTAGAAAAAGGAAAGGTTTAAAGACATATAAAAGATTCTTGTTGACAATTTATTTTTGGTAGCAAATCTCAAATGATTACCTGCTATTAAGGGCTGCCATATCAGAGTTTTGCACTATTTTGCTACCAAGTTTGATTCGTACATCTAAAACATTTTGTAGTTGATTGTCAAGGACTTAATTTGAAAATCATTTGCCAGGCCACATAGTTATCAATTTTCTTTCTAGCAGCTATTCTGTTGTATTTTTAAAACATTTTTTAGATGACTTTTTAAAGTCTATTTAGCAGTAACCTTAAGAGGTGCATATTAGTAAAATAAATCTCTTCTTGTCATTTAGCCTTCATCAAATAATAGGTACCAATGTATTAAAAATATGTGGTTTTTTTTTTTTTGGCAGCCCTTTGAACCAGAGTAGGTTCAGAGAAACTCCCAAAATTTGTATTTTAGACACGTCATGCTTGATTGGTAACTTCCCTCCTTTTTTGGGGAACATGTTTGTGTCCTATTAACTTAATTGGATAGATTTTTAAGTATTTCTTATTTTTGGCACACAGGATGGTTAGAATACAGAACTTTGATTTTTGGTGTAGATACGGAGAGAATGATGGGTAAATTTCCTAGGTTTATATGAATTTAGGGGGTGTACGCATTTTGAAACGCTATTAACAGATGGTGCTGAAATCTATTGCCTACATGTTTTCTAGCTCTTTAGCATTATGTTAATGAAGCCTCCATATAAGGAGTGTTTCTCTGGCACAGTTGGTAAGTTGACTGCTAACTTCATTGAAATGTGTTACTGGATATGCAGTATACTGAAATTATTGATCTTTTTTGTGTATAGGAAAAGAGAAGTGGGTTAAAAGAAGCAAATTAACTTGTTCTGAAAAGAAAGTATAGATTAATTTTGTTTTCTGTTTAAATTTTATCTCCTTGGTAAGACTTTTTTTCCAAGGCAGAAAGCTTGGCATTTTTAGGCATAGATCCCTTACCTTATAATGTCAAAATGAATTTAATTCCAGTACTCAGGTTTTTCCCTTTAACAGACTCTATGTGTATCAGGGCTTTCTAATGGGTTTTTCCTCTTTGTTTTTAAAATGTGAGCAGCTTTTGACCAATTTCCAGTGCTCTTAGCATTTTACTTAAAGAACAACCACTAAAAAAGAAAAACTTCGTAATTTGCTTGTCTTTTGCTTTGCTTTATTAATGTCTAAGAACTTAAGAATACTCCTACCTCATTAGCTACTCAAGATGCTGTGACGACCAAATCTATTCTACATAATGTGTTTAGAAACAAAGACTTGGGTGAAAAATGAAATAAGTATATTCTGACTTGGCTATTGAGGGTAAAAAGAAAGAATTAAGTATTAAGTGTTCCTTGTAGGAGATATGTTAGTAGAATACCATAAAAGTTTGAAAATTTTAAAAAGTACTAATATTTAGGTATCCTGAAATTATTTGCAGTTCATTTTTTATGGAAATTAATCCAGTGAATCACGCAAAAGTTTTTTTTTTAAATGGTGTTTTTCCAGATCAACTCTAGGGTAAACATTCACATAATCACAAATATGCAATTCTGTAATTGTGAAATGCCTGTATGTTTTGTTTTCATACATCTTCCTTGGAGATGTCTGAATATAATACTCCATCTATGAATATTTTAAATGTTGAAATAAAAGTAAGAAATGTGAAAAAAAAAAATGAAGGCTAGGGAGGAGAGCAAAGGATGAATATAACGTGAAAATGTATGTATAGTTAGTTCAGGGGAGAAAACCAGGAGAGAGAGAGAGAAAGCTCACACCAGAGCTGTCGCTTAAAGATGACTGGACTAGGGTGGGAAGAGAAAGAATAACAAGTCCCTAGAAAATTTGCTAAAAGTGAGGCCTTTGGGGTACAGAAGAGTGGGCAGGTTTGTAACGGCTGTAAGGGAAACGTGATCACTTCGGGTTAGAGGGAAGGGCTGTAGAGCCACATGGCAAGCCCAGGACACCTGTGCATTTCCTGACTTTCCCTGACAGCATCCAGTGGCTTAGGATAAAAAATGGAGACATTGGATGTTGGATTACCCCACAATGGACATGGACGTTTGTCAGGGTAAGGATGGTGGGAGACCTAAGGGACAAGGAGAAACATTATTTTTTTAAAATTACAGACGTCAAAAGAGTCACACAATACAAAGTTTATAGAGTGAAACATGAAAGAATGACCTTCATCCCTGCCTTAGGAGGATCTCTGGAGCAGCTTTGCTCATAGTGTCTCTGACTGCAGTGACTTACGGAAAAAACTAATAATTGGGAAAATACTAGTACCTAACAGTTGAGACTAAGTGTTGTGGTTGGTGCCGTTGGAACTCCATGGAACATGTTCCTCATGGAAGAGGTGGGGAAGGGGGAATGTGGGCAGGTAACAACCCACACTCCCATGCTTCTCTCCCAGTGAGTGAGATCTAATTCACCCTGGCAGTAGGTCCTCAGTGGGTTTCAGGTTGGTTCCAAAAGGAGGTAGGGCCTGGTGCAGTGGCTCACGCCTGTAATCCCAGCACTTTGGGAGGCTGAGGCAGGAGGATTGCTTGACCCCGGGAGTTCGAGACCAGCCTGGGCAACATAGCGAGACCCCATCTCTACAAAAAATACAAAAATTAGCCAGGCATGGTGATGCATACCTGTAGTCCCAGCTACTAGGGAGGTTGAGGTGGAAGGATCACTTGAGCCCAGGAGGTCAAGGCTGCAGTGAGCCGAGATGATGTCACTGTACTCCAGTCTGGGTGACAGAGTAAGACCTTGTCTCAAAAATAAAAAAATAAAAATTTTAAATAAATACATAAAAGGAGGTAGGCACGATATGTTGTAAGTGGACTGAAAGAGAGGAGATGGTACAGAGACAGCAGGGTGGAGTGTGACCAGTGGCGGTTATGCCTTTTGTGCCTGTGCCTGTTGCCTGGAAGGAGGAGAGGTTTTCGCTTGACAGGACTGTGAAGGAGGGCACGGAAATATGGGGGGTCGGGGGTGAATCTAGGCTTCCATCTTAGTAAGGAGAGGCGGGATACGTGTGAGAGGCGGCAGCATGCTGGCAGCCCTGCAGCCCTTGCTCGCTCTCGGTGCCTCCTCGGCCTCGGCGCCCATTCTGGCCGCGCTTGAGGAGCCCTTCAGCCCACCGCTGCACCGTGGGAGCCCTTCTCTGGGCTGGCCTAGTCCGGAGCCGGCTCCCTCGGCTTGCGGGGAGGTGTGGAGTGAGAGGCACTGGCGGGAACCAGGGCTGCGCGCGGCGCTTGCGGGCCAGCGCAAGTTCCGGGTGGGCGTGGGCTCGGCGGGCCGCACTTGGAGCGGGCGGCCGGCCCCGCCGGCCAGGGCAGTGAGGGGCTTAGCACCTGGGCCAGCAGCCGCCGTGCTTGATTTCTCAACAGGCCTTAGCTGCCTCCCCGCGGGGCAGGGCTCGGGACCTGCAGCCCGCCATGCCTGAGCCTCCCCCGCGCCGCCGCCGTGGGCTCCTGCGCGGCCCAAGCCTCCCCGACGAGCGCCACCCCCTGTTCCACGGCGCCCAGTCCCGTCGACCGCCCAAGAGCTGAGGAGTGCGGGCGGATGGCACGGGAGTGGCAGGCAGCTCCACCTGCGGCCCTGCGCGGGATCCACTGGGTGAAGCCAGCTGGGCTCCTGAGTCTGGTGGGGACTTGGAGAATATTTATGTCTAGCTAAGGGATTGTAAATACACCAATCAGCACTCTGTATCTAGCTCAAGGTTTGTAAACACACCAATCAGCACCCTGTGTCTAGCTCAGAGTTTGTAAATACACCAATGGACACTCTGTATCTAGCTAATCTAGTGGGGAGGTGGAGACCTTTTATGTCTAGCTCAGGGATTGTAACCGCACCAATCAGCACCCTGTCAAAACGGACAAATCAGCTCTCTGTAAAACAGACCAATCGGCTTTCTGTAAAATGGACCAATCAGCAGGGTGTGGGTGGGGCCAGATAAGAGCATAAAAGCGGGCTGCCTTAAAAAAAACGGTGGCAACACGCTGGGTTTGCTTTACAACGCTTGGGAAGCTTTGTTGTTTGCAATAAATTTTAATACTTGTCTGTTTCGGTCTGCACTGCCTTTATGAGCTGTAACACTCACAGGGTAGGTTTGCAGCTTCACTCCTGAAGCCAGTAAGACAACGAACCCACTGGGAGAAACAAACAACTCCAGACGCGCCGACTTAAGAGCTGTAATACTCGCTGTGACGGTCTGCAGCTTCACTCCTGAGCCAGCGAGACCACGAACCCACCAGAAGGAAGAAACTCCGAACACATCTGAACATCAGAAGGAACAGACTCCGGACACGCCGCCTTTAAGAACTGTAACACTCACCGCGAGGGTGGGCGGTTTCATTCCTGAAGTCAGTGAGACCAAGAACCAACCAATTCCGGACACACTTGGACTCGACAGACTCTAAGGTGAAAGATTGGTTTAGTTCATGAGTTGGGGTTTTGTGATAACTGACATTGTGAAAAACGGGGGATTTAACATAGATTTTCACAGTGGCTTTAGACATTTCATAAATATTTCTTAAATGCCTCCTAAATGCTAGGATTTGGCAATACAAGGCTAAACAAAATACAAAGCCAAATCCTACTGTAATGGGAGTATGTAAAGTGTTTCTGTTAATGGAAAAAGTGCTGTGTGAGGATGGGGGTTAAGTGACTGGACTGTTTGTGTTCTGAGCTTTCTAGGACTGATCTGATTACGCTGTAAACACTCCGCCAGATACTGTGTAGGCCCAGCCCTTGTGCTTGAGGGGGCCACTGTGAGGTGGCGAAACAGACAAGAGATTATTAGAATACAGAAAGTTCAGGTTGGGAGGAACCACTGAACATGGTAGAAGTACTGAGGTCTGTGAAAGTAAAGATCAGCCCAATGAACACAAACAAATAAGGTTCTTGATTCGGAGCTTGCTGTAGTAAGGGAGTTTTGTACTTAGTGGACACTCCGAGGCAGGCAGGGGAGTGGGAAGCTTTACGGTGGAAAAGGGGAAGGCTGCAGCAGTGCTCTGATTGGAGGCTTCTGGCCTGGGGAAGTTGGAAGCAGCTGATAGAGGTAGGTGTCTTCAGTGATTGGTTTGAGGAGCCTATTTGTTTTTCTGTGGTTGATTCTGAGTTGCAAGAGTCCTGACCATTTGGGGCTGATTGCTGCTGAGGTTGTGGTTTTCTTGCAGGACAGGCAAGCCCCAAATTGGGCCTTAGCCCATGAGGGTTCCTGGCTTTACCCAGGAAAGAATTCAAGGGTGAGCCAGTGGTAAGGTGGAAGAAAACAACTTCATTAAAGAGGCAGTGTGACAGCTCCGTGACTTTTCCTGCAGAGTAGGGCTGCTCCGCAGGCAGTGTGCTGAAAGCAGCTCAGGGCAGTTGTGCAGTCAGATCTATATCTACTTTTAATTGCACGCAGATTAAAGGACAGTTTCTGAAGACATCTGTAGGAAAAGGGTAGTAACTTCTGGGTTGTTGGGTCATTGCCATGGAAAGGGGTGGTAAATCCTGGGTGTTGCGATGGCAATGGTAAACTGACATGGCAAACTGGTGGGCGTGTCTTAAGGACGGCTGCTTCGGCCCCTCCCTGTTTTAGCTAGTCCTCAATTTGGTCGGCTGTCTGAACCCCACCTCTGGAGTCGAATCTCGCCTTCTATCTCATTTTGAGTTCCTTGGACTGCCTGCAGCAGCGGTTGTTTAAGCCATGGTTCTGTTATATAGTGTCTGGCTGTTATCCATTCGTATGTTCAGCTTCCAAGTGGACACCTAAGTCAGACTGAGGGAGCTGGATTAGGGGCTCTCTAACAAATAGCACCATCACATAACATGTCTGTTTCTTCCTCTGCATTGTAAGCTCCTTGGGTGTGGAACCTTATCTTACTCATCTTTGTTTTTTCCCATGTCTCCTGCCACATTGTAGATGTTCAGCCAATGTTTGTTGCATTTAAAGAACAGATAATCACAGCTACTAGGGAAGCTGAGATGGGAAGATCCTTAATCCTAGGAGTTTGAGCCAGCCTGGACAACATAAGACCCTGTCTGTCTCTCACACACACTCAAAAAAAAAAAAAAAAAAAAAAGAAACAAACAAAAAAAACGGTGGGGGAGGGGAACAGATAAAGGAGAGGCCAGGAAACACCAGAAAAGGATTCCTGAAGCAGATTCCACCTGAGCTGTAATGGAGGCGTGGCAGGTGGCTAGGCAAGGAGCAGGAAGCCTATTCCAGGCAGGTGAATTGCTTGGGCCAAGGCCGGATGTGAAGTACTGTAGCCTGTTCGGGGGACAATAAGTGCTGCTAGGACTGGATCAGGGTGTGAAAGTAGTACAAGAATGGGTGGACAGGAGGCTGAAATCCCAACAAAGGATGTAGATGCCAAATGGCAAGGACGTTTTTATTCTATGCCAGAAGGCTTGATTTCCTTTAAATCAATCCATTGATTCGAAGACATTTCATTGGAGGAATTTAAAATGGAAGGATTATAATCAAGTGTGTGTTTTTATTTTTTATTTTTTTGAGACGGAGTCTCACTTTGTTGCCCAGGCTGCAGTGTGGTGTGGTGATCTCGGCTCGTGGGTTCAAGCGATTCTCCAGCCTCAGCCTCCCGAGTAACTGGGATTACAGGCACCCACAACCACGCTCAGCTAATTTTGGTATTTTTAGTAGAGACGGGGTTTCACCATGTTAGCCAGGCTGGTCTCAAAGTCCTGACCTCAAGTGATCCGCCTGCATTGGTCTTCCCAAGTGCTGGGATTACAGGTGTGAGCCACTGCACCCAGCCCAGTGTGTGTTTTAGACGAATAACTCTACCTGCCATATGGGAAAGGACAGGGGAAGTCAACTTCAACATGGTTTGGGAAAGAAGATGTGGCTTAAACCAAGATGGAGCAGAGAGGAGAGATTAAAATGAAAGGTATTTGTTTTCTTGGACTCCACAGGACTTGATGAATGATTTTGAAGGGGTGGATATAAGGAGAGAAAGGGCGTTATCAATGACACCTGGATTTTGTGATTACAAAACTGAGAGGCTGTTAACGCTATCCACAGGAGAAGCAGATTTAATGGAAGAGAGATTTAAAGAATGGGCACGTTAACTAACTTTGCATTGTTTAGGCACCATCGTGTCCTATACGCAGCTCAATTCAATAAATACTCATTGAGCACCCAATAAATATTCATTGAGCCAGTATGTGCTGGGCACTATTCCAGATGGTTGAGGGGACATTAGTGAGCAAAACAAAGGTGTGTCGTCACTGAGCTTAGATTTCTAGTGTTGACTTAAAAAATATGATTTATCAATTTAGAAAGGGAGAAGAGCCTTTATTTCTTCTAAAGGGTTACAGCATGCTTCCAGCTTAGACCACAGACGGGCACTTTGAAGGAAAAGGCGTTTGAGGTAGGAGCTTTATGCTGACTGGGTTGGCTAAACGTACATATTTAACAGATTACAAGAGGAGCTACGAATATTTATGATGGCGGACCTGACACATTGAACAAACATGTATGTAATATATGACCCATATTCACTTTGGGATAGAGACTCAACATGTGAATGCATTACAATTACACCCTATAGGTCAAAAGGTCTTTTTAGGACAGGAAGGCGCCTTGAGTGTACAGTTTCTGTAAACTGGCCAGACCAGTCCACGGTCGGCGGTCTTATCAGGAGAAAGTTACTGAGATCAATCTCTTGACCAGTCAAAGCTGTAGTTATGGCTGGTGGAACAGGGGTTCAATTAGTCACTGTCTGGTGGAGCTGCAGGTGTTTTACTATTGCTTATCTCAAGGCCAGCGTTTAGCTGCTGGAGAAAAAGAAGAGCCCTGTGGCAGTTAGAGCTTAGTTGATTCTTCAAGTGTAGGGGTGCCTGACTTCACCATTGCCTGCATGGCCTTAGGTCCTGTTTATAATTGGGTATCTTATTGCCACAGAGTCTGTTCCGTTAGTCTTATGATCTCTGTTTTAATGTTAATGCCAGCCAGTTGTGTATGAACTCCAAAAGGAAGGGGGTACAATGAGGGCTATCTGATCTCCTGTCCCGTTATTTGAAATGCTTTTTCCCTGGTGCTGGAAAGAAATAGCACTTGTAGGCTGGGAGCCGTGGCTCACGCCTGTAATCCCAGTACCTGGGGAGGCTGAGGCGGGCGGATCACGAGGTCAAGAGATTGAGACCATCCTAACCAACATGGTGAAACCCTGTCTCAACTAAAAATAAAAAAATTAGCTGGCCGTGGTGGTACATGCCTGTAGTTCCAGCTACTCGGGAGGCTAAGGCAGGAGACTCACTTGAACCTGGGAGCCAGAGGTTGCAGTGAACCAAGATCGCGCCACTGCACTCCAGCCTCACGACAGAGTGAGACTCCATTTAAAAAAAAAAAAAAAATGAAGAAGAAATAGCACTCGAAGGCTGGGCGCAGTGGCTTGCCTGTAATCCTAGCACTTTGGGAGGCCGAGGAGGGTGGATCATGAGGTCAGGAGTTCAAGACCAGTCTGGCCAACATGGTGAAACCCTGTCTCTACTAAAAATCGAAAAATTACCCAGGCGTGGTGGTTGGGCGCCTGTAATCCCAGCTACTCGGGAGGCTGAGGCAGGAGAAGCACTTGAACCCAGAAGGCAGAGGTGGCAGTGAACCGAGACTGTGCCACTGCACTCCAGCCTGGCAACAAGAGTGAAATTCTGTCTCAAAAAAAAAAAAAAAAAAAAAAAAAAAAAAAAGGCGCTTGAACATTAATTTACTAAGCAGGCCATTTTTACTTCCTGCAGAAAGGGTACACTCGCCAGCAGTTTTGCCATGGGAGTATACCAAACAAAGGAGACAGGGTCATTTATAACCTGACTCGTCCACCCCACTGCTTGTGTCTAGTTTCCATTGGCTGGAACGGTGCCTCACGTTCTGTATTTGTCCCGATTGGCTAGCAACTTAGAAGTTTTTAAAAGAGGCAAAGGTAGAGGAGAACAAAGGAAGGAGGAAGTAACTTGTGGAATGGTGACAAAGGTTGAAACACCTTCAAATAAGGAAGAGGAACAGGCTATGACCTAATGCTTTCTTGGACCACTATAAGCATGCCAGGGCAAATATTTAGGCTAAATTGTGAGAGCTAAGAACATGAAGTACATTGATTTCTTTATCATAGCTAGCAGATATTTAAGAATGTTAGCACAGGTCTTTGAATAAAGTTTGCTTCTAAGAGAAGTTACTATTTATTCCTAATTAAATGGGGAGGAAAGTCTTTGAAGAGGAACCTCTACTTTACTTTTTATACCGTCATGGCTGGAAACTAAGTTTTTAAGATTTTTCTGGGGTTCCCTTGGCCGAGGTGGGGAGTGGGAGGGCTGTCCAGTGGTAGGGACTTAGGATTTTTAGTTTACAGTAGTAGGGGAAACACTCTGTAATCTAATACATAAGTAAATGATGTATTAGAATATGGTAAATATAGGCAAGTAGACCCCCACTGGGATTAGCAGTGGTGGAAATGTGAGAGAGGGCAAACAGGTGGGTCTAGATGAGGTGTGAGCAGACTCGAGGGGCACAGGAGTTAGTCAAGCCAGTATCTGGGGGATAGTGCAGGAATAGTGAACAGCTAGACAAAAAGTCCTAGGGCCAGAGAAAGCAAAAGCATAAGAGATGGAGGCCAGAGAGGTAATCTGGGTGGAAGGCTGCAGCCTCTCAGGATCCCTATAGGTGCTTTGGCTTTTGTTGGAGAGACACTGAACAGCTTTGGGCAGTGAACGTACCTGACAGGTTTCCTGTTTGTTTTTGAGATGAAGTCTCGCTCTTGTCCCCCAGGCTGGAGTGCAATAGCGCGATCTCAGCTCACTGCAACCTCTGCCTCCTGTGTTCAAGCGATTCTCCTGCCTCAGCCTCCCAGGTAGCTGGGATTATAGGCGCCTGCCACCATGCCTGGCTAATTTTTGTATTTTTAGTAGAGACGCAGTTTCAGCATGTTGGCCAGGCTGGTCTTGAACTCCAGACCTCAGGTGATCCGCCCGCCTTGGCCTCCCAAAGTGCTGGGATTACAGGCATGAGCCACCGCGCTCGGCTAGACCTGACAGGTTTTAAAAGGATTACTGGTTGCTGTGTTAAAACAGACTGCAGGATGGCTTAGGTAGCCAGTAGGTTTTTTTTTTTTTTTGGAGACGTAGTCTTGCTCTGTTGGCCTGGCTGGAGTGCAGCGGTGTCATCTTGGCTCACTGCAAACTCCGCTTCCCGGGTTCAAGTGATTCTCCTGCCTCAGCCTCCGGAGTAGTTGGGACTACAGGCGCCCACCACCACACTCGGCTTTTTTGTATTTTTAGTAGAGACGGGTTTCACCATGTTGGCCAGGATGGTCTCGATCTCTTGACCTCGTGATCCACCCGCCTTGGCCTCCCAAAGTGTTGCGATTACAGGCGTGAGCCACCACGCCTGGACGGGTAGCCAGTAGTTTCTAGGGCTGGAGAGATCTAGGATGAGAGAAGTTTCCACATTCCTGTTACAGGCTCTCTAAGGCTTCAGCTCCTTTTTCTAGGACTAAGCTGGATCTCAAGTAAACACTAGAGAGGGGGCAGCTGAAGCTCCAGGAGTGTGTGGGGCTCCCTGGGGCTGGATGGCGGTGGCGGGCAGGCGAGCTGGGCTGTGCTCGGGTGTGTTACAGTAAAGACGCCCAGCTTGGCGCTGGCCCGGCCTTTTCACGGTTTTAGGCTCTACAGAGAGCGGCTGCAGAGCTCACCCGGCTGGCAGGAGCCACCGAGGCCGGACACGTGGGCGACTTATTGACCAAGTGGGGAGGAAGCAGCCCCGCACTGCTCTCCCGACTGCGGACCACCGTTGGGCTCCTGCGCATCCTAAGCCCCACCGCCTCACCTCCAGTCCCCACAGCGTTCGCGCTCCCAGCCGGGGTAAGCGGAAGAAAACAAAGGCCCGGCTCCATCAGGGCACCAATCCCGCTCGTCGGCCTCTTTCTCGGCCTCCAATGAGCTTCTAGAGTGTTATCACGCCAGTCTCCTTCCGCGACTGATTGGCCGGGGTCTTCCTAGTGTGAGCGGCCCTGGCCAATCAGCGCCCGTCAGCCCACCCCACGAGGCCGCAGCTAGCCCCGCTGGCGGCCGAGGCCGGTTGAAGTGGGCGGAGCGGCGGGCGGGGCGTCGCCGTACTAGGCCTGCCCCCTGTCCGGCCAGCCCCTCGAAGCACCTACTCCACAGGTCCAGCCGGCCGGTGAGCGCCTGGGGACCGCAGAGGTGAGAGTCGCGCCCGGGAGTCCGCCGCCTGCGCCAGGATGGAGTTCGTGAAATGCCTTGGCCACCCCGAAGAGTTCTACAACCTGGTGCGCTTCCGGATCGGGGGCAAGCGGAAGGTGATGCCCAAGATGGACCAGGTGGGCCGAGCCTCCCTGCTTGCCCGGGGCGGGGAAGGAGCTCGCTGGGCCGGCCTCAGGGCCTGAGCGGCCGGGCCCGGATCTGGGGCAAGGGGCGCGGCGAGCAGGGCCGACGCCTGGGTGTTCCCGTCCCCCTTTCCTCGAGCCTTCCCCCTGTAGGGCCCGGGTGGACGCGGCCGTCCTGGCTGACCTGTCCCTGCCCCCGCAAGCCGCCCTGGGCATGAGCGACTTTTGCGTGGTTCCCGGTGGTTGCGCTCCCCGTTTCGTCCCCTCCGTGAGCATCGGCGCTTACCGGTATTTTAACCCGAGGGTTACACATCTGAGGCAATGTGGGTGGGTTACGCGGGAGAGGACGAGTGAGTTTTTTGGTAAGCGGAATGAACTATGCAGATAACATCACATGAAGGCCGTTTCTGGAATGAAGTCTGACTCCTCCAGTTTCACCACCTCTTCCGGAGCTCTCCCCGCCTTGCTGCCTTCCATCGCTTCATCCTCGGTGCTTCCTGAGTTTTAAAATCGCCTATCTACGCTTCCAAGTTCCAATGAGTTATCTAACGTCTATGGATTAGCTAGGTGGTTGGTGGAAGGTCAGAACTTGGTTTTACTTAGATTTTTATCTGCCTCATGCCTGTACTATTTGTTTAATGAATGCATAGGAGGTGTTTTTATTCCAACAAGAAAATTATTCGTACGCGATTATTGAATGAATAGACAAATTCAGCCAAGTTCTTCTGGTCTGGACCAGCCTGGCTGATTTCTGTAACTTTTTTGGGCCAACAGGACAGTAGCAAATGTGACTCAGGCCGAGGCTTGATAGGTGCCTGAACATCGGAGTCTTTCTTTCAGTGTCCATGTGCTTCAGTAAACACACTAGAAAATAAATTTCTGGTTTTTGTCCCCAGTAGACTACACCCTCATTTGGTGTTATTTTTCACGTGCTATCTTTAATACAGGTACATCCTTCAGTCTATTTGTAGAACATTCAGTTTTCTTCATCTTTTCTTTGCCGGTGCTACATTATTTGAATTATTTTGCTACAGAATAACTTCTATTATTTGATATGGCAGATGTCACTTTTTATATTTAGATATAGCATTCATTTATTTAACAAATATTTGACGACCAGTTGTATATCAGATAGTGTTCTAGGTGCTGGAGGTACAACAGTGAACAAGCTAGGTGAAGACCTTGATTTTATAAAACTTACTTTTTAGTGGAAGAGAGACAATTTAAGAAAGCGAATGTACAGTTTTTCACGTGGAGAAAAGCACTGCAGAGGAAGATACTAGCAGGGCAAGGGATCTGAGTGCAGTCAGACCTCATTTGGGTCCAGACTTCATTCCTCTATGTCTCTTTCCTTTCTACAGAAAGACTGTTAGAGAAAATGGTAGCATTGGTTTCCTGTTGGGAGGGAAAGTGGGTGGTCATGGTAAGTGGGTAGAGAAAGACTTCACAGTATACTGTTTTTGTACATTTTGAGTTTTTTTAAAAGCGAGACTTGAGCTATTCTAGCTCTGATAATATGGTGCAGTATTTGTTATGTTAGTTGTAGTCTTTCTGGGCAGTTTTTACATCCCCATGAGCCGTTAAAAAAATACCTGAACCTTTAATTAGGGGAAATAAATTGGAAAAATACATTTCCCTTCACTTAACATTATCTTAGTTTCTCTTTTTTTTTTTTTTTTTTTTTGAGATGGAGTCTTGCTCTGTTACCCAGGCTGGAGTGCAGTGGTGGCGGGACCTCAGCTAGATGCAGCCTCCGCCTCCTGGGTTCAAGCAATTCTCCTGCCTCAGCCTGCTGAGTAGCTGGGATTACAGGCACCTGCCACTACGCCCGGCTGATTTTTTGGTATTTTTAGTAGAGACGGGGTTTCACCATGTTGGTGAGGCTGGTTTTGAACTCTTGACCTCAAGTGATCTGCTCGCCTTGGTCTCCCAAAGTGCTAGGATTACAGGCGTGAGCCACTGCACCCGGCCTTTTTTTTTTTTTTTTTGAGGGGGGGGTCTCACTCCATCGTCCAGGCTAGAATGCTGTGGCCTG
This sequence comes from Homo sapiens, assembly GCF_000001405.40. Classification (NCBI taxonomy): domain Eukaryota; kingdom Metazoa; phylum Chordata; class Mammalia; order Primates; family Hominidae; genus Homo; species Homo sapiens. The sequence continues at coordinate 11,804,973 of NC_000008.11, forward strand.
AACATGACTCACTCCAGTTTTGACTTCCTTGGCTGAAGCCATCCTCCCACCTCGGCTTCCTGATCCCGAGTAGCTGGGACTCCAGGCACGTGTCACCAATGCATGGCTAATTTTTAAATTTTTTTGTAGACACAATGTCTCGCTGCATTGCCCAGGCTGGTCTTGAACTCCTGAGCTCAAGCGATTTTCCCACCTCAGCCTTCAAAGTGCTGGGATTACAGGTGTGAGCCACTGCACCCAACCAGTTTCTCTCTGCAAACTAGGGAAAAAATTTACGCTTAGCAGATACTGAGGGCTGATTATTTCTATCACAGAAGCATTTGGCTATAGAATTTCAGGGTTTAGTAAACTTGATTTACACTGAATTTTTAGGTGCATATCAGTAAATCTACGGGCATATGCCGCCTGCAAGTTGTGTGGCATCACCCAAAAGCCGAGAGTAATGGAAAGAGCAGGCTGTTAGTAATCAGGCAGATCTGGCTCCTGTCCAATCTAAATCCTGTTATTTAGACTAATATCTTAAGTCTGTTATTAAGTCCGATTTCTGACGCTATTAAGTTAGGTGAACAACCTTGGTAACTTAACCTCTGAACCACAGTTACTTCATCTGTAAAATAGGGATGTATGTATGGTAACGATTTTTTAACCACAACTTCCCAACTCTAAGATGGTCTGAAAAGAATTTTTTGAGTGTTTGGCTCAGAATCACTTGGCAGCAAAACCTGACTTGAAGTTGAGGCTTCATTCATCCCACTTAGTATATTCAAATGTTTTGCTAAAGAAATAATTATGAGGTGCTACTTCACACTGACTAGGGTTGTATATGCATTTTATTGCCTATTTTCTAAAACACTAAAAATGCTAAATTCTGCCCCAGGTCTTGCCACAGATGTTTCAGTGGACTATGGGCCTGTGAGACCTTAAAGGGTTGATTGAGTAAGGATCACAGGTGATGTCCGCATTGTGCTTGGCATGGAGTTAAGTGCTTGATAAATGGTGGTTATCAATCTGATTATGTAAATTTATGTAAATTCAGTTCTCAAGTTTGTGGTTTTTTTCCCCTCCTGGAGAAATCTATTCTATTTTAAAGTGAGGAAGGCTCCGTGGAGGGCTGGTAGCTGGTAGCTGTTCACTTGTGGAACTTTCAGCCTGAGGCTGGAGCCCCTTCCTGGGAGTCTGGTCTTGTCGTCTTCCTGACCACCCCCACACCCTTCCTCTAAATTCCCTCCATCCCTGTTTTTCTCCCGCTTGCGAGCTTTTGGGAGTGTGCTGAATCTCAGACTGCAATAGATAAACCCAAGAGGGACAGGCACCAGTAGCCTGAGCTTGCTTTCTCCCCTGGCTCATGGGAATCAAGCAGTAGAAATTTTTAGTGAGTGTTGTTTTCCATAGTATGCTTACTAGTTGTGTCTTCCTGTTTTGTTCTTGGTGATTTGAAGAAACCTGTTTACAAGGTAAGGGACTGAAACAAATAGGTGACAGGAAAAAGAGCAGCAGGGGTACGAGCTGGAGGAGTAAGTGGCTTGGCTTGCTCTCTTTCAGAATGGAGGGCTGTATGGAAAGGAGGGGTAGTGTTCTTGAAGAGTGTTGGGGTTTAAATCTAGGGGGACCGTGTCTTGGCATTGATTGAAACTCCTGGCTTAACATCACCCCGAAACTGTTAGTTGGACTGAACATGACATTTGGCAGTGCAGTTAAAAACACTTCCTGCTGTAGCCTGGTAATGGTCAGGCTATGTGAAGAGCTGCTCTGGAGCTCAGTCCAGAGCGGGTATTCTGTTTCTTTCACTCTGAAATCCTGCCTCTCGATATTTTGAGAAGGAAGGAGTTGGTGAATTGTTTTAAAATCCTCGATGAATGTCTTCATTTATTCATGACACCACTTCTGAATATATTTATGTGCCAGACGCTGAAGTTTACTAATATTATGGTGCCCAGTAAATACTTGTTTTTACTAATATTTTTTATGGCAATAAAATGACTTTTTCAGGATTATGTGATTTAAAAGATTGACCCTTTTGGCAAAATACGTATTCATGATAGGAAATATATACAAATAAAAACAACATAGTTCACTTAAACCTCCCACCAGAGCCCAGGGTTCACTGTTACCATTCTGAAGTGACTATGGAATTTCCTAGAAGTGGATATGCCATATTTTTTTAACCACTCCTATTGGATATTTGTTTTTTATTTTTTTGAGATGGGGTCCCACTCTGCAGTGTACAATATCATAGTTCACTGTAACGTGTATCTCCTGGGCTCAAGCGATCCTCCCACCTCAGCCTCCTGAGTAGCTAGTCTTCAGTAGCTAGACTATAGGTGGGCGCCACCACACCTGGCTTTTTAAAAAATTTTTTAAAAACTTTTTTATGAACACGAGGTCTCACTATGTTGCCCAGGCTGCCCTCAAATTCCTGGGCTCAAGTGATTCTCCCACCTTGGCCTTCCGAAGTGCAGGGATTATAGGCGTGCGCCACTGCACCCGGCCCTGTTGGATAAATGATTCCAGTCTCTCCCAAAAAGAACTGTTGTAAGACTGTGGGGTGAGGGGAGGGAAGGGACAAATAGGAACCCGCCGTATTTTCCACTCCCTGTGGGCCTAAAACTGCTCTAAAAAATAGTCCATGAAAAAATACATAGTACAAACAGCAACTCTTTCTGATATGCTTGCATTTAAAATCAGGCTTTTTCTCCCTTTTGGAAAAACACAGTCCTTGTTTGCTTTAGGGAAGAGTAAAGGTCAGTGCGCTGCATTGCATTAATTTCGAAGGGAAAGATGAGAAGACATCTTGAAAGGAATGGCTGGCTTTCTAGAGAATAGTAGAGGCTTAATAGGTGTCATAGAAAAACCAGGGTTGGACAGTGGTAGTAAAACGGCAAAACAGATTTTATTCAGAAAAACTACTGCAGTAAGAGGAGAGAGACCTCGGTACAGAACTGCTCCACTGCGAATACAAAGAAAAGTAGGAATTGATGGCGGGGGAGCCGGATGTCAGTGGATGGAAAATTATTACGAGGAAACACAGGGGTGTGCATTCTTGCTGAAGGCAGGCCAGAGTTATCAGACATCACCTGAGGGATGGAGGGGGATGTGGAACCTAATCGGCTGTCTAGGGTGATCAGATACTGAAGTTGGGGGATTCTGGTCAAATCAATTTAGCAGGATTCTTGGTAAAACTGGGCGATGCAAAGACAGATGCGTTGAGTACAAAGTCCAGGCCTTATTGGGAAGAGGATTTCAGCGGAGCCCGAGTAGAGTTTGGTCTAGGGAGACTCTGTCACTGGGAGGACGAGCGAGCCGCTCGGAAGTGCGCTGGGTTCCCTTAGCGGCCAGTGGGTTCTGGTGAGAAGGGCAACAGCGGGAGGAGGCGCCGGTGCGGAGCGGGAGGCCGGGGGCGGGGCTGCGGGGCTGCGGGGCGGGCCCGTTGTGGGTCGGCCCAGCGCGTATTCGAGTAGAGGGCGAGCCCGTCCCGCCCCTCGTCGGGCGCTTCCCAGATCTGCTTGAGTCTATGGAGGAAAAACTCCGCGGGGTCCGCGATTCCCATGGCCGCAGCCGCCTGCGGCACCAAGGCCATGGCCCTCTTCAAGCGCACCTTGGTGCTGAGTCCCGCCGCGGCGCCCAGGGGCCCGGGCGCAGGCACCGCCCCGCGGGGCTGCTGCTTGCCTCCTGCCGCCTGGCCCTGCAAGGACTGGCCTCGGGGAGAGGGCGGCAGGCTGTGGAGCCGCCTGCCCCAGTCCCACTCCCACTCCCACTCCCACTCCCACTCCCACTCCTGCTCCTCGACGTCTCCCACCGCCGTGTGTGTTGTCTGCCCGCAGGACTCGCTCAGCAGCAGCCTGAAAACTTGCTACAAGTATCTCAATCAGACCAGTCGCAGTTTCGCAGCTGTTATCCAGGCGCTGGATGGGGAAATGCGGTGAGTGATGGAGGCAGCGCCTCTGGCTTGGAGGAAAGCTTGTCCGGGACCTTTGAGTGTGTTGGAAGCTACCTTTTGATATAGCGCTCAGCGTTGCAGCCTCGTTGCTGTGGCTTATCCAGAACATAGCCCGGCCCTACGTGTTTACTTTAGAAAGCCCTTCCAGGCTCTTTGCCATCTAGTAGAGTCCCTGCGGGCCCAGCCTTTCAGAGAAGAGGGGGGAGGGGGTGATGTTTATTAACTTTTTTTAGTCTTGGCAGCTGAACCTGCCTGTGAGCAGGTCGTGTATTTCTCGGCTTCCCTTATCCAACTTTGCATTTCTATTTCTAGCATATTGGGTTGATTCTTTTGAAGCTGCCTCTGTGCACATTACACCCATGAACTTAGACCAGTTGCCTTTATGTATGATCGTATTTATACTGAGAAGTTACTGTGTTTTTTGACTTTCTTTTCTATTTGCTACATATTAGTTCGGTCTAAACGTTTGGTCTTCTGGTCTCCATAGTTCTACATTGGTTAAATGCAACTCACTTCTGGGAGTAGTGGTGACATTCAACTAGTAGGCTTTTTAATAAACTACAGAAGTTCATTACTCTCATGTAAGGAAGGAAAACTAATGTAACTTTCGTTAAGTATGAAAAGCGTTGGATATCCTTATAGTTCTTTAGAGTTAAGGGTGAGATGGGTTTAGAAAGTGGCCAGGCACAAGTTATTTTAAAATAAAAAATCTTTGGCTGTTTGTTCCAATATATTAATAGTTTTCCCTTTTTTACAGCAACGCAGTGTGCATATTTTATCTGGTTCTCCGAGCTCTGGACACACTGGAAGATGACATGACCATCAGTGTGGAAAAGAAGGTCCCGCTGTTACACAACTTTCACTCTTTCCTTTACCAACCAGACTGGCGGTTCATGGAGAGCAAGGAGAAGGATCGCCAGGTGCTGGAGGACTTCCCAACGGTGAGTGGGGTTACGCATCTTGTCTACGGACTGTTGTGTTCATAATTGCTAACGTGGTTGTCCGGTAGCCTCCATACATGTGGAGAAAGGTTAAATAAGCATTCTGAGGGCAGCATAATGTGAGGGTTAAAAACTCCGGTAGCCAAGACTCTGAAGCCAGGCTGCCTGGGTTGGAATCTCAAATCTCCCACTTACTAAACTGTTGGTTACTTACAAAGACTCTCTGTGCCTCAGTTTCTTCATCTGTAAAATAGGGGTAATAATAACACCTACCTCATGGTATTCTGAGGATTCAAAGAATTAACGTAGGTAATGCTCTTAGAATGTTAGCTACTGCTGTTATTATCAGTATTGGAAGTCCAGTGTTTCTTCCTGTGGGAAGACGCAGTCAAATTTTAGTGTTGTGAAAGATTCTCAGGCTAGCTCACAAAAGCCTGCCGACTGTATGATGCAGCCTACCTGTAACACTGCTGGCCTCTTGACTACCCGGAGCCTGGTAGCATGGGACTGCTGCTCACGATGGGCAGCAGCCTGGCATGGGGGCGGTGTCTGTTGGCAGCTAGGGCGAGCCTCTGCCACTTCACCTGTGATCCTGGGCAAGTTCCTTATCTGCTTTGTGTCTCCGTCTCCTCGTTTGTAAAGTTAGAGCTGAGAGGATTAATTTCGCACATATAAAGTACTTAGTGCCTGGTACAGGGTAAGTATTCTGTAAGTATTAGCTATTTGGTCTATTTTGTTGGAGTAAAGTGGGTTATAGTTAAAATCCTAAGATTTTTAAAGTCCCTCAAGTTCATGTGGACATCTGCCTAGGTCCTACTATCCTAGAATTCGCATGTCTTATCACACAAATAACTGATTCTTCCATATCTTATAAATAAAGGTTTGATTTAGCAAAGTCACATGTTGTGTAATAGCTCGAAGAAGCCCTTTTTGTCCACAGTTGCCAGAGCTTTTGGAGAACAGTCCTTATGTTATTGAAACAAACCTAATCTGTAGCTGAGTTGGGAGGGAGCTAAGTGGACAGAGAGTCCTCCACCCAAACAAAAGAATCTTTGATTCTTGGGCATAATGGGAGCAATATTTAAAAAAAAAAAAAAAAAAAAAAAAAGGAATGTTTGGGGAAGACTCTTGCGGTGCAAAGGCTGTTTCAGATTGCTGAGATCAGACCTTAAGTACCAAAGCCCAAATATAGTACAACATAATACAAATGAGAAGAAAATAGCTGAAGAATAATTCGAGTTTATACAGTACAATTCAAGAGAAGAAAGAAAATTTATGACGACTAGCTGGGTGAGAATTAGAACTGTAACCCTGGGAAGGTCCTGGTGATTTGACTCTCACAGGACACCTGATGACCAGAGGATGGGTTTCCTTTGATGGGAAATCTGTGGCGATTCATTGATGGGCCTCTGAATTCTGCTGAAGCAGAGGAAGTAGTAATACCCCATTTATAATGGAAGTGCATTCTCACTTAAAAACAACTAATATTATTCTAGCTGGACCTAGCCTCTAGAAACAGCCAAATTACATTTGACTTGAGTGGATTCATAATAATTAAAAAATTTCTGGGGCATGGGATAAATGTGTTAGGTATTGCTAAGTCAAGGCAGCCCTATCCCCTCAGCAGAAGTGAGGGAATATGAAAGTGTGTGAATGCTAACATAATTTTGGGGAATATCGCCGTCAGATTTCCAGATGATATTCCAACATGTTTGTGAAACTTCAGTGTCTTCCTGTGTTCATACAGTGTTCCAGTGGAAAAATAATGCTTAGTTCTGGAAGGTTTCAGATGTGAACACTGAACTCATCGTTTTCTTTTTTGGGTAGTAGAGTTAGAGATTCCATCCTCTTGAAAGCACAGTTGCCCCGGGAAGAGTAAAAGGGAGCAGAAGGCGTAAGCCAGGCACGGCTGTTTTCACTGTTGTTCACCTTTTGTATCCTTACGAATATGAAGATGTACTAAGTTGTGTGTTTTGCGTGCATATATAATTTTAAGCTACTTGAGTTGTAGGTCCCTCCAGTCTGTGATTCAGTTTGAGATGGGACTGTATGGGAATTAACAGTGCCTTGTCTTCTTAAGGAGTGATTTGTGTATGTGCTGATATAGCTCAGTATGTCTTTGAAACCAGTTGTCTGGGGCTAGGCCTGCAATCAGCTTTTGGCTAAGAGGTCCCAGGATGGAACAAGTAGTGTGAAAGAGGACTGATACCTTGGCCTCACACACAGTACTGCTCTTAGACTGGGGCAAGTGAAACTCCTCACTTCAGAGTGCCCCATTCTAGGCCCCCTCACTCCCAAAGGGGTGAGGGATCACTGGGGCCATGGGAATGTGCTTGTTCAGCTCTCGTGGGCTCTCCTTCTGTACCACGTTCTGGACATCTGGAGTTCCTTGCCCCAAATCCCTGAGCCCACGTCTGCGTCCGCACAGTCTATTTCCTAAGGTCAGTCCATCTCCTCCAGGTGGGAACGTGCCACCATTGACTGTGCCCTTGGGCCTGAGTGATGGCCAAGGGCTGTGTTGGGGAGTGTTGTGGATGGATCCTGGCACCGAGGGCTGGGATATCCTCTCAAATGAATGTGAGGTGCCTCCCAGTGCTGGAGAGAGCGGGATTCAGGAAGCAGTGGAAGGGAAGAGCCTGGGATATGGGGATCAGCTGTCTGTGCCCTGCTGCATTCTGGAATAAAACTCTGAGGGACTAAGAATTCTAAATTCAAACCTGAATCAACCAGGTTGTTACAAAGATAAGTTTGTCAGTGCAGGAGGATACAATATATTTTACTTAAGTTACTAGCTCGATTGATCATTTTTAAATTTTTAGCTACATATAGTATGTGGGCCTCCATTTGTCCTCTTATCCCAGGCCTTGCAGAATTTAGGAATAAGCCTCAATACAGTGTTCTAACCCAGTGACTTCCGCCTCGATGTACAGTAGATTGAACCTGATCCTTTATACTTTAGTGATCATTAGTTGATACCAGTTCAAGTCAGGCTTTCTAGAAATCTCATTGTATGTTAGGGGTTCGATTAGAGTACAGTCATGCATCACTTAATGAATGGCCACAGGATACATTCTGAGAAACGCATTGATAGATGATTTCATCATTCTGTGAACATCATAGAGTGTACTTACACATACCAAGATGGCATAGCTACTACAGACGTAGGCTCTGTGGTACAGGCCATTGCTCCAAGGCTGCACATCTCTACAGGATGGTACTGTACTGAATACTGTAGGCAATTGGAGCACAGTGGTAAGTATTTGTGTATTTAAACATAGAAAAGGTATAGTAAAAACAGGGTGTTACAGTCTTAAGGGCCCACCATTGTATTTCCAGTCTCCGTTGACTGAAACATCATTATACAGTACATGAGCACGTATCTTTCTCACCTGGTACTAGTGGAAAGCTAGAAGGCTTAGAAGTCTACCTGTAAACATAGCTTAAGTAATAATACAGCCTTATTTTTAAATGATAATAGCAATAATAGTGTTCACTTATTGAGCATTTTACTATGAGTTACTTACTAAATATATTTCATCGTTAATTTACTCTTTGTGTTATTTGATCTATAACATCGTTTAACAGGGAAATTACCTAGTACATAATGTACTGTTATCTACATTTTATCTAGATGAGGAAACTGAGGCACAGAGAAATTAAGTACTTTGCCTAGGATTACCCGTGAAGTTAAGTGACAGAATCAATGAATCTGGAAGGTCTGGCTTCAGATCTCTTGTGCTGAGTCACTCGCATACTTTACTACCTCTAAGGTTTCTAATCAGAGGAATTTGTATCTGTATTCCCTGCTACTCTTACCCTCTATGTGGGATTTGGCCTTTCTCCATTATCCCTGTGAACTCGCTCTGGGACCTTCCTTCTTGTACTTGGAACCATCAGAAAGTGATCTGAGAACATAGAAATCTACTGTGTTGTGAAACAGAATTACCTGGAAGCGGAAAAAGCCCTCCTGGCTCAATTCACATGTCACGGCTTATGGTCGTATCCGGGGAACATATGAAACTGGGCACTGAGTGCGGAGTCAGGAAAGCCCTGTCCATCCTCTGGGTTTCTGGGGAAAACGTGGACCCCTTCATTGTCACTTTCTCCTGTATATTTTTGTTTTTACTTTTAGAACTGTACAATTACGTAATAAATAATAAAAAGTCGTTGGAAGGATAGGTGAAGTTCAGAAGTGAAAGTGTTTTGGAGGAGTCTAAGCTCCTTCCCACCCTCATTGACCTTTCCTCTCTAATAAATAGAACTGGTCTAACCAAGGATCTGTGGAATGAGCAGAGTCCAACGGAGATTCAGGGATTCTAATAACCTCTTGTAGAATCACTGGTTTGTTTCAGCCACAAGAAGGAATTACCTTTTGACATTGGCTTGAACAGCTGTTGTGCAAAGAAAAACTTTTTGGAAAGTTCTGGAAGTACCAGATTGATTTTATAGGTTTTTTTTTTTTTTTTTGGAGGGACATGGGGGTATTGACAGTTGATGTTAATCAGAAATCCTAAATTATGTGTATTCCTGGTATGTTGCAATCAGCCGGCCACCTGGTTTTCCTCTGGGCTCTTAATTTTAGGTGTATTCCGAGGAAGTTTTTCTAACTTTTCTGTAAACACAGACCAGGTATATTGCATACTTTCAATGTTTAACCAAATCTCTTCACTGTTTGCAGTATTATCTGTAGGCTCTCATGTTTTAAGACTTCCCATGGTGTTTTTGTATTGTATTTTGCTAACCTATAAACAATTCTTTGAACTTAAAACAAGATATTTGGGCAGTAACAATAAATTTTAAAAACATCAATTCAACTTTTTTACATTAGGGCTTGGACTATGGAAAAAGTATTGGGCAGCATGCCTCATACTGAGTTGTTTAATGAATTTAAAAGTATAGCCTTAATAGTGAGAGAAACTCTATAGCTTCATAATATAAATTGGGTAACTAATGAGATAAAATGGTTGGCAGATCTGCTCACTAGAATCTAAGCTCTTCAAGGGTCTGAGTTTTTTTTTTTCTTTTTCTTTTATTATACTTTAAGTTCTAGGGTACATGTGCACAACGTGCAGGTTTGTTACATAGGTATACATGTGCCATGTTGGTTTGCTACACCCATCAACTCGTCATTTACATTAGGTATTTCTCGTAATGCTATCCCTCCCTTGGCCCCCCACCCCACAACAGGCCCCGGTATGTGATGTTCCCCTCCTTGTGTCCATGTGTTCTCATTGTTCAACTCCCACTTAGGAGTGAGAACATGTAGTGTTTGGTTTTCTGTCGTTGTGATACTTTGCTCAGAATGATGATTTCCAGCTTCATCCATGTCCCTGCAAAGGACATGAACTCATCCTTTTTTTATGGCTGTGTAGTATTCCATGGTGTATATGTGCCACATTTTCTTTATTCAGTCTATTATTGATGGACATTTGGGTTGGTTCCAGGTCTTTGCTATTGTGAATAGTGCCACAGTAAACATACATGTGCTTGTGTCTTCATAGTTGGACGAGTTATAATCCTTTGGGTATATGCCCAGTAATGGGATTGCTGGGTCAAATGGTATTTCTAGTTCTAGATCCTTGGGGAATCACCATACTGTCTTCCACAATGGTTGAACTAATTTACACTCCCACCAACAGTGTAAATTTAGTCCTGTTTCTCCACATCCTCTCCAGCATCTGTTGTTTCCTGACTTTTTAAATGATCGCCATTGTAACTGGCTTGAGATGGTATCTCATTGTGGTTTTGATTTGCATTTCTCTGATGACCAGTGGTGATGAGCATTTCTTCATATGTCTGTTGGCTGCATAAATGTCTTCCTTTGAGAAGTGTCTGTTCATATCCTTTGCCCACTTATTGATGGGGTTGTTGATTTTCTTGTAAATTTTTTTTAAGTTCTTTGTAGATTCTGGATACTACCCTTTGTTGGATGGATAAATTACAAAAATTTTCTCCTATTCTGTAGGTTGCCTTTTACTCTGATGATAGTTTCTTTTGCTGTGCAGAAGCTCTTTAGTTGAATTAGATCCCATTTGTCTAGTTTGGCTTTTGTTGCCATTGCTTTTGGTGTTTTAGTCATGAAGTCTTTGCCCATGCCTATGTCCTGAATGGTATTGACTGCATTTTCTTCTAGGGTTTTTACGGTTTTAGGCCTTATATTTAAGCCTTCAGTCCATCTTGAGTTAATTTTTGTATAAGATGTAAGGAAGGGATCCAGTTTCAGCTTTCTACATATGGCAAGCCAGGTTTCCCAGCAGCATTTATTAAATAGGGAATCCTTTCTCCATTGCTTGTTTTTGTCAGGTTTGTCAAAGATCAGATGGCTGTAGATGTGTAGTGTTATTTCTGAGGCCTCTGTTCCGTTCCATTGGTGTACATATCTGTTTTGGTACCAGTACCATGCTGTTTTGGTTACTGTAGCCTTGTAGTATAGTTTGAAGTCAGGTAGCGTGATGCCTCCAGCTTTGTTCTTTTGGCTTAGGATTGTCTTGGCTATGCAGGCTCTTTTTTGCTTCCATGTGAAATTTAAAGTAGTTTTTTCCAATTCTGTGAAGAAAGTCATTGGTAGCTTGATGGGGATAGCATTGAATCTGTAAATTACCTTGGGCAGTATAGCCATTTTCACGATACTGATTCTTCCTATCCATGAGCATGGAATGTTCTTCCATTTGTTTATGGCCTCTTTTATTTCATTGAGCAGTGGTTTGTAGTTCTCTTTGAAGAGGTCCTTCATATCCCTTGTAAGTTGGATTCCTAGGTGTTGTATTCTCTTTGTAGCTATTGTGAATGGGAGTTCACTCATGATTTGGCTCCTTGTTTGTCTGTTATTGGTGTATAGGAATGCTTGAGATTTTTTGCACATTGATTTTGTATCCTGAGACTTTGCTGAAGTTGCTTATCAGCTTAAGGAGATTTAGGGCTGAGACGATGGGGTTTTCTAAATATACAATCATGTCATTTGCAAACAGGCAATTTTACTTCCTCTTTTCCTAATTGAATACCCTTTATTTCTTTCTCTTGCCTGATTATCCTGGCCAGAACTACCAATACTGTGTTGAATAGGAGTGGTGAGAGGACGGCATCCTTGTCTTGTGCAGGTTTTCAAAGGGAATGCTTCCAGTTTTTGCCCATTCAGTATGATATTGGCTTTGGGTTTGTCATAAATAGCTCCTTATTATTTTGAGATGCGTTCCATCAATATCTAGTTTACTGAGAGTTTTTAGCATGAAAGACTGTTGAATTTTGTCAAAGGCCTTTCGTGCATCTATTGAGATAATCATGTGGTTTTTGTCATAGGTTCTGTTTATGTGATGGATGATGTTTATTGATTTGTGTATGTTGAACAGCCTTGCATCCCAGGGATGAAGCCGACTTGATCGTGGTGGATAAGCTTTTTGATGTGCTGCTGGATTCAATTTGCCATTATTTTATAGAGGATTTTCGCATCAACGTTCATCAGGGATATTGGCCTAAAATTCTCTTTTTTTATTGTTTGTCTGCCAGGCTTTGGTATCAGGATGATGCTGGCCTCATAAAATGAGTTAGGGAGGATTCCCTCTTTTTCTATTGGAATAGTTTCAGAAGGAATGGTACCAGCTCCTCTTTGTACCTCTGGTAGAATTCGGCTGTGAATCTGTCTGTTCCTGGACTTTCTTTGGTTGGTAGGCTATTAATTATTGCCTCAATTTCAGAGCCTGCTATTGGTCATTTCAGAGGTTCAACTTCTTCCTGGTTTAGTCTTGGGAGAGTGTATGTGTCGAGGAATGTATCCATTTCTTCTGGATTTTCTAGCTTATTTGCATAGAGGTGTTGATAGTATTCTCCAGTGGTAGTTTGTATTTCTGTGGGATTGGTGGTGATATCCCCTTTATCATTTTTTATTACGTCTTTTTGATTCTTCTGTCTTTTCTTCTTGCTAGCGGTCTATCAATTTTGTTGATCTTTTCAAAAAACCAGCTCCTGGATTCATTAATTTTTTTTTTTGAAGGGTTTTTTGTGTGTCTATCTCTTTCAGTTCTGCTCTGATCTTAGTTATTTCTTGCCTTTTACTAGCTTTTCAATTTGTTTGCTCTTGCTTTTCTAGTTCTTTTAATTGTGATGTTAAGGTGTTGTTTTTAGATCTTTCCTGCTTTCTCTTGTGAGCATTTAGTGCTATAAATTTCCCTCTACACACTGCTTTAAATGTGTCCCAGAGATTCTGGTATGTTGTGTCTTTGTTCTCATTGGTTTCAAAGAACATCTTTATTTCTGCTTTCATTTCGTTATGTACCCAGTAGTCATTCAGGAGCAGGTTGTTCAGTTTCCATGTAGATGTGTGGTTTTGAGTGAGTTTATTAATCCTGAGTTCTAATTTGATTTCACTGTGGTCTGAGAGAAAGTTTGTTGTAATTTCTGTTCTTTTACATTTGCTGAGCAGTGTTTTTCTTCCAATTCTGTGGTCAATTTTAGAATAAGTGCGATGTGGTGCTGAGAAGAATGTATATTCTGTTGATTTGGGGTGGAGAGTTCTGTAGATGTCTGTTAGGTCTGCTTGGTCCAGAGCTGAGTTCAAGTCCTGGATATCCTTGTTAACCTTTTGTCTTGTTGATCTATCTAATATTGACAGTGGGATGTTAGACTCGCACACAATAATAATGAGAGACTTTAAGTCTTTTTCTAGGTCTCTAAGGACTTGCTTTATGAATCTGGGTGCTCCTGTATTGGGTACATATATGTTTAAGATAGTTAGCTCTTCTTGTTGAATTGATCCCTTTACCATTATGTAGTGGCCTTCTTTGTCTCTTTTGATCTTAGTTGGTTTAAAGTCTGTTTTATTAGAGACTAGGATTGCATTCCCTGCTTTTTTTTTTCGCTTGGTAGATCTTCCTCCAGCTGTTTATTTTGAGCCTATGTGCATCTCTGCACGTGAGACGGGTCTCCTGAATACAGCACAGTGACGGGCCTTGACTGTTTATCCAATTTGCCAGTCTGCGTCTTTTAACTGGGGCATTTAGCCCACTTATATTTAAGGTTAATATTGTTATGTTTGAATTTGATCTGTCATTATGATGTTTGCTGGTTATTTTGCCCATTAATTGATGCAGTTTCTTCCTAGCCTCGATGGTCTTTACAATTTGGCATGTTTTTGCAGTGGCTGGTACCAGTTGTTCCTTTCCATTTTTACTGCTTCCTTCAGGAGCTCTTTTAGGGCAGGCCTGGTGGTGACAAAATCTCTGAGCATTTGCTTGTCTGTAAAGGATTTTATTTCTCCTTCACTTGTGAAACTTAGTTTGGCTGGTTATGAGATTCTGGGTTGAAAATTCTTTAAGAATGCTGAATATTGGCCCCCACTCTCTTCTGGCTAGTAGGGTTTCTGCTGAGAGATCTGCTGTTAGTCTGATGGGCTTCCCTTTGTGGGTAACCCGACCTTTCTCTCTGGCAGCCCTTAACATTTTTTCCTTCATTTCAACGTTGGTGAATCTGACAATTACGTATCTTGGGATTGCGCTTCTCGAGGAATATCTTTGTGGTGTTCTCTGTATTTCCTGAATTTGAATGTTGACCTGCCTTGCTAGGTTGGGGAAGTTCTCCTGGATAATATACTGAAGAGTGTTTTGTAACTTGGTTCCATTCTGTCTATCACTTTCAGGTACAACAATCATAGCATTGGTCTTTTCACATAGTCGCATATTTATTGAAGCCTTTGTTCATTTCTTTTCATTCTTTTTTCTCTAATCTTGTCTTCTTGCTTTATTTCATTAATTTGATCTTCGATCACTGATATCCTTTCTTCTGCTTGATCGAATCGGCTATTGAAGCTTGTTTATGCTTTGTGAAATTCTTGTACTTTGGTTTTCAGCTCCATCAGGTCATTTAAGCTCTTCTCTACACTGGTTATTCTAGTTAGCCATTTGTCCAACCTTTTCTCAAGGTTTTAAGTTTCCTTGCGATCGGTCAGAACGTGCTGCTTTAGCTTGGAGAAGTTTGTTATTACCAACCTTCTGAAGCCTACTTCTGTCAACTCGTTAAACTCATTGTCCATCCAGTTTTGTTCCTTTGCTGGTGAGGAGTTACGTTCCTTTGGAGGAGAAGAGGCGTTCTGTTTTTGGAATTTTCAGCCTTTCTGCTGTGGTTTCTCCCCATCTTTGTGGTTTTATCTACCTTTGGTCTTTGATTTTGGTGACGTACAGATGGGTTTTGGTGTGGGTGTCCTTTTTGTTGATATTGATCCTATTCCTTTGTTTGTTAGTTTTCCTTCTAACAGAGGCCCGTCAGCTGCAGGTCTGTTGGAGTTGCTGGAGGTCCACTCTAGACCCTGTTTACCTGGGTATCACCAGTGGAGGCTGCAGAACAGCAAATATCGCGGCCTGATCCTTCCTCTGGAAGCTTCGTCCAAGAAGGACACCCACCTATATGAGGTGTCTGTCGGCCCCTACTGGGAGGTGTCTCCTCCCAGTCAGGCTACATGGGGCTCAGGGACCCACTTGAGGAGGCAGTCTGTCCGTTACTGGAGTTCAAATGCCGAGCTGGGAGAACCACTGCTCTCTTCAGAGCTGTCAGGCAGGGATGTTTAAATCTGCAGAAGCCGTCTGCTGCCTTTTGTTTAGATATGCCCTGCCCCCAGAGATGCAATCTAGAGAGGCAGTAGGCCTTGCTGAGCTGCGGTGGGCTCCACCCAGTTCAAGCTTCCTTGCTGCTTTGTTTACACTGTGAGCATAGAAGTGCGTACTGAAGCCTCAGCAATGGCGGGGAGGCGCTTCCCCTCACCAAGCTCCAGCATCCCAGCTTGATCTCAGACTGCTTGGCTAGCAGCAAGCAAGGTTCCATGGGCATGGGACCCCCCGAGCCAGGCACTGGAGGCAATCACCTGCTCTGCCAGTTGCGAAGACTGGGAAAAGCACAGTATTTGGGCAGAGTATACTGTTCCTCCAGGTACAGTCACTCACGCCTTTCCTTGGCTAGGAAAGGGAAATCCCCTGACCCCTTGCACTTCCTGGATGAGGTGACGTCCTGCCCTGCTTTGGCTCACCCTCCATGGGCTGCACCCACTGTCCAACCAGTGCCAGTGAGATGAACCAGGTACCTCAGTTGGAAATGCAGAAATCACCCATCTTCTGCATCGATCTTGCTGGGAGCTGTAGACCAGAGCTGTTCCTACTGGGACATCTTGGAAGCAACTCTGGGTCTGAGTTTCTGTTTGTTGCCCTGATGTATATCCCCAGTGCCTAGAATGATACTTGTTACATAGGAAGTGCTTGATCCATGTTTGCACAAATGAATCTTTCTCATAATGAGGTTTCTCTAAACAAGCTGTTCTCCCAAAAACTTAAACCCAGCTTTATGTTGAAGCATCTCATTATACATTGGAAAGATGAAATGTGTAGTGAGACTTTGAATCTTCTTTTGAATCTAGAAACATTAGCATTTTTAGACCATTCTATTTTAATATTTATGAAATTTATGAAATAATAAGAAACATGAGGCCGGGCTCAGTGGCTTATGCCTGTAATCCCAGCAGTTTGGGAGGCCAGGGCTAGTGGATCATGAGGTCAGGAATTTGAGACCAGCTTGGCCAACATGGTGAAACCCCACTTCTACTAAAAATATAAAAATTAGCTGGGCGTGGTGGTGCATGCCTGTAATGCCAGCTCCTGGAGAGGCTGAGGCAGGAGAATCATTTGAACCTGGGAGGCGGAGTTTGCAGTGAGCTGAGATCGTGCCATTGCACTCCAGCCTGGGCAACATTGCGAGACTCCATCTCAAAAACAAAAACAAAAACAAAAAAAATGTGTGACCTAAATTAGGCTTATAGATGAACCATTGCAGTCATGATTAATTCCGCCATTGTTTGCCTTGTGATCTTTGGTGCCATGTCTGTACATATTTCATGATTTCTGTGTTTTTACGGTTTCCATTTCAGATCTCCCTTGAGTTTAGAAATCTGGCTGAGAAATACCAAACAGTGATTGCCGACATTTGCCGGAGAATGGGCATTGGGATGGCAGAGTTTTTGGATAAGCATGTGACCTCTGAACAGGAGTGGGACAAGGTTAGTCTCATAAAACAGTGTCTGTGTGTGATGTATTAGACAGAGCTGGCAGTCCTCATAGTGAAGCTCAGAACAAGAAAAGTTGTCCAGTATTTTCAGCCCCTCTGGTTTTACAATTCATCTGTTTAGGTTGAATGTCTCATCATAAACAGTTTATTCCAGAGTTAATTCCAAACCAGCAGCTATGTAGGATATCAGCCAGGCTAGGAGTAGGGTACTGGAGAGAAGTGCTTATCTAGACAAAGGGATGTAATTGACCATGAAGATTAAAACTACACATCAAAACATAAGGTAGGGTTAGGAGTCTTGCCTATTTTTCATAGGAATGGTGTTTGTGAGACTTACTCATCACTTCTGTGGAAGTAAAGACATTTTATTTATTTATTTTAAAGCCAGTCAGATTTAGCAGGCAGAGACATTTCAGACATCTAAAGTGTTGATGTATTTCATACCTTTAACTGTGCTTAAATTAGGATCTCCGAAAAGATGCTGCTACATGGTCACTACGTTAGTGTAGGTCCAAGGTCTTGGGCCTCTTAATTTTTCAAACCTCAAAACTTGACAGCAGTTATCTTTGGAACTGCTGATTTGTGCTTCCTAAGTTAACAGCATACAATGACTGCTAGAAATCAATTTCTGCATTTAAGGTGAAGTTAGCCGGGTACTATGGTTTACCTGTAATCTCAGCACTTTGGGAGGCTGAGGTGGGAGGATCATTTGAGCCCAGGAGTTAGACACAAGCCTAAGCAACATAGCGAGACCCCGTCTTTCAAAAAATTAAAAAATGAGCAGGGAATTGGTGGCATGTGCCTGTGGTCCCAGCTACTCTGGAGGCTGAGGTGTGGGAGGATTGCTTGAGCCCAAGAGTTGAAGGTTGCAGTGAGCCATGATTGTGCCACTGCACTCCAACGTGGGTGACAGAGCAAGACACCATCTGAAAGAAAATAAAGTTGAAGTTAAAACTTCTGGCCAAGAACCAGCACTGGTTATGATAGTAACTCATTTTCTGTTGTGCAGATTTATTCAGGAAACTTAATTTTAGGTTGTTGAATAGAAGTTTTGATCAGATAAAATTGAATTAAAAAAAATTTTTTTTGAGACAGGGTCTTGCTGTTATCCAGGCTGGTGTGTAGTGGTGTGATCACGGCTCCCCGCAGCCTCAACCTCCTGGGCTCAGGTGATCCTCCCACCTCAGCCTACCGAGTAGCTGTAACTACAGTGCATGACACCATACCAGGCTCATTTTTGTACATTTTTTGTAGAGAGAGGGTTTTGCCATGTTGCCCAGGCTAGTCTCAAACTCCTGGCATCAAACAGTCCTCCCACTCTGGCCTCTCAAATGTTGGGATTACAGGCATGACCAGCCAATTATTTCAAGGAGTTATTTTTTTTCTTCTACTTTGGGGGAAGATGAATTATATAAGTCTCCATTTTAGGAGTATTTCTACCAAAAGAACTATTATCTTCAAATATATTTTTGGATAGTACTATAGATATACTAATTTTTTTTTAAATTTCTAGTAATTCTTTTGAAGATTTTGTATAGCTGTCCAAAGCCAATTTCTGTCTACCTAATTTCAGCAAGATTTCACTCTTTTCATGTTACTTTTGTCCCAGAACAAATTTCAAGTGCTTTCTCTTCACCTGTGCATTCTTCCCCCTGATTAGTCTCTGGCTTTGTATTACTTTCAGTCAGAGACGACTTTTTTTTTTTGAGACAGGGTCTCACTCTGTCACCCAGACTGGAATGCAGTGGCACAGACAAGGCAGCCTTGACCTTCTGGGCTCAAGCAATCTTCCTTGCCCTCAGCCTCCTGAGTAACTGGGACCACAGGCACGTTGCCACCATGCCTGGCTAATTTATTTTAATTTTTATTATTTTTGAGACAGGGTATTGCTCTGTCACCCAGGCTGGAGTGTAGTGGCATGATCAAGGCTCACTGCAGCCTTCACCTCCTGTGCTCAAGCAGTCCTCTCACCTCAGCCTCCCCATTAGCTGGGACTATAGGTCCACACCACTACACCAGGCTAATTTTTGTAATTTTTTGGTAGAGACAGGGTTTCATCGTGTTGCCTAGGCTGGTCTTGAGCTCCTGGGCTCAAGCGATTCACCTGCCTTAGCCTCCCAGGTGTGAGCCACTACACTCAGCCTTTTAAAATTTTTTACAGAGATGAGGTCTTGCTTTGTTGGCCAGGCTGGTCTAAAACTCTTGGGCTCAAGCAGTCCCCTCTCCACAGCCTCCCAAAATTCCGGGATTACAGGCGTGAACTTCGGTCATTTCCTAACTTTTACCCTTCCTAATGACACTCCAGAGCTTACCTTCTTTACTTTTGCTTCTTAAGTTAACTAATAGACAATTATTGTATGTGGATATTGCATTAAGTTGTCTTAGGATACCCTTTTCAGAGGAGGACAGCTTTTGACAAATTGCTGTCGCGGAAAAAAAAAGTATTTGGCAATTAAGAGTTGCATTTACTGAAATCTCTGTTGAGAGAGGGGAAGTTACGTTGTCTCTAAAAGAAAAACTAAAAAGAAAAGGGGAAGTTTTAGCAAAGTTGTTAAAGCCTGACACTTAAGTCATACTACCTAGTTTTGAACTCTTAGCCCCTGCCACAGACACGGCAGCCCCTTGAACCTTCCTGGGTTCAAGCGAGCCTCCTACTTCAGCCCCCTGAGTAACTGGGACCACTGGCCTGTGTCACTGTGCCTGGCTAATTTTTTTTTTTTCTCACATGGGCAATGTTGGGCAAGTTAAATCGACTTCTTTGTGCCTCAGTTTCCTCATCTGAAATGGAGATCATACTGCTATGTACCTGATACAATGTTTGTGAGGATTGAATGTGCAGAGTTCTTTTTTTCTGTTGTTGTTGTTTTGAGACGGAGTCTCACTCTGTCGCCCAGGCTGGAGTGCAGTGGCGCGATCTCGGCTCCCTGCAAGCTCCACCTCCTGGGTTCACGCCATTCTCCTGCCTTAGCCTTCTGAGTAGCTGGGACTACAGGCACCCGCCACCAGGCCAGCTAATTTTTTTGTATTTTTAGTAGAGACGGGGTTTCACCGTCTTAGCCAGGATGGTCTTGATCTCCTGATCTCGTGATCCGCCCGTCTCAGCTTCCCAAAGTGCTGGGATTACAGGCATGAGCCATCGTGCCCGGCTGAATGTGCAGAGTTCTTAAAACCGTGTCAAGAACATAAAATAGTTATTTGTTCTTTCATATAATGATGATTTTGAGGGCCTGCGGATCTTGACATGTTATCAGATTGGTCAAAAAAAGATTAAACCATAGTTGGTATTGTCCTAGTTCCTGTTACCAGAATATTCCATCTTTCATCGTTGCCTTCTCTCATAGTTTTATGTATCAAAAAGTTTATTGTAAAGCTAGGGCGGGCACGGTGTCTTGGGCTGGTAATCCCAGCACTTTGGGAGGCCAAGGCTGGCAGATCAGTTGAGGTCAGGAGTTCGAGACCAGCGTGGCCAACATGGTGAAACCCCGTCTCTACTAAAAATAAAAAATTAGCTGGATGTGGTGGTGGGTGCTTTAATTCCAGCTACTCAGGAAGCTGAGGCAGGAGAATCACTTGAACCCAAGAGGCAGAGGTTGCAGTGAGTTGAGATTGTGCCAGTGCACTCCAGCCCAGGGGACAAAGTGAGACTTGATCTCAAAAAAAAAAAAAAAAAAAAAGTTATTGTAAAGCTAGACACGGTGGTATTTGCCTACAATCCCAGCTGTTCGGGAAGCTGAGGCAGAAAGATTGCTTGGGTCCAGTAGTTTGAGTCTAACGTGGGCAAATATATGAGACTCCATCTCAAAAAAAAAATAAAAAATAAAAATAAAAAAATGTTTACTAGTTTTTTTCAGTAGCCTTTTATTATAGTAGCAGTACATGTGTATTGTAGAAATTTGGAAAATACAAGTGAAAAATAAAAACATCAAATTCCCGTCAGCCAGAGACTGCTATGAAATGTTTTGAGCACATCCTTCTTGAATGTTTTTTAAATCCTGGTATGTATATTTGTATTTTAAAATCAAAATGCATTCTTACCCATTCTCTTTTGAACCTGCTTTTTTGTAGCTAATGATCTCTAGTGTGTCCATTTCAGTAAAAATTCCATTATTAAAGTGCTTTAAAAATCGTCTCTTACAGTACTGCCACTATGTTGCTGGGCTGGTCGGAATTGGCCTTTCCCGTCTTTTCTCAGCCTCAGAGTTTGAAGACCCCTTAGTTGGTGAAGATACAGAACGTGCCAACTCTATGGGCCTGTTTTTGCAGAAAACAAACATCATCCGTGACTATCTGGAAGACCAGCAAGGAGGAAGAGAGTTCTGGCCTCAAGAGGTAACAGATTCAGGGTATTTTGGGGGAAAATAACTTTAGACATTCTCTGAAAAATCCTTTAACTCTTGTGGTTGCGGGTGACAGAAAAACAAGTCAGGCCTCCCCCAGGCAGCATAAGGGGATGTGGAAAATAGGATAGCTTGACATGAGTTTGCTTCAGGTAGACTGGCTGACTCCCAGGATTCACACCACGTAATCAGTATATTCAAGCCTTGCTGTCCTTGATTTCTTTCAGACGGTCTTTCTCCAAGTGGTGGATATGGTAACAACCCATGTGCACTAGCTTAACAAAAAGTTCTTAGGAATGGCTTTGTTCGGCCTGGCGCAGTGGCTCATGCCTGTAATCCCAACAGTTTGAGAGGCCAAGGTGGGCGGATCACCTGAGGCCAGGAGTTCGAGACCAGCCTGGCCAACATCGTGAAACCCCGTGTTTACTAAAAAATACAAAAATTAGCCGGGCGTGGTGGCAAGGGCTTGTAATCCCAGCTACCTGGGAGGCTGAGGCAGGAGAATCGCTTGAACCCAGGAAGCAGAGATTGCGGTGAGCTCAGATTGTGCCACTGCACTCCAGCCTGGGCGACAGAGTGAGACTCCCTCTCAAAAGAAGAGGAAGGGCTTGGTTCTTCTGCTCAGCCCTGAATCAGTTACTGTTGCTACACAGCTGAGTTCTCTGGCCTCGCCTGGATTACGTCTACACAGTACACACAGAATGGATTTCCCCCAAAGAAAGAATTCTGCAGCAGGAAGGGGAAAGGGATGGCAGGTAGACAAAAACTCCAGGTGTCTGTAATAAGGGACAGGGTCGATCTTTAATTAAAACATGGACAGGGAACAGAAAGCTTTTGATACTGATTTTGTTCAGAAGGAAAGTAGAAAATTTTATGACTGTTCCCTGAATTTATTCCAGCATTTACCTTTTGCTTTCCATAAAAGTGTTTCCTGCAGCCAAGTACTTTAAAGTTTTAAAAAGACGGGTGAGGCTAAGTGTGGTGTCTCATACTTATAATCCCAGTGCTGAGGCCAGGAGTTCAAGACCAGCCTGAGCAACACAGCAAGATACCATCTCTATAAAAAATTGTTAGAAAATGATTCTGCTGAAAGAGCAAAAATAAAAATTAAAGAAAGTAGAAAAAATAAAACTAAATTTAAAAGATTAACTGGGCATGTTGGCATGCACCTGTATTCCTAGGTATTCGGGAGGCTAAGGCACAAGGATCCCTTGAGCGCAGGAGCTCAAGGTTGGATTGAGTTGTAATCACACCACTGCACTCCAGCCTCGGTGGCAGAATGAAACTGTCTCAAGAAAAAAAAAAAGTGACAGAGGGAAACAATATTTGCAATTCATAGAGCAGATACAGGGTTCATATTCCTAATATTAAAAAAAACTTCTAAAAGTTAAGAAAAAGGCCAACTGCCCCACAGAAAAATGGGCAAGGAGATAAGAACAAGATAGTTCACAGGAAGAGACACACAGATGATTATTAAAAATCTGAAAAGATGCTGAGTCTTACTCCTAAGAAAAATTCACATTTAAACTACTCTGGGGGCTGGGCAAGGTGGCTCACGCCTGTAATCTCAACACTGGGAGACCAAGGTAGGAAGATCACTGAAGCCAGGATATCGAGACCAGCCTGGACAACGTAGTGAGACCTTATCTCTTAAAACAAAACAAAACAAAACAAAACAAAAAAAACAGTAAAAATTGGCCGGGCACAGTGACTCCTGCCTATAATCCCAGCACTTTGGGAAGCCCAGGTGAGTGGATCACTTGAGGTCAGGTGTTTGAGAACAGCCTGGCCAACATGGCAAAACTCCGTCTCTACTAAAATTACAAAAATTAGCCAAGTGTGGTGGCATACGCTGGTAGGGCCAGCTACTTGGGAGGCTGATGTGAGACTCCATTTAAAAAAAAAAAATCAAAAATTAGCTGGGTATAGTGGCACACCCCTATAGTTCTCGCTCCTTGGGAGGTTGAGGCAGGAGGATTGCCTGAGCCCAGGAGTTCAAGGCTGCAGTGAACCATGATCGCACCACTGCATTCTAGCAGCCTGGGAGACAGAGCAAAACCCTTGTCTCAAAACAAACAAACAACAACAAAAAAACAAAAAACACTTCCCTCAGCTCAGACATGGCCTTTTAAGTTTCCTAGGTGACTCGTGTGCAGCCAGGGTTGAGAAACCACTCTTGTCTTACCCCTCTTTTGCAGACACAGGGCTCAGAGAAGGGAAGGGGATTGTCTGGGGATGTATAGTGAGGCAGTGGCTGCCTTGGAAGTGGAGTCTCAGTCTCCCGGCTCCTAGGCCAGCCCCTGACCACTGTTCCATTGTCTCCCAGACAGAACATCAGCCACGGGCATGTGATGCATGAGCGTGAGCCACACCATCTTGCACACACAGGAGCAGAGCCCTGCTCTTCTCATTCACTTACTTTATCTGTAAAATAGCATCATTTCTACCACACGGTGGTGGTGTGAATAAAATGAGATGAACTTCTAGCATAGAGTGCTTAGTAAAGGTTCTGGACATTTCGTAGTAGTTGAATCATGCCAAATGTGGTCCTAGGTGATTGGCTTCTTTTGCTAGCATGTTTTCAGGGCTCCTCCATGCTGGGGCATTGCATCACTGCTTTATTCCTTTTTATCGCCTAGTATTATTCCACTGTGTGGATAGACCACATTTATCCATTCATCAGTTGAAGGATATTTGGGTTCTTCCCATTTTTTTTGGCTATGGTGAATAGTACTGTGTACATTTGCATATAAGTTTTTGTGTAGATGTGTGTTTTCCTTTTTCTTGGGTCTATGCTGAGAAGTGGAATTGCTGGTTCATACAGCAGCTCGAACCTTGTGAGGAGCTGCCAGACGCTTTTCCAAGGTCGCTCCACCATTTTACATTCCCGTCAGCAGTGTGAGAGTCCCAGTTTCACCAGCACTTGTTGTTATCTCTTTTTAACTGTATGTATATATACTTAACATTTTATTTATAATAAATGTACATAATAGAGAATTTGCCATTTTAACTATTTTTAAGTCTATTATTCAGTGGCATTAAGTACATTAATGATGTTATATAACCATCAACACTATGTTTCCAGAACTTTCGCTAGCTTCAGAGAATCCTCTAAATAATATCATTAAAAATCATCAAGCCGAATCCCACTGTTAGAATTAAAGGTTTTATTTCACTTTCAAGTTATCAGGATCCAGGGAGGTGTAATACACTTAGAGGATAGACTCAGCTCATTTCCCAGCTATGCCTTTCAGCAGCTTTCTTACCAGAGTAGGAATATAATGTTAGTCATTATTTAGAGGCCTGGCCATCTTGAGAAGGTTTACTGTTTAGTCTGCAGTACAATTATAACTGTTTTTGTATATTGGGTTATTTTTTTCAGAAGTAGGCCAGTAGCTCTAACAGGAGCCTCTTTAGCCTGAATTCGTCCAAGTAGTGCAGTGTTGCACTAGTTGTCCCTCGGGACATGCTCCCCAATACGTAACTCACTTCCAGGTTGCAACTGGACACTTACTGGTAGTCAGAAATAGCTATTGCATGGAGCTTAAAATGAACTTGATCTTCGTGAAAGATGAGTCTGCAGCTAAGAGACTTTACTGTATATCATAGTGTTTTTTTTTGTTTTGTTTTGTTTTTGTTTTTGTGACGGAGTCTCACTCTTTCACCCAGGCTGGAGTGCAATGGCGAGATCTTGACTCACTGCAACCTCCGCCCCCTAGGTTCAAGCAATTCTTCTGTCTCACCCTCCTGAGTAGCTGGGATTACAGGCGCCTGCCACCGTACCCGGCTAGTTTTTGTATTTTTAGTAGACACAGGGTTTCACCACCTTGGCCAGGCTGGTCTTGAACTCCTGACCTCGTGATCCACCCTCCTCGGCCTCCCAAAGTGCTGGGATTACAGGCGTGAGCCACGGCGCCCAGCCTGTATCATAGTTCTTATGCACAAAGACCCTTTAATATTGTTTGTAAATTCTCCCCTATGCACACGCTGACCTGTTCCTTAATCTTCTTATCTGTCTAGGTTTGGAGCAGGTATGTTAAGAAGTTAGGGGATTTTGCTAAGCCGGAGAATATTGACTTGGCCGTGCAGTGCCTGAATGAACTTATAACCAATGCACTGCACCACATCCCAGATGTCATCACCTACCTTTCGAGACTCAGAAACCAGAGTGTGTTTAACTTCTGTGCTATTCCACAGGTAGGGAAGGGGGCTCCTCTGGGTGGATACGGGGCTAAAGGGAGTGGGGTAGGAGTAAGGGTGGATTTTGCTGTGCTATATTCAAGGATATGATTCCTTAAAAAGACGATGACTCCAGTTTATTACGCTGGGAGTTTCATAGCACCCGCCTTTGCTTCCAGCCACCAAACTCAGCTCAGCCTTGAGGTTAAGCCTGCTCCTTTTCAGAACCTTCTTTCTGGATTTACTATTTTCTACAGCTATCCTAAACTAGTTAGGTTCTTTTCCTCACAGTTAAGTCAAGGTCTTTGGCTTAGATTTATGGGGAGTGCTGGGTAAAACCTGGGTGAAGCTGTTATCATTAAAAAGTCTTCATTAAGCACCTAATTACTGCTGTCCTTTTCCTAGACCCGGCATAAAAAGAACCTGGTCCGGTAGACCTAGCCTCTCAGTATGCTAGGAACTTACACTTTTTAGTTGCCTTTACCAAGTATTGCAGATACTACTGCAAATAAGTGAAGAAAGTAACAGCATTTAACTGATTTGGGAACTTGGTTTGATCTTGTTCTAATGACCAACTTCGAATGGTGGTTGAAAGTAAAATCTGTATCGCCGTCTTATGTTTCCATTTACCTAGAAATACTTTACCTTTGAGCACAGGAAATTAATCCCCTTCTGGTTGTTCTCCCCCTGGCATTGGTTTTAAATATATAATGATTATGTTTGTTGTAGGAAAAATAGAAAAACAACTACAATAGAAAATTCTTCCCATATATTATTTTGAAATACATATTTCCGATCCGATAATCCATTGCTCTAGCATGGAAAATGTTGGATTTACTTGTGTTTGCTTTTTCCAAATAAAATGGAACTTTTGTGGCTACATTATAGAATTGTTTTAGACTGCTTAATTCTGTGTGTTGTTGAGAAAGGGAGGAGTGGGGAAGGTAAAAATCTTGACATACTTTCTTCGTGGGTATTTTTTCTTGAGCGATTCCATCTTAGTTGATTAGCAGTTAGCAATTGCCCATTCAACAGAAGGTTTTCTTACCTTTTTGTGATAATGATAGCTAACGACATCATTTCTTCTTTTTTCCCTCTCTTCTTGTTGTCTCTAGGTGATGGCCATTGCCACTTTGGCTGCCTGTTATAATAACCAGCAGGTGTTCAAAGGGGCAGTGAAGATTCGGAAAGGGCAAGCAGTGACCCTGATGATGGATGCCACCAATATGCCAGCTGTCAAAGCCATCATATATCAGTATATGGAAGAGGTGGGTTTTTATTTAACTACTTGGATAATTTGTAGCTACTTTTATGATTTAGTAATGTCACTGTTTAACCAGGTTTGGATATTAGATGATCCTAACAATTCACTATCCTGTGGCCTAAAGAGACAGGAATTGATATCCTTTATAAGGAAAAAAGTCTATTCACAGGAGCCGAGCAGATTGCTCACTGCTGTGTAGTACCCTGGTGAGAGGAGATAAATGGAGCAAGGCTGTAGGTTGGAGCCCCTCAGTAGAATCATAGATTTTGAGCTGCAAGATGATGCAGGAGGCCAACCAAGCTTCTTGTTGCTGGTGAGGAATGTGAGGTTGAAGCTTGTCTGTGCTGATGCAGTGCGTGATTGAGTGGATCTCTGGCTCCCGTCCATGTGTCCTGACACCCAGTCTGGTACTTTCATTATGCCACAGGCCTCAATTGAAAAATCACAGTAGGGAATTTAGGCCAAGGAAAGCCATCAAGTTGCAATTATTTCCTAAATTTTCTTTGGAAAATTTCATTTCAAATACCAAAACCATCCTATAAAAAGAAAACTTACCTTCTTAGGTCAAATCTCTAATATTTGACTAGGTTCAAAAAGTTTATTTCTGGCCAGGCACAGTAGCTTACTCCTGAAATCCCAGCACTTTGGGAGACCAAGGTGGGAGGATCACTTGAGGCCAGGAATTCAAGACCAGCCCGGGCGACATAGCAAGACCCCATTTCTACAAAAAATTTAAAAATTGTCATGGTGGTGCACGCCTGTGGTCCCAGCTACTCAGGAGGCTGAGGCAGGTGGATCACATGAGCCTGAGAGGTCGAGGCTACAGTAAGCTGTGTGATTTCATCATTGCACTCTAGCCTGGGTGATAGAGTGAGACTTTGTCTCAAAAAAAAAAAAAAAAAAAAAAAAAGTCTTAGAGACCAGAAGTCTTTGTAATCTCTAATAATCTCTAGGCCCTAGAGCAGTGGTTTGTAAATGGAGGTGATTTGCTCCCCTCCCCCCAGAGGACATTGGACAATGTCTGGAGACATTTTTGATTGTCCTAACCGGCAGGAATCGGGTGCTACTGGCATCTGGTGAGTAGAGGCCCAGGATGATGCTGTGATCCTCAGGTGTGATCCTGTTGAGAATGAAACACTGTAGACTTTATGAAAACATACAAGACCCTCATCATTTTTCCTTTGCCTGAGCTCCCTCCCCAGAGGTTACCTCTGTTCATGGTTTTGTGCATCCGTCTAGTCCCCCTGTTACGCGTTTACAGGAATATGGTTTGCAACAGTGTTTTCATCTAAATAGAATTATACAAAATAGCGATTTCTGATTTCTCTTGCATATTGCACATTCTTCTTATACTTCCTCCCTACCTTTATCTGACACAGAAATGCTGTATGTCCAGAACTTCTATCAGAGGCACCTATGGAAGTCTAAGGGAAGACCACATCGCTTTTAAAAACCCTAAAATTTTGTAGTCACTAGATGAAAATATTCAGCCAGTGACCCAAAAAATTGCTACCAATGAGACTCTCCATTTTGCCATGTAGCCAGAACTTACTTTGATCTATGTGCCTGGGGTAGTGACCAAGTAGGTGGGTAGGAGTAATCTCAGGGAAACTTGAGGCCCCAGCCTCATGGCTAGGGTCATAATTTGAACCCAGGTCTGTCTGACATCAGAATCCATGATGTTAACCCCAATTCTAAGGGGTTCAACTACCCTTTCTAAATGGAATCCTGCTATATTAAGCACTATTTATTCATTTTATATAAACTAGAAACATTTTATGTAGTAAGTAGTTGAGAGTGTTTTGGTTTTGCAGTTTGATCACTAGTTTTAGAAACCAGTTTTTAAACACTTTGTGGCCAATTCCATTACTATATTAAAATTCAGATTTATTTGGTTTTTCCTTAACTATTGGGATTAAATCCTGGTTGTAATTCATAGTTTGAGGGCGAGGGTGGGCAGTCTACAGTTGGCTGAGCCCTGTTTTTGTGAATAAATGTTATCAGAACACAGCCACACCCATTTGCTTCTTTGTCTTCTGTGGCTGCTTTTGCAATGTGACGGCCGAGTTGAGGAGCTGCAACAGGCGATGACTTGTAAAGCTGAAAATATTTTTTGGCCCTTGAATAAGAGGTTTGCTGACTTCTGACTTAGGGTATCAGTTGTTCTGTTATCCCAGTAAAACTCAAGGCATTAGGGGAGAAATGTTAATATTAATACTTAAGTTGATTTGATTTAGGGAAATCTTTGAAGATTTCTAAGTCTTAAGCAGTAGAACCTGTTAATGGTTTTAGTTTCAGCAGTAAGGACATTTTACAAGTAAAGTTTTAAATGAAAACATTTTGTATGAAGCCACAAGTCGTCTGGCCTCTTGCTGGTGTCCAGATATTAACACTGATCCTATTTCTCCTTGCTGACCAAGTCTGTCCTTTGTAGTAAGAAAGGAAGAAACGTTGACTCTGTCCGATCTCTGGACTTAGTGTTGTAGCGAGCATGCACCTGGAAGGGACTTGCCAGAGGACCTCCTCATGCTTCTCCAGTGCTTAGTGGGGGCTTGGAGTGCAGCCCCAGGTCTTCACGAGCAGTTGGCCACACTGCAGGGCCCTCACCCCACTCTGGAGCAGCCTCTGCTTCAAACCAGCCTGGATGCTTGTCAGCTGGGGAGAAGATCAACCTGCTATTTTGGGATAGAAATAAATGCTCAGCCAAACGGCCAGAAACCCCCATTCCCCTCTCTGCCAAAGTGAATTCCTTGGCAGGGAGAATCTTGTTCGTGTCTCTGCACACTTCCTGTGCCCTCCTGTGGTTAAGTCAGAGAATCATCCGGCTCTTTGAGCCCCAGGTGCCTAGCTGCTCAAGGATGGTCCCCAGCCAGCAGCTGCCAGGAATCACCTGGGAGCCCATTAAGACATCCAGCCCCCACCCAAACGTATCGAATCAGAATCTGCCTTTTTTTCCCAAATGATGTTTTTGCTTTAATGGAAGTTTAGATGTTCATAGACAAGAGTTTTAAATGATGATCAAGCTGATTCCATATTCGCAGTTGTAAGTAGAACTGCTGAGACGTGGAAGTACCACATGGACTCACAGAGGAGCTGCTGTATGTAGCACAGCATTGCACAAGAGCTTATTTCAGTCTAGTAAACATTTATAGGAGCCTGTGTCATTTAATCATCAAGCCTCGCACTGTGGCTCACACCTGTAATCCCAAAACTTTGGGAGGCTGAGGCAGGCAGATCACTTGAGGTAAGGAGTTCGAGACCAGCCTGGCCAATATGGCAAAACCCTGTCTCTACTAAAAATACAACATTTAGCCAGGTGTGGTGGTGCACACTTGTCATCCCAGCTATTCCGGAGCCTGAGACATGAGCATCGCTTGAACTCGGGAGGTGGAGGTTGTAGTGAGCTGAGATGGCACCACTGCACTCCAGCCTGGGCAACAGGGTGAAGGCCCTTTCTCAAACCCCTCAAGTATTTGGCTTCAACTTTATGCCGGGCATGTAGATGAAAAGTCGGCTATGACCTGTCCTTGACAAGCAGATGTAACTCCTTGATTGAGGCTAGTAGGTTTTTAAGACCTGAATAATTGAGTTTGCAGAAACCTACTGTGTGCCTTCAGGTAAATGGAGAGTGGGGTTTGGTCTAGCAACGAAGCATCTAGAAGGTCCCTTTGGCCTTACCGGCTCTGTTTTAGGTAAGTCCACGTCTGAGTACCAGTGACTGCAGCTCTTCCAGTTGTGCTGTCATGCTTATATGTTAGAAATGATCATCAAAGGACTCAAAAGTTTTGCCACTAATTGTATTACCGGGGACTGTCACAACCAAGATTTCTCTTAATTTATTCACCTTACTTATCTCCTGGAAGGGCATATTGAAGTGCTCTTGGAGTTCTCTAAAAGGGTTTTTGTTGGTTGTGTATATTCACTTGGGTGCCAGCGATTGATTCCAAATAAGTAAATCTTTTTTCCCAAAAGGATGTAAGATGGCTTATGGTTATAAGTACAACAGGCTAACAAAGTACAAGTAGATGAGAAAGTAAAATGAAGAAATAAAGTCATAGGAGCCACAGAATTAACCCAGGAATGAATAAGTGTGTAGTTTGGTGCTGATGTTATCATCCTTTATTTGTACATTGCTTGTACAGTTGCTCTGAGAAGGTAAGTCTTAAATTTTCAAAAGTGAAATGTCACCGAGCATGGTGGCTGATGCCTCTAATCTCAGCACTTTGGGAGGCTGAGGCAGGCGGATCACTTGAGGTCAGGAGTGCGAAACCAGCCTGACTTATGTGATGAAACCCTGTCTCTACTAAAAAAAAAAAAAAAAAAAAAAAATACAAAAGTTAGTTGGGCATGGTGGCAGGTGCCTGTAATCCCACCTACTTGGGAGGCTGAGGCAGGAGAATCGCATGAACCTGGGAAGTGGAGGCTGCAGTGAGCCAAGATTGCACCACTGCACTCTAGCCTGGGTGACAGAGCGAGACACCATCTTAAAAAAAAAAAAAAATCTACAATATACCAAAACCATTACTTACCTGAGAAACTATTCTCAGGGTCATTGTAGTGAATGCCTATTTTATGGCTTTTGATGGCATCAGGGCACTCAGGTCATTTACAAGAGTAGTGTGTGAGACCCTGTGTGTCACTGCCACTCATCTTGGCCTTCGGCCACTGCTGTAGCAACCAGTTTCCAAGTAGGGCTGGACCTTGCCTTCTGCTCCAGAGACCTCTCGCTTCCTGCCCTTGGGCTTCTGACGAGCTGCAGGAACTGCCTGGCACGTGGGTCCCCACAACCCAGAGGAGGTGAGGGCCACCTCTCTGCTCCTCAGGGCCACCTTTCATAAGGCTCCTTGAAGGTCCCTCAAGATCAAGCCAACTCAACACATCCTTGATAGGCCTTCCTGCCTTCTGTTTCACTTCTCCACTCGTTTCCAAATAAATGGCTGCATGCAAGCTTTTGCCTCAGGTTCTGCTTTTAGGAGGAAGGCTAAGACAAGCAGTAAAGCAACATGGGCAGGCAGAAGGATGACTTCTAATAGAATTATCTCATCACTATATATTTTACTTTATGGATGCTTGTATTGAAAAGTCTTGGCTGGGTGGAGTGGCTCACGCCTGTAATCCCAGCCCTTTGGGAGGCCGAGGTGGGTGGATCACTTGAGGTCTGGAGTTTGAGACCAGCCTGACCAACACTGGTAAAACCTTGTCTCTATTAAAAATGCAAAAATTAGCCAGGGATGCACGCTTGCTGTGTGCCAGCACAGGGCTAGGCTGGAGATAAAAAGGTGAGTAAGTAGGTGCGGTGTAGTCAGGGTGAAAACTACAGATGGTCCATTTCCACGTAAGTGGAAAGGTAAAGGTATGTACAATAGGGTGGCTCCTGGCTGAACCTGGAGCTGCAGACAGGTTTTCTAGAAGGCATAATCCTGAAGTTGAGACTTGGGGGCCTAGGTAGGAGCCAGTTGAAGGGACGTGGGAGGCGCATTCCAGAGAGAAGGAGTGGTATGAGACTGGAACAGAGGTGTGCAGCAGCATCGCATGGGCGAAACAACAGTAGACAGTTGTTCTTTTGTTTTTGTTTGTTTTTTGAGACAGGGTCTTGTTCTGTCATCCAGGCTGGAGTGCAGTGGCATGATCTCGGATCACTGCAACCTCCACCTCCCAGGCTCAAGTGATCTTCCCACCCCAGTCCCCAAGTAGCTGGGGGACCACAGGTGCATGCCACGATGCCCGGCTAATTTTTGTACATTTTGTAGAAACAGGGTTTTACTGTGTTGTCCAGGCTGGTCTTAAACGCCTGAGCTTAAGCAGTCTACGTGCCTCAGCCTCCTGAAGTGCTGGGATTCCAAACATGAGCCACTGTGCCTGGCCCGGCAACTGTTACTAGACTGTAGAGAGGGAGGTGGGCAAGGGCTGGTGACACTAGACAGGTGCAGTAGGTCTGGACCATGGGTGGCCTTGCGCTACACATTACAGAGCTCAGGCTTTTTTTCTCCAGGTGAGAGGGCTGGTGCCACTGAGGCATCAAGCAGAGGTTTGAGATCTCCTTGGTGACAGTGTAGAGCAGACAGGTAGATTTGGGAATTTAAGCTTAGACTCACGTTGGAGACTGAGATAGCTCATCTGAGAGGCACTCAGGGCCTAATCTCAGGCAGTAATTTTAGGGATGTAGGGGAAGAGATGGATTCTGCACATACTTGGGAGGCTTGTGGAGGAGTGGGGAGGGAGGCACAGGGAGGACTCCAGGGTGGTTCATACGGCTCCCTGCTTCTGTTCCTGTCCCCCTTTGTCAAGCTGTGGTCTGTACTGCGTGTTCCATCTTGTTTCTAAGCTGCTTTTGCCCAGTCTTTCCAGCATTTCCCTTTCGTCATGTTAGTCTGTGCCTGTCTACGTGAACTATGGTGACGTTTATTGGGCCTGGCACTGTGAGGTGCTGGGGATGTGAAGATCATTGTGGCTCAGCCGCTGCTCTCGAGGGCCTCTGGGTGCAGTATGCACACCTGTGCCTCCTGTTTGCTCAGGAAGACAGGCTTTGAGATGAGCTGGGGCTGACATCCCCACCTTATCATTGGGATGGCTTTGGGTAAGTTATGTTCATGTTCTCTGAGCCTCCCTTTCCTCATTGGTAAAATGGGTATAAAATACCTGCCAGTGGAGGGTTGTTGTAAGTAGCCATGGAAAATGTAAAGCACATAGCACTTATCATTTTTTCCTGTGTCTTTAACAGATTTATCATAGAATCCCCGACTCAGACCCATCTTCTAGCAAAACAAGGCAGATCATCTCCACCATCCGGACGCAGAATCTTCCCAACTGTCAGCTGATTTCCCGAAGCCACTACTCCCCCATCTACCTGTCGTTTGTCATGCTTTTGGCTGCCCTGAGCTGGCAGTACCTGACCACTCTCTCCCAGGTAACAGAAGACTATGTTCAGACTGGAGAACACTGATCCCAAATTTGTCCATAGCTGAAGTCCACCATAAAGTGGATTTACTTTTTTTCTTTAAGGATGGATGTTGTGTTCTCTTTATTTTTTTCCTACTACTTTAATCCCTAAAAGAACGCTGTGTGGCTGGGACCTTTAGGAAAGTGAAATGCAGGTGAGAAGAACCTAAACATGAAAGGAAAGGGTGCCTCATCCCAGCAACCTGTCCTTGTGGGTGATGATCACTGTGCTGCTTGTGGCTCATGGCAGAGCATTCAGTGCCACGGTTTAGGTGAAGTCGCTGCATATGTGACTGTCATGAGATCCTACTTAGTATGATCCTGGCTAGAATGATAATTAAAAGTATTTAATTTGAAGCACCATTTGAATGTTCGTAATAGTAGAAAATGATGTGAATTTTCTTTCTGTTCGGCTCCTATTTTTCTCATCATTTTGTTTTCTTTAATTGGGTTGAATGGAGTAGATAGAAATATTTATGGTTTAGGTAACAGTTAGATGTTTCCTAAGAATGCAAACTGCCTTTTCCACACAAAGGCTGGGAATAAAATTCTGGGTATTCTCGTATTCTCATTTAAAGGAGTTTAGCTTTCAGAGAGAAACAGCAGGATTGCTTTTGACCTTTTAGAAGATTGGTCTCCAGTAAAGGTGGACATTTTTGAGATTTTTATAATAAAGAATTTAATTGCTCTGCATTTGTCAAGTACAGTTCGCTTGAAAGCCTGCCTGACTGTGGAAAAGATGGAGCTCAAGAATGGAGTTGATGGCCCAGCGTGGTGGCTCATGCCTGTAATCCCAGCACTTTGGGAGGCTGAGGCGGTCGGATCACGACATTAGGGGATCGAGACCATCCTGGCTAACACGGTGAAACCCCGTCTCTACTAAAAAAAAAAAAAATTAGCCAGGCGTGGTGGCGGGTGCCTGTAGTTCCAGCTACTCGGGAGGCTGAGGCAGGAGAATGGCTTAAACCCGGGAGGCGGAGCTTGCAGTGAGCTCAGATCGCGCCACTGCACTCCAGTCTGGGCAACAGAGCGAGACTCCATCTCAAAAAAAGGAAAAAATTGTAAAAAAAAAAAAAAAAAAAAAAAAAAAAAAAAAAAAAAAATTTCCCCCAGCAGTTTTTGTTTTCTAAAGTTATCAGTTTATATATTCAGGTCTTAAGAAAGGCAAAAGCTGTCTTCAGGTGATTGGCTTGGGGGCAGAACAGTACTTCTGCTCGGGGTTTCACCTTCCTCTCTACTCCAGTGCAGCAGAGCTTGTGATGTGCTCTCACTGAGGTGCTCAGTGCAGCAAGGAGGCCTGTGGACCCTCGAGTTGAGAATTGGTGTACTAGGGCATTCGGTACTTTCTAGAAGCCATTAATGCTACAGGTACTCATAAAGTCTACTCTTCTGCAGCCCATCGTGGATGGTGGCTTAATCATTGAATTTGAGTTGTTTCGAGCTGCAGCGTTGGATTTGCATTGTTGTAAGCACACTTTCTTGCTGTGACCACTGACACCAAAATTAGTTTGGGCCCAGGGAGACTTCAGTTAATTGGTTCATTTGAGGCTTAGCCCTGGACTCATTTGTCACCAGCCAAGATAACTTGCCACATGGAATACAGCCAGACCAGGGGTCCCCGACCCCCAGGCCTAGGACCGGCACTAAACCTTCTGTTACGTGGCCTGTTAGGAACCGGGCATCACAGCAGGAGGTGAGCGGCGGGTGAGTGAACATTATCACGTGAGCTCCACTCGGCGTTAGATTCTCATAGGTGCGATTGCGCGTGTGAGGGATCTGGGTTGCATGCTCCTTGTGAGAATCTAGTCCCTGATGATCTGAGGTGGCAGTTTCATCCCAAAACCATTTTCCTCCCTCTGTCCTTGGGAAAATTGTCTTTATGAAACCGGTCCCTGGTGCCAAAAAGCTTGGGGACCACTGAGCTAGACTCGACAGTATTTTCCAAGGAATTAAAGCCTCAAAACTTGGTTTGAGATTTCAGGGTAGGTTGTTAAAAATCTGTGTGTTGAAATCTAAGATTTAATTCTGCCAAAGTTCACGTTAAGACAGAACAACCTGCTGGAAAGAGATTTGGTCTGAGTGGGGCCTGTGGAAATCTTCTTTCCTGACTTGGTCATTACCTGTGGGACCACTTCCTGAGCTGTGTGGTTTGGGTGATCTCAGATTTTTTCTATCTATAAAGCTATGTGCTTTTTTCTACTCACTGAGTTGTAGAAAGGTATCCGCTCTCATTCCATTCTGAAGCTCTTTGAAAGCTTGTTTTCCTTCTAAGTATCTTCTCTACTAAGGTTGCCAGATATAATAGGGGATGCTGGGCATGGCGGCTCACACCTGTGGTCTCAGCTACTCGGAGGGTGTTGGGGCTGAGGCAGGAGGATCCCTTGAGCTCAAGAGGTTGAGGCAGAGGTTGTGGTGAGCCAAGATCACGCCATTGCACTCCAGCCTGGGCGACAGAGTGAGACTCTGTCTCAAAAAACAAACAAACTTGCATAACTGAAAATTCAGAAGTAGTTGGCCATCTTGTATTTCTGTTTGGTAACTCTGGCAACACTACCCTCTACTCCCCACTTCTAATATAATTTTATAGCATCTCTGGCATACAGTCTATTTGGATCCGACCTAATGGTGCAATATTTTGTTTTCCTCAGAGGAGCCTCTGACCCATGTGAATC
The DNA here is from genome assembly GCF_000001405.40 of Homo sapiens. Lineage (NCBI taxonomy): Eukaryota > Metazoa > Chordata > Mammalia > Primates > Hominidae > Homo > Homo sapiens. Next base: position 11,841,278 of record NC_000008.11, read on the forward strand.
TAGGACCATAAACAATTAGAATGCTTGGGAGCAAGAGCTTTATATCTGCATATGGGAACTTCCGGATCCCTGTGGGCAAGTGCAGGGAGGGCCCCTTCTTCCATCTACTGAGCCATTTCCCAGGGGCTCGGGTGTGTATAGGAGGAAGAGGGCGAGTCAGGCATGTTAACAAACATTCTAGGTTATTCTTGGCAGTTTTGGAAACAGTTCTAAGGCTGTGGTTCTCAGACTTTATATCAGAATTGCCTGATTGCTGGGAACAGAGACTGATACAGTAGGTCTGATGGGGTGCCCAAGAGGTTGCATTCCTAAATTCTCATGCAGTTTTCTAATCAGGGAGCAGCTGGAAAGGTATTGTGAGCTTGAATGTACCTGGGAAACTACCTGGGGTCTTGGGAGATGCAAATGCTGGTTCAGAGGTCTGGCCCTCTGACACTCTGATGAGCATTTCTAACAGGCTCTCAGGTGACGGCCGTGCTCCTGGTCTGTGGACCACTTCAGTATGGCTGAAGCACAATAAAAGAGGGCAAATTACTGCTTTCTTTAAAAAGAGTGGCAGCCGGGCACAGTGGCTCACGCCTATAATCCTAGCACTTTGGGAGGCCAAGGCAGGTGGATCACTTGAAGTCAGGAGTTCCAGACCAGCCTGGCCAACATGGTGAAACTCTATCTCTACTAAAAATATAAACATTAGGCCAGGTGTGGTGGCAGGTGCCTGTAATCCCAGCTACTCGGGAGGCTGAGGCAGGAGAATCCCTTGAACCCAGGAGGCGGAGGCTGCAGTGAGCCAAGATCATGCCACTGCACTCCAGCCTGGGTGACAGAGAGAGACTCCCATCTCAAAATTTTTTTTTTTAAATGCAGAGGTTGGACTGCCTACCTATACTCTAATTTCTATTCTGGAGTGATTCTCTGGAGAGGCTAGGTAAAGACTGAAAAGGCATTGTTACGTCCACCTGTCATCTCACTTGGACAAGAATCCAGGAGAAACTATTGAACTGAGGTGACAAAGTTATGATCAATGTGGTGATCTGAGGTGTATTAAAACACTGAGCTCTTTCCCAGTCACAAACACTGCAAGGCAGGTGTTTCTAACAAAGCCTTAAGCTGATGTCGACATGCCCCACAATTCCTTGTCACTCACCAGCACATCCCCGCTGGCTCCATGCTAGAAGCAGGCAAGGAGCTGCAGGTGCGTATACGATGGAGGTGAGGGAGACAGTGCGCATGGAATGAATCAACTCAGTTTGGGAGCAGGGAGAACTTTATTGAGGTTATGAATATATTCTACTTGAAACTGGAAGGATAAGTGGTTATGAATTTGTGGCTTATGGTAACCTTTGTTAAGCATCTTTCTTTTTCTTTTTTTTTTTGGTGAGACACAGATTCACTCTTGTCCCCCAGGCTGGAGTGCAATGGCGTGATCTCGGCTCACTGCATCCTCTGCCTCCCAGGTTCAAGCGATTCTCGTACCTCAGCCTCCCGAGTAGCTGGGATTACAGGCATGTGCCAGCATGCTTGGCTAATTTTGTATTTTTAGTAGAGATGGGGTTTCACCGTGTTGCCAAGGCTGATCTCAAAACTCCTGACCTCAGGTGATCTGCCCGCCTCAGCCTCCCAAAGTGCTGGGATTACAGGCTTGAGCCACTGCGCCCGGCCTTTTTTTTTTTTTTTTTTTTTTTAATTATTGAGACGGAGCCTTGCGCTGTCACCGAGGCTGGAGTGCACTGGCACTGTCTTGGCTCACTGCAACCTCCGCCTCCCGGGTTCAAGCGATTCTCCTGCCTCAGCCTCCCAAGTAGCTGGGATTACAGGCATGTGCCACCATGCCCAGCTAATTTTTGTATTTTTAGTAGAGGTGAGGTTTCAGCATGTTGGCCAGGCTGGTCTTGAACTCCTGACCTTGTCATCCTCCCACCTTGGCCTCCCAAAGTGCTGGGATTACAGGCGTGAGCCACGACGGCCGGCTGTTATGCTCATCATGGCACTTAAGAGATGCTTAACAAACCTTTCCTACAATGTTCCTCAGATTTTCAGAGCTTATTTGATCTAGCATCTGGTTCCTAAATTCTGAGTCACATCAGAAGCCAAACTTGAATGCTTTTGGAAAGAGCTAGCCTCATACCACTTCAGTTGGGAAGGGGAGTACTGAGGTGTACCTTGGCAGGACAGTGGAATGATTGCTGGTTCTTCTAGTTTGCTCTATACCAAGAACTGCTATAACATGTTTCTAAACCAGGGCTATGCAAAGCACTAGAGTTCCTGACCAGCAATGCAAACCAGTGGCATACAAATTCAAAATACTGTATACAGGCCCTGACTCCAGCCCAAACCAAGGCTGGAGGGCATCCAGGGGGATGTGGTTCCCCACGGGGTAGCATCTTGGTTATGTGAGATCACCAAGACACCAAGCCTGTTTTATGAGCTGAATCCTCAGCTTGTTGCTGGATTTGTGGCTGATAAAAAATACAGGCAGGGCCCAGTGGCTCACGCCTGTAATCCCAACACTTTGGGAGGCTGAGGCAGGCAGACCACCTGAGGCCGGGAGTTTGAAACTAGCCTGGCCAACATGGTGAAATCCTGTATGTACTTAAAAATACAAAAATTACCCAGGCATATTGGTGAGTGCCTGTCATCCCAGCTACTCGGAAGGCTGAAGCAGGAGAATCGCTTGAATCTAGGAGGCTGCAGGTTGCAGTGAGCTGAGAAGGCGCCACTGCACTCCAGCCTGGGAGACGGAATCTCACTCTGTCAGTCACAACAACAACAAAAAAATAGAGCACAGCTATGTTTTGAGTTCTTAAGCAAGGGCAAGCTTACCAGGCACTTACAGAGAAGGTTGACGAGGATGACAGGGAACTAATTGGGGGAGGGATGCCATGGTTGAAAACATGGCTGGGGCAGCGAGAAGTTAAGATGAAGTCCCAAGAGTCGCAAGAACATGCAGTTCCAGGACGTGATTCTCTGCAGGGACAAAGAGAGACAGCAGCTACAAGTCTATAGGCAGTGACAAAGGATCTGAGATCCCATCAGAGTAGACTTCAAGTTGGAGAAAACTTTTATTGGCACAGGCATTCCTTGTTAACTTGACAGGGTGAAGCTGTAATTTTTCAAAAACAGTAAAAGCTGGTTTCTCCTAAACTATTTTCCTTGTGGTAGTAGAGATCAGTGGGTCAGAAACAACTCCTGACCACTTGGTTTCCTTTTGAGCCGCGTCATAAGGAGGCAATCTGTAAAACTAGCACAGGTCTCCCGCTGTTCCACTGGCTCACCCACATGATTAGCAGAGTGCACGAAAAAATAAAACTTCTATTAAAGAATCATGCTGAGCACAAGATCAGAGAGGTTGTGACATTGCAAACTCGATAGATGCAGGGGGCCTGGGAGACTGGCGTTCTCCAAAGGGCTCCCAACACCGTCTCTCCTCTGATTTCTGTGACAAATGTGGAAAGCTACTTGCTTGGAGGTACTGGGGGAACTGATGGGGGAACTTTCATCCTGTTAGGAACTCCGCTTTCCATTCCTGCGTCTCTGTCTTGCTCCCTGGAGATGGATGGATCACGGAGGGGGCCACAGTCAGCTGGGGCAGCAGGTACTCCCTACGGCACTAGTCTACAGGGGGAAGGACGCTCTGTGCTGGCAGCGGTGGCTCACATGGCCTGTCTGCACTGTAACCACAGGCTGGGATGTAGCCAGGACTTGGTCTCCTTGGAAGACAGGTCTGATGTTTGGCCAATCCAGTCCTTCAGACCCTGTCTGAAACTTGTATCTTACGTGAACTTAAAGAATAAAATGCATTTCTACCCCGATCTCGCCCCCAGGACTGGCACGACAGGCCCACGGCAGATTAGATCTTTTCCCAGTACTGATCGGTGCGTGGAATTCCAGCCACCACTTCTGATTCGATTCCACAGTGATCCTGTCCTCTGAGTATTTTAAAGAAGCCTGGGAATAAAAAGTAAGGTGCTTTTAAAGTGTGACAAGGGTCAACCAATATAGTCAGACTCATCCTTAAAAGACCTTAAGTCACTCATCCCTGGCCACTCCTGCTGTTGGCCCACTAGCACAGTCCTCAACACCACAAGGCTTCTGGAGCCGTGGGGCACACCTCCACGGGCAAGCCCCCTGCCCGGTCACCCTTCCCATCACAGGATCTGGCGCGATGCTGTGGGAACTGTTGCAGGCGTTGGCTCTGAAGCTGCTCAGAGTCTGCCCTCACAGCAAAAGGGAACTCCTGACTGCCTGGCACTTAGGAGGAGCTCACAGCCTGGCCGTAGGTCCAGGGTTTAAGGCTGTGCGGTGGGTAGAACAGAGAAAGCCGAGATGGCCACGGGGTGTGGCTCACAATTCACTGTTCTTGGCAGGAAGGGGGCAGCCACTCACCATTGTCACCCCAGTCAGTGTTCCAGGAGTTGGCAACCAGCCAGTAGGGTGTGCCATTCTCCACTCCCCAGCCCAGGATGCGGATGGCATGGCCACCCATCATCTCTCCGGTGACGTGTTGGTACACTCCTGAAAAGGGAAGAACTGGCTGAGACCGAGACCGGGCCACTGTCCCACGCCCCACAGCACCCCCCACACTCAGCTGGTCATGCTCCGGGAAGGAGAAACAGCTTCCAGAGGGAACCTGCTGCTCCACCAGGAGGCTCCAGGGGGGGTCCCACAATACTGGGGAATTAAATATATTTTTGAAGGCCCAACACACTCAAAGTTGTTGAGTAAATATTGAAATAGATTCCTACAAAATGTGCTTGTTGGCTTTAAAAATAGAATTTCTAATACATTCTAATTGATAAAACATTTAATGCTAGATGACTGATTCATCTGTTCTTTATACTGGGATTCCATGTAAGTAAGGGTTTGTCAAAAGCGTTACACGGCTTAAAGAGTTTTAATAGCTGCTCCAGGTACACCCTGAAGAGGTGAGGGAGGAGAAGGGAGGACTGGTGGCAGCTAATGCTAGCTGATGGGAAAGATACTGGCTAAGGGGCTCAGGGCTGCCCAACCAGGCTCTCGGGTGGGGAAATCACTGTCAAAGTGGAAATGCATCTTTTAATAATAAGGGCGAGGACTATGCTAAGAAGTGCCATCTTCACAGAAACTTTTTCTTGCCAGAATCATCTTCCTTTGTCAAACTGTTGTTTTACAAGTTTCCAATCTAGCAAAATATTAATGGGATAGATGCAGTCAGCAAAGACTGTTCATCTGGAGCAAGGGATTTCTAAGACAGGACTTGGGGATGGGGACTGTCCAGATTCCTTGGTTGGAGTCCCTATGGCACTACCCAGGGCAAGGTCCTCCCTGTGTGTTCATCCACTGGTGTGAGGCACGATCTAGGCCTTTGCAAAGAGAAAGATGAAGAAAATGTGTCAGCCAGTGCAAACACGAACGGCCTGCCATTATAACAGAAACATGCTGGTAAAGCAATGCAAAGCCAGGAAGGCGAGGGCAGGCGTGGCCAGCCACCAGGGAGGGGGGCGTTCCCACAGAGAACATGTATGAGCTGGACGCTAATGGATGGGAAGGAACTAGCCCAGAGGCTCTGGGAGAGGCCTCTGGAATTGTGTGTGTTGGCACAACACCTGGACAAAGACAGTCAGGTGCCAGGCTGGTCCACAGAGGAGTGAGCCTATATGGAAGGCCCCACACAGCCCTCTTCCCCAGCCCCTCACCTGCCTGCCCAATCCAGCCCTATTGGTCAACATGAACCATCCTGGCACCCAGGCTCCCCTCCCGACCCCCACCCTCTATTGCCATCAGCCATCAGCACGCACCTGACTTGTAGAGCAGGAAGTCCGAATACACAGAGAAAGCTCCCTCCACGGGGCCGTTTTTGTAGATCTCGGCCATGATGTCCTTCTCGCTATTGGAGACGCTGTAGGAATTGTATCCTGGAAAATGAACCGAGCTCGGGGTTGGGGAGGGCAGTGACCGTGCCTCGTGGCACGCCACGGTCAGCCAGTCACTGATTTCTGGTGGCCTCCAGGGGAAGACTGCATCTAAGGGGACTTGCCCTGCCAGGGGAGCTCAAGGAAGGCTCCCCTGAAGAACTAAGGACAGGGCTGGGGCTGGAAGCTCAGAAATGGGAGAACGGAGCAATGAGCACGAGGCCCCGGAAGAGGCCAGGATACCTCAAGACTCCAGGACACGCCACTCCCTTGTAAAAGGAGGGCTTTGGTCCCTTCCAGTTTGGAAGGGCTGAGGCTGAGTTCAGGGTGGAACAGGCAGAAAGTGGAGAGTGTGCTGCTTCTCCTGGCAAGAGGGCATCACTCCCCCTCCTCTATCCTAGAGTTCCGGGACCCCAAGGCTCCTCAGCCCTGACCTCTTCGCTGCAGCGTGAGGAGGGATGCAGCAGCTCCCCAGCCTCCACGTGCGCCGTGGCCAGGCCCCAGGCCCCTTACCGTAGTGCTTGTCCTGTTTGTAGGTCGGGCTGTAGCCAGGCTCACAGATCTTGCTACACTTGGGGGTATCTCCCTCCCCCGTGCATGGGGGCCGGGAGCCGTTGACGTGGTGCTCACAGGGAGGGATGGAGTACGGTCTGCACCCTGATGGGACGCGGGAGAAAGCGGAGTCAACCTACAGCCCCCACGGAGAAGACCTGGGGCAAGGCAAGCCTCGTGCCTGCAGCATGGACGCCAGGCAGGTCCTGCCAGAGGCCTGTGCACCTGGCTAGCACCTCTCAGCAGCCCCTCTGTCTCAACCCCCAGTTTATAAAGGCAAATAAAGCCATGATGGTTAATTGCTCAAACAATCCATCTGGCCAGAAAGTGGCCAAGGGGACACACTTACCTACATGGGATTCATAGAGGCCACCAGAAACCAGGCCTTTTCTTGTCCAGAAGTTCCAAGCTTCAGCAGGATAGCCACCATTACAGCTGAAAAGACAGCCTCTAATGAAAACCTCTGAGAGAAGCACCACCAGCTCTCCAGACCACTGTGTGCTACCCAAGTGCCCGAGGCCACTCGTGGACCCACCCCCAGCTGCAGCAAGTGGTGCGAGCAGACCTCCCAGACCCCAAACCCTCCAAGGGACGCTCCCTAGATAAGCACAGCTTGCAGGGAATAACCGCCAGCCCCACCCCTGCCCACAAAGATCCGGGAGAAGACAGGAGGCTCTCCTGTTCATGTCCATACCAGACCAGGCTACGAGTGCCCTTCCGGGTAGAACACTGATTCTCAACTGAGCAGACGCTAAACTTCCCTAAGGTACTTAAAAACACCACCAGTTCTCTGAAATGAGAATCGCCAGTGATTCCCATTTAACTAGTTAGGGGAGAAGCCCATGCATTTTTTTAAGCCCTCAGGCATTTCGGATCTGCAGCCGCCAGTGAACACCGCTACTGCGGAACCAAGGCGAGGCTGCAGGCAGCTGGAGCAGAAAGTTCTGTGCCACCACCTTGTTGTTAAGGTGGAGCCATCCCCGCTAACTACACATAAGGAAATGCCCCAAACTGGTTCCCCAAGCAGGAAAAAGGAACATGCGATGACACAAACCAGACCAGGGGCCAGACATTCCACCACATTTTCTGAAACTGACTGTTTTGCTGGGATGCCACCCCTCAGACAGCTCTGCCGGGCCAGCCTTGGTTCAGGCACCTCCCAGGAAGCAGCAGCCTTGCCAGGCCCTGCCTGCCAGACTCTCGGAGTCTCCCCGAAACACTTCTGACTCGCAGCAGTCCCAGGAAGTCCTCAAAGTCCCCTCCACTGAGAAGCTGGGGCCCAGGGTCTCTCAGCACTAAACCCGCTGTGGAAGCACAGCCTGACTCACCCGTCCCCACACATGCTGCCACAGCATGTGAGCAGGTCCTCCGCCGACACCTCCACGCTGACGTGCGCATTGGTGTGGATGCAGATCCGGTCAGAGATGGCTTCCACAGCCCCGAAGGCCTGCAGGAACGAGCCCCACCGGGTGAGGCTGCCATGTCCGGGCTGGGCCCTCTGCAGCAGTCCCCTCAAAGGGCCACAGGGGCACCTCAGACCTTGTAGGCAACTGATCTCTCAACACCAGGGGACGCTCCTGGGGCTCAAACTCAGCTTTTATTTTCTTTGGTAGAAATGGGGTCTTGCTACGTTGGCCAGACTGGTCTTGAACTCCCGGGTTCAAGTGATTTGCCCACCTTGGCCTCCCAAAGTGCTGGGATTAGAGGCGTGATGAGCCACTTGCCCCACTCTCCTGCCTCAACGATTTGCCCAACTCAGCTTTTAAAGCAAGAGAAGCACCCCCGTGAACCTCTGCCTGGAAACTGGGTTCATTTCTGAAATCTGCAAAATGTGTAGTATTAGTTTGTATGTGTGTGTGTGGTTTTTTTTTTTTTTCCTGGAGGCGGAGTTTCACTTTTGTTGCCCAGGCTGGAATGCAGTGGCGCAATCTCAGCTCACTGCAACCTACGCCTCCTGGGTTCAAGCAATTCTCCTGCCTCAGCCTCTATAGTAGCTGGGATTATAGGTGCCTGCCACCAGGCCCAGCTAAGTTTTGTCTTTTTAGTAGAGACAGGGTTTCACCATGTTGGCCAGGTTGGTCTCAAACTCCTGACCTCAGGTGATCCGCCTGCCTCAGCCTCCCAAAGTGTTGAGATTACAGGCGTGAGCTACCGTACCTGGCTGTGTTTTTTTCTTAACAAAAAACACAGCTCACCCAGAAAATAAATACTGTTGTGATCCACTTGTATGAGGTCCCTAGGAGTCAAATTCATAGAGACAGAAAGTAGAGTGGGGCTTACCAGGGGCTACAATATTGGTGTTAATGGGGACAGAGTTTCTGTCTTGCGAGCTGAAAAAGAGTTCGGGGGACAGATGGTGGTGGTGGCTGAGCAACACTGTGAATGTACTTAATGCTACAGAACTGTACACTTGAAAATAGTTGCTGGGCACGGTGGCTCACGCCTGTAATCCCAGCATTTTGCGAGGCCGAGGAAGGCAGATCAACAGGTGAGGCGTTTGAGACCAGGCTGTCCAACATGGCAAAACCCCATCTCTACTAAAAATACAAAAATTAGCTGGGCGTGGTGGCACATGCCTGTAGTCTTAGCTACTGGGGAGACTGAGGCAGGAGAATTGCTTGAACCCAGGAGGCAGAGGTTGCAGTGAGCCAATATCCCACCACTGCACTCCAGCCTGGGTGACAGAGCAAGACTCCATCTCCAAAAAAAAAAAAAAAAAAAAAAGAAAGAAAAAGAAAACAAAAGAAGATTGCTAAGATTATTACATTTCTGTTACGTGTATTTTACCACAATTAAATGACAAAATTAAGACAGCTCACTGACACTAAAGGGATGCTTTCTTGAAGCAGAGTAGCAGTGAGAGCTCCTGGTATTTGCGGACGGGCCAGCATGTCAGGGAAAGGGAGCTGCTTCGCCACCTGTACACGTGGACTTGCAATCTGCTGGATGCTCTGCCCGCCACTCCACCTAATCCTCGCCATCATTCATGGCCAGAGGGATTGTGATTTTTGTACTGATGGAAACTGGGACTCAGAAAGTTTCTATAACTTGCCTTGTCAGAGTTGTCCCCACCCCGAATCCCCCAAGACTCTCCAGTGTTGCTCCCACTTTCTCTCCAGCGCTTCCCCGCCAGCCAGCAGGGCCTTACCCAGCAGGAGCCACAGGAGCCCTGGTCTCTGATCTCTTTGATGGTGGGACACTGTGGCCATTGTTCCCGTGCATCGAAGCTTGCAGGCAGCTTCAGGTCCTCGGTAAACATAACTCTGGATAAAGGAAGGTCTTCATTACAAGCTCTGATCCCACAACTCCCTCCCCAATCCCTGCAAAGGCCACTTTGGCTGGGCCACACTCCCCTAACAAGGAAATGAGCACAAGACATGCCGAAGAAGGCTGCAGACAGGTGTCCTTGGTAATTTCATAAAACAAAAGGAAATTCTGTTGCTCAATGCACCTTTTGATTTTTTTTTTGGGTGGGACGGGAGGGTGGGAGTGGACAGAATTTCACTGTGTCATCCAGGCTGGAGTGCAGTGGCGAGATCTCTGCCCACTGCAACCTCTGCCTCCTGAGTTCAATCGATTCTCGTGCCTCAGCCTCCTGAGTAGCTGGGATTACAGGCATGCACCACCACACCCGGCTAATTTTTGTATTTTTAGTAAAGACAGGGTTTCACCATGTTGGCCAGGCTGGTCTTAAACTCCTGGCTTCAAATGATCTGCCTGCCTTGGCCTCCCAAAGTGCTGGGATTACAGGCATGATCCACCACACCTGGCCTGACTTGCGATATTGTACGCTTCTTTCTAGGCTTATGTAATGGATTTTTTAAGATGAATTTATCCACAAATTATAAACTCATTTTTAAATAAGTTTATTCAGTCCAGATAGTGTTTCTTGCCCTGCTCTCCTGCCTCAACCTCTGCCCAGGATCCTCTCATCATTTCTCATATCATCCCCATTGTGCAGAAGGCAGTGTCGTGCAACTTAACTACCCCATCCTCACGTGGGAAGTGGCATCATCTCAGCTCACCGCAACCTCTGCCTCCCGGGTTCATGCGATTCTCTAGCCTCAGCCTCCCGAGTAGCTGGGATTACAGGCGCCCGCCACCACGCCTGGCAAAGTTTTTTATTTTTAGTAGAGACGGGGTTTCATCATGTTGGTCAGACTGGTCTCGAACTCCTGACCTCAGGTGATCCGCTTGCCTTGGCATCCCAAAGTGCTGGGATTACAGGCGTGAGCCACCATACTTGGCCTCATCTGGCTTTTCTTAGATTTCCCTTAAATTACTCAAGATTGAGTCTGCCCACATAGTGGGGACCCAGACCTTGTCTGTCACATCTGCGGCTGAGACACCTTGGAGAAGCACAATAGAAAACACTGGGGGTGGCTCATGCCGGTAATCCCAGCACTCTGGGATGCCGAGTTGGGCAGATGACTTGCTGAGGCCAAGAGTTCGAGACGAGCCTGGCCAGTATGGCGAAACCCAGTCTCTACTAAAAATACAAATATTAGCCGTGCACGGTGGTGCAAGCCTGTGGCCCCAGCTACTCAGGAGGCTGTGGCATGAGAATCGCTTGAACCCGGGAGACAGAGTTTGCAGTGAGCCAAGATCGTGCCACTGCACTCCAGCCTGGGTGACAGAGTGAGACTCTCTCAAAAACCAAAAAAAAGCACCAGCATCTTCTCTACTAATAACTTGAGAAGGAAAAAATAAAATAAAAAGAGAAAGTAATATAAAAATGAAAAGAAACAAGTACTGTACCTCAAGCGGTGTCGGCAGCCCTGGGCAGCATGAGCCCTGCGGACGCCAGAGAGGCCTTCACTCTCCCACTTCCCACTGCCCCAAACCAACGCCTGCCACTCACATTACAGCGGTGCAGAGGAGCAGGCACTCACCTCTGGGGTGGCTTGGGCCCACCCAGGAAGGTACCACATAGCCTCTTCAAGTAGCTCATGTCCACGTTGTAGAAGTTGTGCCCGGCCTGGAAGAGAGTCACCCACTGACTGAAGGGTCTCCCGGGATGGCGGTGGATGGGCACGCTGCCCACACACGAAGCCCAACCCAGGGAAAACCAGAGACCCTACCCAATTCAAGGGCCCAAGGGTTGGGGGGCACTGGGGAACAGCCCAGAGTGACACACGGGCAGAGTGGGTGTCTCCCCTGATCTGCTCCCATTTGCTGACAATCAGAGACCCTCTCCAGCCCTCAACATGGCTCACTCCTCATTCTTGGTTCTCAGTCCGAGGGTCAGGGCTGGGCAGAGACAAAGGGAATCAGGGGCGGGACTGATAAACTGCCACTGTGCCACGGCGGGCGTCACAGGGGCTAGCTGGTTTTGAACACTTCCGAAGCTCACTTACTCCCCCACACACCTCCACGTGCACACAACCATATATTCATACACATGCACACACACTCATGCACACACGTGGGGTATGGGACAAAGGAGGGAGGCGTGGTCCAGAGCCGACATGACTCAGGGTCAGGGCCATTTTTCAACAGTCCAGGACAATGTTCTGTGGGCCACAGTGAGGGCTGGCTTCCCATTCCTGGAGTCAGTGTGCACAGACCGACCTGGGAGGGGACATACATAGGACGCAGCCCCACAGCCTACCTGCCACGTGGTATTCCGTTTGTTGACATAGTTGACCAGCTCATCCGACAGGGGATGGAAAGAGGGCCTGCTCCGGGCATTGGCCAACACCAGCAGGCAGCAGAGGGAGGCCCAGAGCTGCCACATGTTGGAAGCCGGATCCTAGATCCACCTGGAGAGGACAGAGGGCATCAGGACACCTCTCTGTTATGTGGGTCGAGGGCTCACACACACAGGGGCACCGTCTCGGGCATCAGTGGGGACCCCCATGCTCGTCCTGGCCCAGGCGGAGAACTCTTAAGGAGCTGAGGTGTCTATGGGATCCCCGCCCCCCTGCCCGAAGCACGCCATGACCTCGTGTGGGTCCCCGGGGGCCAGGCGGCCAGAGCCCAGAGAGAGAGCCAAGGGGCTGTGCTGGACGAGACCGAGTCCAGGGCCTTCGCTGCTATTTTTAAACGGCCTTTGCATGGATTTGTAGAACAGCTTGAGACACTTTCCCAAGTGAGTGATATGAAACAGTTAAGAGCCTGTCTGTGTGATTACACCCTAAGTGGAGGACCCAGGGGACAGGGAAATGTAAGAAAAGTTACAATCCAGGAGTCCTAGTTTCGACAGGACACAGACAAACAAGCTCGGTGTGGGCTGGTGGAGGTTGAGGCTGAGAGGTGGGGCTGGGCTGGCCATCCACCCACTCCCGGGGCCTCTCTGGTTTTTCCAGTCAGCCAAGGGCTCTGCTTCCGGCTGCGGAGATGAGGCTTCTGAGAAGGAAAACTCTCACCTCGATGCCCCAGCCGTTTGATCTTGCACTGGCTCATGAGTCACAAGCCAGTGCTTTCCAGCTTGAACTCTGAGTCACCCTCCTAAGTGAGCAGCTCAACAAAAGCAATACATGTCTCCTGGGCGCCTGCATCCAGGGCTGGGGAGAGCCGCGGCGCGGGGAGCTGGGTGAGGCAGGGGTTCCTGTCAGTCACTCCAGGGGCTCCCACGGGTGGGTGAGGTGTTCTACCTCCCACAGGTCACAGGTCGTCATGAAAGTCACAGGACTGCGGTGTCAGTGCTTAACAAACTGCCTGGCACCTAGGGGTTCTATCTGAAGAACAATTTAAACTTCATTGTTGCTTAAGCAACAATTCATCTAGGAGAATAAATATATGAGGACAGCAAGATGGCTCTGGAAAAAAGCTTTTTTTTTTTTTTTGAGACAGGGTCTTGGTCTGTGGGCCATGTCACCCAGTCTGGGGTACAGTGGCACAATCTTGGCTCACTGCAGCCTCCACCTCCCAGGTTCTTAGCCTCCCAAGTAGCTGGGATTACAGGTGTGCGCCACCACACGCACCTAATTTCTGTATTTTTAGTAGAGATGGGGTTTTACCATGTTAGCCAGGCTGGTCTCGAACTCCTGACCTCAGGTGATCCACTGGCCTCAGCCTCCCAAAGTGCTGGGATTACAGGTGTGAGCCACCGCACCCAGCCAGTGGAAAAGAGCTCTGACGGGAGCCCAGCCCTCTGGGGCAGCACATGTGTCGTAAAATGCTGGGTGATGCTCATCAGCACAGCACCCAACGGACCACTCAGAAGCACATCCTCCGTGGAGGAATCAGCGTTACCTAGGTGAGGCCAGAGAGGAAACAGGACAGTGCTTGTACAAGTGGCTGCCTGAAGTCTGAATCTTCACACTGGACTCCTCACACACAAAAAGTACCACATGCAACACAGAATTGTTTTGTTTTTTTGAGACGGAGTCTTACTCTGTCCCCCAGGCTGGAGTGCAATGGCATGATCTCGGCTCACTGCAACCTCTGCCTCCTGGGTTCAAGCTATTCTCCTACCTCAGCTTCCCGAGCAGCGGGATTACAGGCATGTGCCATCATGCCCAGCTAATTTTCATATTTTTAGTAAAGACAGGGTTTCACCATTTTGGCCAGGCTGGTCTCGAACGCCTGACCTCGTGATCCACCTGACTCAGCCTCCCAAAGTGCTGCGATGACAGGCGTGAGGCACCGCACCAGGCCCACAGATCTTAATTTAAAAAGTTTTATGAAAAAAATCAATGCCCTTTGAAAAACAGGCTGGGTGCGGTGGCTGATGCCTATAATCCCAGTACTTTGGGAGGCCAAGGCAAGTGGATCACTTGAGGCCAGGTGTTCAACACCAGCCTGGACAACATTGTGAGACCCCATCAATATAGAAAATAAAGTTTTTTAAAAAGGTAATGCTGGAGGAAAGCTTAGGATTGACAGGAAACACAGCCTTCAAGGGAAAATGCTTGCATTACACTGAAAAGTCTCTTTAAAACAAAAACTGACGAAACAAAGCAGTACTCACATATACTTTAGGCTTCGTTTCCACAAAAGGCTCTTCAAAGTCAGAAAAATGGAACCAGCATAATAGAAAAACTACAAATGGCCAACACAGATAAAAATAAGTTCAACCGGCATGGTGGCTCAAGCTTGTAATCTCAGCACTTTGGGAGGCTGAGGCAGGTGGATCGCCTGAGGTCAGGAGTTTGAGACCAGCCTGGCCAACATGGTGAAACCCCGTCTCCACTAAAAATACAAAAATTACCCAGGTGTGGTGGCAGGTGCCTGTAATCGCAGCTACTTGGGAGGCTGAGACAGGAGAATTGCTTCAACTCACTTGAACCCAGGAGGTGGAGATTGCAGTGAGCCAAGATTTCACCACTGCATTCCTGCCTGGGTGACAGTGAGACTCTGCCTCAAAAATAAAATAAAATAAAGTAAAATAAGTTCAACCTCAGGGAGGTGCAGATAAAATCAAGGAGGTATTCAGCATGTATCAGATTGGCAAGGGCTGGACAGTTTGGCACTTCTTGCAGGGCTTAGGAAGTGGGGAAACGGAAGGCATGATAATGAGTGCCTGGGGTGGGTGGGCACAACCACCGAGACATCAACCAGCAACGCCCACCAGTTTCTAAATCTGCATGTCCTGGAAATGAATCAAGTATCCAATAACAGAGTAACTGTTAAATTACGGTAAGTGGTTAAATAGAATATGAAGCAACCATTAAAAAAGCAATTAGTTGGTGGGGCACGGTGGCGCATGCCTGTAGCCGAGGCGGTTGGATCACCTGAGGTCAGGAGTTAGAGACCAGCCTGACTAAGGTGGTGAAACCCTGTATCTACTAAATACAAAAAATTAGCCAGGCGTGGTGGCGCATGCCTGTAATCCCAGCTACTTGGGAGGCTGAGGCAGTAGAATCACTTGAACCCAGGAGGCAGAGGCTGCACTCCAGCCTGGACGACAGATTGAGACTTCATCTAAAAATAATAATAATAAAATAAAAGTAAAAAACCAACTAGTTGAAGTGAATTCTATTGTATTAACAGAGTAAAAATGCCCCAAGTCCCAATGTTAAGTGGGGAAAAAGCAAGCTGTGGGTGACTGAGGACCATAAGCATCTGACCCTCTCAGCAATCTACACATGTAGGAACACTCCTGCCACTACATGCAAAATGCCAAGGAAGATGCACGGCAGTCGGTCACTACGGTGGGGAGACTTTTTTTCACAACATACCCTTACTTTTAAGAAAAAAAAAAAAGTGAGTATGTTCCTATTATTTCAGTTTTGTTTCTTCTAGGAAAAATAGTTGGCAGTATTACTAAAGGCCCTGAGCCACCAAACTGATAAAAGGACATTTGTTTTAATGATTCCTCAGAGCATTTCCAATTTGGTCTTCCTTCCCACCAATGAGGCTTCCTCCCTAGTGACTTTGAGATGGGAGTCTCGCTCTGTGGCACATGCTGGAGTACAGTGGCGCAATCTTGGCTCACTGAAACCTCTACCTCCCAGGTTCAAGTGATTCTTGTGCCTCAGCCTCCTGAGTAGCTGGGATTACAGGCCTGTGCTACCACGTTTGGCTAATTTTTGTAGTATAGTCCGTGTTTCGTTATGTTGGCCAGGCTGGTCTTGAACTCCTGGCTTCAAGGGATCTAACTGCCTCAGCTTCCCAAAGTGCTAGGATTACAGGCATGAGCCACTGGACCTGGCCCCTAGTGACTTTCTTAATAATCTTCCCCTTTTCCGTGACTCGTGGGTAGGCAGCGTCTCACGTGGCCATGCATGTCAGTGACCCACACAGCCTCCACACTGTGAGGTTAGCATGTCTCGTGGGCAGACAGCAGTGTCCTTGGATGTACCCGGGGGCTTTGTGCTGTAGAGATGTTATTTTAAATAATAAGCCAAGTCGAGGATGGGAGCGTTTCCATGGCAACTTGAATTTTAAAACCAAGATTTCTTTGGTTACTGTGGTGGCTGAGAACACAGGCAGCTGCCATGTCCAGTGGCTCTCAACTCCTGGAGGACAACCTGCCGTGGCCATTCCCTGGAGTCCCACAGGGCCCCCTCGCCACTTCACTAGCAGGCGACTTCCCTGCACCCGCCCTCCTTTTCATGGTTCCCAGGCCCTCCCACACCTCCCTGTGCTCCCTACTCATTCCCAGGCTCCCCGGGGCCACCGCTGCCAGCCCCAGGGCCCAGCCCATTCCACTAGTCCCAGGCTGAGCGCTGGGAAGTTCTTTCAGCCCCGCACCTTGGCCCAGGGCTGTGGTGTTCCTGGCTTCTCTGCTCCTCCCCTATGGTATCCAGGTTGGGGCTCAAGGGGCCGCCAGCGTGCTGCAACCGGACGATAAAATGAGCCCTGCACTTGGAGTCAGGAGACCTGCATTTGGATCTGGCTCTGCCACTGACTAAATGGCACCCTTGGGGTCTGACCTTCCCCAAGCCTCAGTTTCACCACCTATAAAATGGAGCTAGTAACCATCGTGTCTCAGGTGGCAGTCAAGAATGAAATGAGGAGGACCAAAG
The DNA here is from genome assembly GCF_000001405.40 of Homo sapiens. Lineage (NCBI taxonomy): Eukaryota > Metazoa > Chordata > Mammalia > Primates > Hominidae > Homo > Homo sapiens. The sequence goes on from NC_000008.11 coordinate 11,858,133, forward strand.
CGCCGGCACATGCCTGGCATGCAGTGATAAGGTAGGAAGGGCACTCGCTCCAGCGGGCTCTGTTCCCTCCCTCTCTCCTCTAACACTTCTAGCTCTCAGTTCACACTAAACCTATTCCAATAGGTCCCCAACGCCAGGAAGAGTCTAAATGAAAACAAGTTTGTTTTTTTTGTTTGTTTTAAGACAGGATCTCACTCTGTTGCCCAGGCTGGAGTGCAGTGGCACGATCATGGCTCACTGCAAACTCTGCCTCCTGGGCTCAAGAGATCTGCTCCCCTCAGCCTCCTAAGGAGCTGGGACTACAGGCATACACCACTACGCCCAGCTTTGTATTTTTTGTAGAGATGGGGTTTTGCTATGTTGCCCAGGCTGGTCTCAAACTCCTGGACTCAAGTGATCTGCCCGCCTTGGCCTCCCAAAGTGTCGGGATTATAGGTGTGAGCCACCATGCCCAGTAAAACAAGCTCTTAACTTCAATTAACCCCAGCATTTAACATCCAAAAATGCTTCCACTCTTGAGGGTCCCGAGACTGCTGAGAACTCAAAAAGTGTCAAGCCAAACACAGAGGTCCTGACAGCAGTGGCAATCTCACTCCATTGTGCAACAGGCGCCTTTCTCTCCACAACAACGCAAATCTCAATCACTCTGGACAAATGCAGATGGTGAAAGTGACAAGCTGAGCTGTTAACAGCTTTCCAGGGTCTTTGCATGGGACAGCAACCCATTTTCACTTCCCTTTATATAGGCACCCACTTCCCTTTTATTTCTTAATTCTGTGCTTTCTGCTCTGCTTCTTACAAGAGATGATGAACACAAAGTCCTTATTTCACGAGGGAAGGATGTGAACTCTTGTGTGCCACAAGACCCCTTTCCAGGATGCGGGCTGGTGGAAGAACAGCTGCGAGCAGATGTCATCTCTAGACCTTGGTCTGCTGTGCTGCTTAGGCAGACCTGAGTTCCAGTGCACCCCTCTGCCCCTTTTCCAAGCTAATCTTTGGGTTAAAAAAAACAGAAAAGGGTGCTCCTCATATCCTCTCTCTCCAAACCTGCAGAGCACTTATGAGAAAGCACGCTCCACCCCGGCTCTGTAGAACGTTGTTATGTGCCAAAAAGAGTGTGCGGCCAGGCGACTCTATCAACCAGAGCACCTTCCTCCCCCGGCAAACGGCACCCTAGACTACCTTGAAGCCGTTTCCAGGACAAATAGGGACCTTGCGATCCTGGAAGGAGGTGGAATGAAAGTCAAAGGAGAGGAGGTGCGGCTAAGTCACAGGAGGTGTTAAGTCCTGACACCCTTAAAGAATCAGTTTTGGGCTGCCACCAAGCTCAATAAAGAAGGCTTTCTGGCCAGGCACAGTGGCTCATGCCTGTAATCCCAGCGCTTTGGGAGGTCAAGGCAGGCGGATCACCTGAGGTCAGGAGTTCGAGACCAGCCTGTCTCTACTAAACAAGGTGAAACTCCTGTCTCTACTAAAAATACAAAAATTAGCCAGGCACGGTGGTGGGTGCCTGTAATCCCACCTACTTGGGAGGCTGAGGCAGGAGAATCACTTGAATCCAGGAAGCGGAGGTTGCAGTAAGCTGAGGTCACACCACTGCACTCCAGCCTGGGCAACAGAGCGAGACTCTGTCTCAAAAAAAAAAAAAAAAAAAAAAAAAGGCCGGACACAATGGCTCACGCATGTAATCCCAGCACTTTGGGAGGCTGAGGCAGGCGGATCACGAGGTCAGGAGTTCAAGACCAGCCTGGCCAACATGGTGAAACCCTGTCTCTACTAAAAATACAAAACTCAGCCGGGCATGGTGGTGCTGCCTGTAGTCCCAGCTACTCAGGAAGCTGAGGCAGGAAAATTGCTTGAACCCAGGAGGCAGAGGTTGCAGTGAGCCAAGATCACACCACTGCACTCCAGCCTGGGCGACAGAGCAACACTCTGTCTCAGAGAAAAAAAAAGAAAGAAAAAGCTTTCTTACATGGTCACAGAGCCCTCAGGTAGACTGCACTTTAAATCTGTAAAGGATTTAAGGAGACAGGATATGTACACTTAAAATTTCCAAATAAGCCAAGTTGCTAGCTCCTGGCTGATAGACAAAAAAAGTGAAAGAATTCTTAGCAAAGCTGTCATGCAGTATTTTGCTCTTCCTCATTCGTTGGTGCTGTGGCTATACTGCTGGCTCCTCTCATAGTCAGCTCTAAAGAATTGAAAGTTGGCCGGGCACAGTGGCACACACCTGTAATCCCAGCACTTTGGGAGGCCAAGGAGGTGGATCACCTGAGGTCAGGAGTTCGAGACCAGCCTGGCTAACATGGTGAAATCCCATTTCTACTAAAAATACAAAAAATTAGCCAGGCGTGGTGGTTGTGCACCTATAATCCCAACTACTCGGGAGGCTGAAGCAGGACAATTGCTTGAACCCAGGAGGTGGAGGCTGCAGTGGGCTGAGATCGCACCATTGCACTCCACCTTGGGCAACAAGAGGGAAACTCCGTCTCAAAAAAACAAAACAAAACAAAACAAAAACAAAAGTCAAGTGCTTACATTTTGCCAGAAGCCACAAATGAAGACTGTGCCTTATAGGCCAGCAGAGCGGCTAAGAGCACGGGAACAGTGGAAAGGTGGGGAGACTGTGAAGGCTCAGTAAGACCTTCCCAGAGTACTTTGTTTCTTTCTCTTCTATAAAAACTAGTCTTGGCACTCACCGCTAATAACGGCAGTTGCTCCTGAAGTTTTGACCACTTAAGTGCAACCACAAAACAAGACTTCGGCGAGTTTCATCTTCCCCTACTTCAACCTGCCAGACACACCTCAATGCTGGAGCAGCCCTGCACTGGGTGGGAGTGTGCTGACCTCAACTATGCTCTGTTGTGACCCAGAGACCTTTCCTTTTTGAGTATGAATCACAGCCTTGCTGTGGCCTCTGATGTGTTACGTCTTTGCCCCTAATGGAACTGTGTTTAGTAGATTCTTGGCTTATGATTAAATTAAGGACAAAAACAAAATCCAAAGGGCTCTCAGGCCTCGGTCTCATCAGTCCCCTGATGAACGGGCACCAGAGGCCCATCTGTCCCATGGAGCAGGCTCCCTGCAGCTGTAGCCCCGAAGCAACTGAAAACCTGTCAGAAAACCCACCCAGCACACAGGTGTGCAGAGGCAGCAGTGATGCTCACCAGCCTTGGAGGCTTCCAGGGAACCAGGGGAAGCAGAGAAGCCCCACTCCACCTCCCTCACCTGAACCAGGTTGGCCACTCACAGGTCCTTCCCCGTGCTGCCCACCTGCCAATCATCTATGCAAACCAGGTACTGCAGGCCCAGCCCACGCAAGCTGCTCTCCATAGGCCTGAAGACACCTATGAGTGGAATATTGTACAAGGTCAGCCACAGCAACCCCACATCCTGCAGACAAAATGACTACTGTACACTTGAAACAGCAGACACTACGAAGGCCCTCAGCAGTTATTTTTTGTTGTCGTTGTTGGTTGTAAACAAGACAATTTAGTCAATATTCTGGAAAGTTCTGAAAGCTTTTACTCCCCATTTCTGTTACTGACTTGCTCAGATGCTGACAGAGCCAATGCATTCACCACGTCTGCATCGGATACCAAAGGACCTTGGGCCTGCTTTATAAAAGCTTTTAGAGATCCTTTGAGATTGCAATGAGATTAGTGTTCTGCTCATTAGTGTTCTGCCTCTCCAGCTTGCAGAACACGGCGGTTCCCTAATTCAACCGCAGGCGAGATTACACCAGGGTAGTTGAGGCTGACGCGAAGGCCAGCCACAGAAAGGCCTAGCTCTGGGCCGGGCATGCTGGCTCACGCCTGTAATCCCAGTACTTTGGGAGGCTGAGGTGGGCGAATCACGAGGTCAGGAGATCGAGACCATCCTGGATAACACGGTGAAACCCCGTTTCTACTAAAAATACAAAAAAATAGCCAGGCATGGTGGCAGGCGCCTGTAGTCCCAGCTACTCGGGAGGCTGAGGCAGGAGAATGGCGTGAACCCGGGAGGCGGAGTTTGCAGTGAGCCGAGATCACGCCACTGCACTCCAGCCTGGGCGACAGAGTCAGACTCCATCTCAAAAAAAAAAAAAAAAAGAAAGGCCTAGCTCTTGGATCCAGCTAGGTCCTGTTTTCCTCCCTTGGGGCCCTGGGAACAGATACCCATCTCGCAAGGCTGATGGAAGATACAAGGAGACACTCTTTTGAAAGTGCCTACCCTGCACCAGGCTCAGAGCAGCGCCATCTGGGAGAAACTTCCTCAGTCACTGGGAGCGTGAAAAGCCATCTCCTTATACATAGGACAGCCAACGTTTGCATCCCAGAGTCATCATTTCTATTTTCAGAAGTATCCTAATTTGGATGAAAAATAATGGAAATTGTACTATCAGTGACAAGGCCTTAAAAGTTGATTTGTTCTGCTGTCTTGACTGCCAAAGCAAAGCATGTCCCAAACACCAGGAAGGCTGAGTGGGTTGGGAATGGGTGGCAGGTGGCCCCCAGCACTCTGATGTGGTTTGATGATACGCTTCCAACCCTCGAATGGGAAAAGCCTGTGGCTGGCACCGCCCTCCTGGGACTTGCGCAAGCCAGGAAGCTGTGTGACTGTGTGTGTGCACATTCTGCCAGAGTCCAGGTCAGCACGTCAGAGGGTCATGAGACAGCCCGGCCCTCCGGGCTCTTAGGGCAGAATATCTAGATGTCTTCTACAGGGCTCTCTACTGGTCCCGTTACCATCTTGGCCACATTGGGCCCATCCTTCTCCATGCATGCTTGCTGGTGATGCTAGATTATCTTGATGACCAGACCAAAGAAGTTACTGGCCTGGTAAAGACAGATAACACAGTCAAGACTGCCAGCCACACATCCTTCTCAGCACCCAGCATTTAGAAAACATCAGTTCTGGGCTGAGCACAGTGGCTCACATCTATAATTCTGACACTTCGGGAGGCCAAGGTGGGAAGATTGACTGAACCCAGGAGATTAAGACCAGCCTGGGCAGGATAGTGACCTCGTCTCTATATAGAAAATTAAAATTTAAAATAAAAAATAAATAGGCTAGCGGTGGCTCAGGCCTGTAATCTCAGCACTTAGGGAAGCCAAGACAGGCAGATCATGAGCTCAGGAGTTCAACACCAGCCCGACAAACATAGTGACATCCCGTCTCTACTAAAAATACAAAAATTAGCTGGGCGTGGTGGCACACGCCTGTAATCCCAGCTACTCAGGGGGCTGAGGCAGGAGAATCACTTGAACCCGGGAGGCGGAGGTTACAGTGAGCCGAGATTACACCACTGCACTCCAGCCTGGCGACACAGTGAGACTCCGTTTCAAAAAAAAAACAAAAAAACCCAGCAAATATGCCATCACTGACCAACAATAAAAACAGGAAAAGTGTCACTCAACCCATTTATGCCAGAGGTTGCAATTTTTTAAATTTTTGCACGAGTAAAAACATCAGACCTTGGCGATGACCTTGAGCAGTATGATGTAAAAACTCCCACATGCTTAGCGTTCTAATAATGGAACACTAGGCATAAGTGGGTTACTGTTGTCCTACAGCAAAGATTAAATTTGAATTTCTGGTCATGAAATTAAAACAGGGGTACCACTTCAAACCCATCAGATTGGCAAAAATCAAAGTCTGGTACTATCTAGTGTTGGTAAATGTGAGGAACAGGAACTCTGCACACTGCTGGGCGAGTAAATTGATGCAACCACACTGGAGAACCCTTTGCCAGCATCTAGCAAGATGGAAGATGAACACACCTCATGACCCAGAAACAAACTCTCCCACATGTGCCCTGCAGAAACTCTTCTAAGTATCTGGGAGACACAGGATATTTATTGTAGCATGGGATAATAGTGAACACGAAATAACATAACTGTCCCTCAGTAGATAAACACACTGGGCACTTAACACAAATGGACTAGAACTGGATGTAGCAACAGAAATAAATCTCACAACCGTGAGTGAAAAAGGATCCATGTAGTGTAACTGAAGTCATATAAACTTTAATAACATTGTTTATACACTGATGCAGAGTTTTAAAAGTACAAAAAGGCCTGGAGGTGACTCATGCCTTGTAATCCCAGCATTTGGAAGGCCTAAGTGGGAGGAGGCAAGGGGATCACTTGAAACCAGGAGTTTCAGAGCAGTCCTGGCAACAGTGAGACCCTGTCTCTACCAACGAAAAAAAAAAAAAAAAAAAAAAAAACCTGGGCACCGCCTGTGGTCCCAGCTACTTACTACTCGGGAGGCTGAGGTGGGAACCAGATCGCTTACATCTGGGTGGCTGAGGCTGCCGTGAGCCGTGGTCGCACCACTGCACACCAGCCTGGGAGACAAAGCAAGACCCTGTCATTAATCAAACAATAAATGAATGAATGCATGAACAAAAAAATGTGCAGAAGAATCCAAAAGAGGGGCAGCAGACAGGGAATACAATGGCCCTTGGAAGGATCAGGAAACAGGCACAGGAGTGGTCTACAGAGGCGGACGATAAGGCTTGAAACTAAAAAAGAGATTAGTTAAAAGTCTAAACACATGGCTGGGCACAGTGACTCACACCTGTAATCCCAACACTTTGGGAGGCGAGGCGGGCAGATCATTTGAGGTCTCTACTAAAAATACAAAAATTAGCCAGGCATGGTGGTGCATGCCTCTAATCCCAGCTACTCCGGAGGCTGAGGCAGGAACATTGCTTGAACCTGGGAGGTGAGGTTGCAGTGAGCTGAGATTGTGCCACGGCATTCCAGCCTGGGTGACAGAGTGAAACTGTCTCAAAAAAAAAAAGAAAGAAAAAAATGTCTAAACACAGAGTGGAATTTGATCCCTAAACCTCCTACCCCACACAAGCTAGGGTAAATATAAACATTAACAACCATGCCAGGGCGCAAGGTTTGCCTCCCACATGCTCTTTCTCAGGCAGCCTGGGACCAGACGTAGAGACTGCTGCCTGCCACCCTGATATCCCAGAGGCACAGCACATCTGTACATGCCTCCCCTAGACTCAACTGCCTGTCACCCCAACCATCTCCCTTTACATGGACCATGTGGAAGTGCCCAGTAAATATCACTCAACCGCACATGTTTCCAATAATTTCCTTAGGCCAGACCATTGAAAAGAGGCAGCAGACTGGGCGCAGTGGCTCATACCTGTAATCCCAGCGCTTTGGGAGGCCGAGGTGGGCGGATCACGAGGTCAGGAGTTCGAGACCAGCCTGGCCAACGTGGCAAAACCCCCACATTGGGATTTTTTTACATTGGATTTTTTTAGGAGAGACAAAAAATCTCTACTAAAAATAAAAAAATTAGCTGAGTGTGGAGGCACATGCCTGTAATCGCAGCTAGTTGAGAGACTGAGGCAGGAGAATGGCTTGAACACAGGAAGCGGAGTTGCAGTGAGCTGAGATCTTGCCACTGCACTCCAGCCTGGGTGAGAGAGTCAGACTCCACCTCAAAAAAAAAAAGGAGAGAGAGAAAAGAAGAATCGACATACCTGTAACTCCTCCCTCTCAATGTTTCAGTCCATATCTCGAAAGGACGGTATGTTACTCTACACAACCACAACTCATTACCAGATTTAAGAAAATTACCCCTCCACCGCGCGGTGGCTCATGCCTGTAATCCTACCACTTTGGGAGGCTGAGGCGGATCACTTGAGATCAGGAGTTCGAAAACCAGCCTGGCTAACATGGTGAAAGCCCGTCTCTACTAAAAATACAAAAAAAAAAAAAAAAGCCAGGTGTGGTGATGGGCACTGGCAATCCCAGCTACTTGGGAGGGAGGCTGAGACAGGAGAATTGCTTCAACATGAGAGGCGGAGGTGGCAGTGAACCGAGATCGCACCACTGCACTCCAGCCTGAGCGATAGAGGGAGTGTGTCTCAAAAAAAAAAAAAAAAGAAAGAAAAAGAAATTAAGAAAGAAAAGAAAATCACTGACAGACATCCCAAGGCACCCCTGAAACGTGACCTCCCTTCAATTCACTTCCCAATCCAACCAAGAGCAACAGAAAATATCTGTTACCCCTAAAATGGGTGCAACTTCTCTTCCAACTCCCAGGTCCAGCAGCTGGGGAAAGAAAAGAACCTGCCTACAAAAAGAGCCTCCCCAGTCTGCTAAATCAGCACCACATGGGCAGTTTCAACCTGGAACCAAAGGGCCACCACCCCTCACCGCCTAACCAGTTGGAAACAGGGCTGTCCTGAGCCAACACCCAGGAGAGCTGTGCCAGGGCCGTGTCTGGCCTGCGTTGCCACCTGGGGAGCAAGGGACCTGTGCCTTTCCACCAGGGGGTACCCCCAGCTAGAGGACAAATGACCAAAGACGAAGGGAAGCCTCTGTTCTCCAGGAGACGTTTGACTCTGTCTTTGGGAAAGCTACACAGGGTGGGCGGCCCAGCCCCTTTCTCCAGGAGCTGGCGGGTTCTAAGTCACCAGCACCAGAGCCAACAAGAAACAGTTCTTGGCCAGGCACCGTGACTCACCGGGAGGCCGAGACAGGCGGATCACCTGAGGTCAGGAGGTCAAGATCTGCCTGGTCAACATGGTGAAACCCCATCTCTACTAAAAATACAAAAATTAGCTGGGCGTGGTGGCGGGCACCTGTAATCCCAGCTACTCGGGAGGCTGAGGCAGGAGAATAGCTTGAATTTGGGAGGCGGAAGTTGTAGTGAGCCGAGATCGCGCCACTGTGCTCCAGCCTGAGAGACAGAGCCAGCCAACGCCCTCTTAGGCCTCTTCGCCTTACGTTCCTGAACGTTTGGATTCAAAGAGAGTGCATCTCAGCTATCCTCTCCTCCGGCAGCAGGCAGTGGGAATGTTTTTCCAGGCTACAAAAAGGTGCCAGGTCTGCATTTGAACCCCACAGCGTCACTTCTCCAGTGGGTTTGGGGGGTCTCTCGTCCGTTAGGAGGAGGAGTGTGGGGCCTGCGCTAGGGTCCTTTTCTTTGCCAGCCTGCTGGCTTTCTCAGCGCCTGGGAAGGGGGTGACAGAGGCCCACCAGGAAGCCAAGTGCAATTCACTTCCACCTGGGTCGCCCACCCCAGCCTGCCTGCAACGCCCCACACCCAGCACCCACTGCTCCCCAGAGGCCAACTCCCCCCGGCCTCCAGGGCTACTAACCGAGGGGGAGGTGGCGCCCCAGGGACTCTGCCCGGCCTCCCTTTACTGGAGTCCAGGAGCAGGGTGCGCCCCCGGCCTTCTCCCCACCGGCATCCAATCGCCCATTCGCCTCTTGGTTTCGCTGTCTGGTTTCTCTTCCTGTTTATGGATTTAACACCGTGCGGCTTCCTCCCCAGCCCACCCAGTGCCAGATTCCTGTTCTTCAACAGGACCTGTCTTCTGGGGTCCCAGGAATTGCGTGGGATCTTGCGCAGAAAGTTGGCCAGGCAAATCCTTCGCAATGAGGGGGAAATAAACCGAAAATAGATGCCGGCAGATGCGATTATGTCGGCAGTTTGGCCCGGAGACACCGAGGCCCAGGCGCTGGGAGCGCGGTCCCAGGCAGCAGTCTCCGGACCCGGCCGAGCTCTTCCTCGCAGGCGCCTCCCTCGGCGGTCCTGGCCGCGTCCCCGCTCCGAGGGCCGGGGTCCGGCGCACAGCCCGGGGAGGGGAGCGGAGGGCAGAGGGCTGGCGGGCGGAGCTGTTTTCTGCTTTTCTCGCCGACGCTTCGGAGCGCGCGGACTCCCACCCCAGCCCGCCCGTCAGGGACAGTCCCGAGGGTCCCGGCTCCCCGCCGGCCCCCAGGGACGCCGCGGGGCCGCGCCTGGGCCCGACTGAGGGCGCAGAGGAACCCGTCTCGGCGGCCGGGTAGCACCGTCCCCGCCAAGGTCACTTACGCTGCGGTGGCCCCGGGTCCCCAGCACTCACCCAGCGCTGCAGCCGAGAGCCTGCAGCCCAGCCTGCGCGCAGCGGAGCGGTTGGCGTTGCCGGAGCGGTTGCCGGAGCCCTGCAGCCGCCGTAGCCTGGGCCAGCCCCGGCCCTAAGTACCCTCCCGGCCCCGCCCCACGTGACCACCGCGCAGCCCCGCCCGGGCCCTCCCGCCGCCCGCGCACGGTGCTTCCCAGCCCCCACCCCCTCCCGCCACCTTCCGCCGCCCGCGCTCCCCGCTTCCCGGCCCCGCACACCCCCCGCCCCCTTCCGCTCGGGGTCCGGGGCCACCGCCGGGGGCGGGCGGGGGCCTGAGCGCGCGGGCTGGGGAAGAAGGGCTTGGAGCCCTGCGGGCCCTGGGTGGCGAAACGCTGCGAATTGGGGCCAGGGGATGGGGAAAAAGCCCCTAAAGGTGGTCCCAAGGCCCCCACCCCGCCTAGAAAAGTCCCCCCGCCTCGCGGGACCGCCTCCGCCAGAACCCGCGCCTGGGATCCCTGCCTGCCGAGTTGGCGGGGGTGGGGTGGTGGAGAGGGCGCCGTCGCTTATTTCATTCATTCAGAAGCCGCTGCAGAGGCTGGGGGTGGCGAGGCTGTGGACCCCACAGAACAGCCTTTAGAAGGGCCACTTTGTTGTTCAGAGAACGTACCCACAAAACACTACAGCTACGTACAAATAGAAAAGAGTGGCTGTCACTGCGAAGGAACCTAGGAGCTGCGTCAGGATTTCTAAGAGGAGAAGGACCTTGGGGGCGGAAATCGGTTTGGCACAGGAGTACCCGGAGACCTGCTCCGAGAGGACGGACAAAGTGCACATTTACTTGGGGTTTATTACCGGGAGGCCCTGGAAGGGAGATGCAGGGGTTGGCTCAAGACTCACCCTCCTCCAGACACTCCCCAAACAGCTTTAATCCTTAAGACAAACCTGCAAAGCAGGCATGACCCCAGTTGTATTCAAGAGGCTCAGAGGGGCTGGGTTCGGTGGCTCACGCCTGTAATCCCAGCATTTTGGGAGGCCGAGGCCGGTGAGTCACCTGAGGTCGGGAGTTCGAGACCATCCTGACCAACATGGAGAAACCCCGTCTCTACTAAAAATACAAAACTAGCCGGGCGTGGTGGCGCGTGTCAGTAATCCCAGCTACTCGGGAGACTGAAGCAGGAGAATCGCTTGAACCCGGGAGGCGGAGGTTGCGGTGACCAGAGATCGCACTATTGCACTCCAGCCTAGGCAACAAGAGTGAAACTCTGTATTAAAAAAAAAAAAAAGGCTCAGAAGAATCGTATTTTATCCAGGCTGTGGCGACAGTAAGAAGGCAGTAGCCGGGTGCAGTGGCTCACGCCTGTAATCCCAGCACTTTGGGAGGCCGAGGCGGGCGGATCACGAGGTCAGGAGATCAAGATTATCCTGGCTAACACGGTGAAACCCCGTCTCTAGTAAAAATACAAAAAATTAGCCGGGCGTGGTGGCGGGCGCCTGTAGTCCCAGCTACTCGGGAGGCGGAGGCAGGAGAATGGCGTGAACCCGTGAGCTGAGATCGTGCCACTGCACTCCAGCCTGGGCGAAAAGCGAGACTCCGCCTCAAAAAAAAAAAAAAAAAAAAAAAAAAAGGCAGTAGGACTGCATGGGACCTGGTTCCCTGCAGCCTGGTCGTCAGCTGTCACACAGCCCTGAGCCTGTCTTCAGAGACATGCCTGTACTCCCGCCTGGTTAGTAACAAACTAAGGATAGGAGTGGAAGGAAAAAATAATCTCTGGAGCCCAAACATGGTCACTAAGCCCCCAGCAGAGTGGGATACCCGAGGAACTGAGGACCAGGAGGCTGGAGGTCAAGGTGGTCCCAACTGCCTGCTCACCCTAGTCATATCCTGACAGCCATGGACTCTGGACTCCAAATCATTTCAGACCTCTATAAGGAGCTCATAAGATGGCCAAAATGGGGAGGACACAGCCAGAACCAGGATAACTCTCCCCTCTCTCATCCTTAGAGTGTGACAGAAGGTATGCAGAGCAGAGTGCTTGACATGCGTTATGGCTATTTGATGGAATTTTCCATCAGTGTCATTATAGAAATCACTTTTGAGAGGTAAAAATCACTTTTGAAACAAAAGAAACAGGCTAGGCGCGGTGGTTCACCACTGTAATCCTAGCACTTTGGGAGGCTGAGGCAGGCAGATCACCTGAGGTCGGGAGTTCCAGACCAGCCTGGCCCAAATGGTGAAACCCAGTCTCTACTAAAAATACAAAAATTAGCTGGGCGTGGTGGTTCACGCGCCTGTAATCCCAGCTACTTGAGAGGCTGAGGCAGGAGAATCGCTTGAGCCCGGGAGGTGGAGGTTGCGGTGAGCCAAAATCACGCCATTGCACTCCAACCCGGGCAAGATTCCATCTCAAAAGAAAAGAAAAGAAAAAAAGAAATAGGCCAGGCGCAGTGGCTCACGCCTGTAATCCCAGCACTTTGGGAGGCCAAGGCAGGCGGATCACGACGTTGGAAGTTCAAGACCAGCCTGGCCAACATGGTGAAACCCCGTCTCTACTAAAAATACAAAAATTAGCTGGGTGTGGCATTGCGGGCCTGTAATCCCAGCTACTCGAGCGCTGAGGCAGGAGGATCCCTTGAACCAGGGAGTCAGAGGTTGTAGTGAGCCGAGATCACGCCATTGCACTCCAACATGGGCAAGACTCCTCAAAAGACAAGAAAAGAAATATATTACTACCAGAGTAGAATTCGTCCCTTCCTGGAACATCCAGGAAAGCTTCATGGAGAAAGGAACATACAGCATATTTACTTGTATATGTTCCTTCCTGCCCTCACTGGATCTTAAGCCCCACCCAGGCAAGCATTTTTACCTGCGGTGTTCCCCTGCTTCATCCCAGCTCATTGCAGGGTGTCTGGCCCATAGCAGAGGATAGAGAAATGTGAGTTGAGTGGATGCATAATGAATGAAGTAGGCCTTGAAGTTGAGGAGAATTTTGGCTTAACCTGCTAGATTTGGGGGTCAGGGTTCAGGGCCTGGGGAACAGCTCTCAGAACTTACAGAGAGGCCTTGACTCACGTGTGTAAAAGCTGTTTGCTTGTTGAACATCCGTAAAAGAGGCCTAAGTTAACACCTGAAAGAGGTGAAAACATACGTCCTCACAAAAATCCGCCGGGCACAGTGGGCTCACGCCTGTAATCCCAGCACTTTGGGAGGCAGAGGTGGGTGGATTACTTAAGCCTAGGAGTTCAAGACCAGCCTGGGGAACATAGTGAGACCCCAACTCTAAAACAAAAGTTAATAACGTATGTATAAACTTACACCAGATGTTTATAGCAGCATTATTTACAGTAACCAAAAGGTGAAAACAACTCAAATGTCCATCCATTAAAAACCATTGCACGAATAAACAAACTGTCATAAATCCACCAAATGGAGTTTTATTCAGTCGTAAAAAGGAATGAAGTAGTCACACATGCTACAACATCGATAAACCTTGAAAACGTTTACTAAGTAAAATCAGCCAGGTCCAAAGGACTCAGTATTGTATGATTCCGTGAAATCCACATGGGAGGTTAGGTAGGTGACAGCTAAAGGGTGTGGGGTTTCTCTGGGGGCTAATATGAATTTTTTTTTTTTGCCGAGACAGAGTCTCGCTCTGTCGCCCAGGCTGGAGTGCAGTGGTGCGATATCGCCTCACTGCAACCTCCGCCTCCCGAGTTCAAGCAATTCTGCCTCAGCCTCCTGAGTAGCTGGGGTTACAGGCACCCGCCACCACACTCCCCTAATTTTTGTATTTTTAGTAGAGACAGGGTTTCACCATGTTGGCCAGGCTGGTCTCGAACTCCTGACCTCGTGATCCACCTGCCTCGGCCCCCCAAAGTGCTGGGATTACAGGCGTGAGCCACAGGGCCCAGCCTAATTTTGTATTTTTTGTAGAGACGGTGTTTTCCCATGTTGCCCAGGCTGATCTCAAGCTCTTGAGCTCAAATGATCCTGCTGTCTCCGCCTCTCAAAGTGCTAGGATTACAGGTGTGAGCCACCTCGCCCAGCCTGATTTAACTTTTTAATTTTTAAAAATTATCCTTGAATACGCTACAGTGCCCAACTATTCAGTGTTGAAATGAACTGGATTTCTTATTTGGCTGTGATTGTTTCCAGTATTTTCAGAAATATGTCTCCATTCCTATCTAAACTCTAAGTTGGTTGGTGTAGGGTGCTGTCTTATTCATTTCTATTTCTCCTTCCTCTCTTCTCAAAGGACTTTCGTGCCCTTTACCCCTCCTTCCAGCAGGGAGGTATGAGCCGTGCCTCTGGGCTCCTTCTTCTTCCTCCCGACAGCTCCCTTTCTGTGGTGTGACTGTCATCAGAGGGAGGGAAATTACAGTGCCTTGGCTTCAGAGAACTAAGTTTCTGGTTCTAGCCTTATGAGGGCTGACCACATTGTTTTTTTTTTTTTTCTATTGGCTTCCAGAAGGATTCCTCTTTATTCTCCTACAGTGTCTCCTTTGTGGCTTATCCTACTGCGAGAGCACTTGTTTAACTGCGAGCAAAAGAGATGGCTGCTCCTCTAATACCGGTGGGGGCCTCGACTTTCACATGAACTCCCTCGGAAGGGAAGCCATGTCTGCAGCCAGGGTCTCAGCAGATGTCCACAGCCCCCAAAGCTTTGCCTCCAGAGGCCACCACTTCCCACCATTTCTGTTTCTGGTGGGGCCCCTTCAATTCTAACTATGGCCTCCCCACCACAGAAGAGCAGGGTTTACTCACTTGTCCTCTTCCATGAAGAGCAAATGTATTATCTCACTTGGGGTTTCAGTTGCCCTTGTAGTTTTATTTATTTTTATTTTTCATTTATTTAATTAAAAAAAAAGTTTGAGACAGGGTCTCGCTCTGTCACCCAGGCTGGAGTGCAGTGGCAGGATCTTGGCTCACGGCAACCTTCACCTCCCGGGCTCAAGCAATCCTCCCACCTCAGCCTCTGGACTACCTGGGATCACAGACGCATACAACCATGCCTGGCTGTTGTTTTTTATTTTATTTTTACAGATACTGGGTCTTGCCATGTTGTCCAGGTTGGACTCAAATTCCTGGGCTCAAGCAGTGTGCCCGCCTTGCCCTCCCAAAATGCTGGGATTACAGGCATGAGCCACCACACCCAGACCTTGAATACAGTCACATTCTGAGGTACTAGGGGTTAGGGTTTCAACATACAAACTTTTGGGGGCCTAATTCAGCCCATAATACTATGCTTGAGAAGAGGGCTGCTTCAGAGGCAGGCTGTTTGGAAACTCTGGAGAAAAACGGGGTGAGAACATTCTGTTTCTTTTTTTTTTTTTTTTTTAAGACAGAGTCTCGCTGTGTTTCCCAGGCTGGAGCTGGAGTGCAGTGGCCTGATCACAGCTCACTGCAGCCTCAACCTCTCATGCTCAAACAATCCTCTTGCCTACGCCTCCCAATTAGCTGGGGCTACAGGTGCATGCCACCATGCCCAGCTAATATTTATTTTTTGTAGAGATGGGATCTTGCTGTATTGCCCAGGCTGGTCTCAAACTCCTAACCTCAAGCAATTCTCCCGCCTTTGGCCTCCCAAAGTGCGGGGATTACAGGCATGAGCTACCACGCCTGATCTTGAGAACATTTTTTATGTCAACAAGGTAGTGAGCACAAAACGAGGAGGGGCAAGGCCAGTCATCCCTCCACAAATGCTAGCTGAGAACCTGGCCTGTGACAGGCACTGCAAACTGGAAGTTAAAGGGAAACTTTGCTATAAGCCACCTAGGTTTGGTGCCATATGTATTAGTAATCACAATAAATTTCCTTGAACGTAAGTGCAATAGCAAGTGATCCTTCCTATATTCATTTAAAAATCTTTGTGTTGGCCAAGCATGGTGGCTCATGCCTGTAATCCCAGCATTTTTAGGAGGCCGAGGCAGGAGGATCGCTGGAGCCCAGGAGTTCGAGACCAGCCTGGGCAACATGGTGAAGCCCGTCTTTACAAAAAGCACAAAAATTAGCTGGGCATGATGGTGCATGCCTGTGGTCCCAGCTACTTGGTAGGATCGCTTGAGCCTGAGAGCTGGAGGCTGCAGTGAGCCAAGACTGTGCCACTGCATTCCAGCCTGGGCAACAGAGACCTTGTCTCCAAAAAACAAAAAGAAAACTCTGTGTTGTTTCCTGATTTATAATTAGAGGTAGCATTCATTCATTCTTTTATACTGCAGCCAAGAATCTTCATTGGTTTCACATATAATTCTGGTCTGGCTGCCTGGCTGATACTAAATTTCTACCTTTACGCTGTTAAGCCATCCTAAATGGTAGTACCTCTTTGCTGCCTGTAGCTGTAGTCAGAAGAGGGTTCAGTAGTCCCTGTTAAGAAGGACTCTTGGGGACTGGAGATGTATTCATCAGGGTAATAATGCAAGCTGCTATAATAAACAAGCCCACCCAACAATGGTTAATTTCTTATTCAGGTTGAAGACCGTGAGGGTTCGTAAGGGGGGAGATGCTGCACTCTGAGGTTCCTGAGGGACTCGGGCTGCTTTGGGATGCACCACCATCTCCTACACATGGATGCCAGGGTCCCTGCTCCAGGGGAGGGAGAGAATGGGAAAAACCCTCCTGTCTTGAAAACTGTCCCAGCCTGCGAGCAGGATATGTGCTCCATTGATGACAACTATTTGAATGTCACAGAGTTGGGGAATGTGGTTAAGCTGCATTCCCAGGGAAAAAAATACGGTTTGGTGGGCTCCAGCTTATCTGAGCCACAGGTGTATGATCCTGGTACTACCACCTCCCCGATGGTTCCTTGGGGGAAGTTCCTTAAACTCCCTGGGGCCTTCCTCATCTGCAGAAGGGTTGTGACGATGGGCTGGTGTCACAAGGCTGTTGTGAGATGAGGGAGTTAGTACCCCTGGTACTCAGTGAGAGCAAGCTCAGTTCACCTTAGCTACCACCCAGCCCTGCAAACCACCTGCGCTCCTACAACTCCTTGCAGTTTACAATGCATTCTCATCTTCATAACTGTTTCTACTTTTAGCTTCTCAGCAAGCTGTGGGGTAGGCATTTCACAGATGAGAAAACCGAAGAGAGGCTGGGAGATTTGCCAAGGTCACATGGCACTTACACAGCTCAGCCTCCTGACTCAGTCCAGCACTTTTCCTGTCTCTTTGCGGAGATCACAGTTACCACCTTGAGTGCAGTGTGGCCCCCTGGGCCCACCCCAAAGCTGCTGGGAAGTTTGCGGAGAAATCTGAGTCACAGAAAAATGAGGCATCTACTTCAGATCCTATACCTTGGCGTTTCACGGAATATTTTGGAGTGTTTTATCCTAGGTAGTAAATTTGACTTCGCTGTCTGTGAAAAATAGATCTGTGCTGTCAACGGTGGACACTGAATGTCCACCTGGCAAACTTATCAGTTCAGTTTCTGTGGACAAGAAGAGGAAACAATTGGATTTCTCAATCATTTTTGGTCCAGTCCGTGGTCCAAATGGAAGAGACAGACCAGGTGTGGTGGCTAATGCCTATAATCGCAGCACTTTGGGAGGCCAAGGTGGGTGGATCACCTGAGGTCAGGAGTTCAAGAGCAGTCTGGCCAACATGGCGAAACCCTCGCTCTACTAAAAATACAAAAAAATTAGCCAGGTGTGGTGACAGGTGCCTGTAATCGCAGCTACTTGAGAAGCTGAGGCAGGAGAATTGCTTGAGCCCGGGGGCGGAGATTTCAGTGAGCCGAGATTGCGCTCCAGCCTGGGTGAAAAAGCAAAACTCCGTCTCAGAAAAAAAACCCAAACAGAAGAGACATTTCAGTACCACAGGCCAGCAGAAAAAGCTTCTGAATGAGACTCCTTTTGTAGGTGGAGTAAAGGTGGACAGTAAACCACTCCCATTTCCATGCATCATTGTTACTCTGACTTATTTATTTGTTTGTTTATTTTTTGAGATGGAGTCTCGCTCTGTCACCCAGGCTGGAGTGCAGTGGTGCGATCTCAGCTAACTGCAACCTCCACCACCTGGCTTCAAGCAATTCTTTTGCCTCAGCCTCCCGAGTAGCTGGGACTACAGGTGCATGCCACCACACCTAGCTAATTTTTGTATTTTTAGTAGAGATGGGGATTCACCATGTTGTCCAGGCTGGTCTCGAACTCCTGACTGCAAGTGATCTGCCAGCCTCAGCCTCCCAAAGTGCTGGGATTACAGGTGTGAGACACCACACCCAGCCTATTTATTTAATTAATTTTTTTTTTTTGAGACAGGATCTCACCAGGTTACCCAGGCTGGAGTGCAGTGGTGCAATCATGGCTCACTGTAGACCCAGCCTCCTGGGCTCAAGCAGTCCTCTCACCTCAGCCTCCCAAGTAGCTAGGACTATAATTGTGTGCCACCACACCTAGCTAATTTTTTTTATTTTTTTTTTGAGATGAAGTCTTGCTCTGTTGCTCAGGCTGAAGTGCAGTGGCGTGATCTCAGCTCACTGCTGCCTCTGCTTCCCGGGTTCAAAGGATTATCCTGCCTCAGCCTCCCGAGTAGCTGGGATTACAGGTGTGCACGGCCACACCCGGCTAATTTTTTGTATTTTTAGTAGAGATGTGGTTTTCCCATGTTGCCCAGGCTGGTCTCGAACTCCTGACCTCATGAGGTCCACCAGCCTCAGCCTCTCAAAGTGCTGGGATTACAGGTGTGAGCCACCATGCCTGGCCACCTGGCTAATTTTTGTATTTTTCTGTAGAGATGGGTTTTTGCCATGTTGTCCAGGCTGGTCTCAATCTTCTGGGCTCGAGCAATCCTCCTGCCTCGGACTCCCAAAGTGCTGGGATTACAGGTGTGGGCCACCACACCTGACCTGCTCTGACTTACTTAGATACCAGGGAGATCATCCATGGAGAAGGTCTAAGGGCTTTATGGATTTCATTATCATTGGCATGCTCGCTGTAGATGGCCATGAAATCATTTTCAAAAATGTCCTCATCTTTAAAGAAGTGTTTTTATTATTTGTGAATTTTGCTTTGGTTGAGGGTGTCTTTGGAGTTTGGAAATCCATGTTGAGGCATGAAATAATTTGTTTTCCCAGATGTTTACCTGCCTGAGCATATGACCCTTGTTTATTTATTTAGGGCTCTGTGTGGGCAAGAGGACTTAATTGGCAGATGTGTCTGTGACTAGACACAGAAGACATTTTTCTTTTGTTAGCCATCTTGTTTGTGTGTATGGGGGGAAGTGGTGGATTAGTCACCCGGGAACATGTGGGAAGCTGGTGAAATTTTGCAACAATAGCTGGGAAGGGCTTGAACATTCCATAGGGGCAGGGTACATCTTCAGTCTCAGGTCAGCTGGCTTAACGAGAGCTCAAGTTGACTGCCTTTCCACTGGAAGTGTCCTTCAGAACTGGAACCGGGCCGGGTGCGGTGGCTCACTCCTGTAATCCCATGGGAGGCCAAGGCAGGCAGATCACCTGAGGTCAGGAGTTCGAGACCAGCCTGGCCAACATGGTGAAACGCCGTCTCCACCAAAAATACAAAAATATCAGGCTGGGCACGGTGGCAGGTGCCTGGAATCTCAGCTAGTCAGGGAGGCTGAGGCAGGAGAATCGCTTGAACCCGGGAGGCAGAGGTTGCAGTGATCTGAGATTGCGCCACTGCACTCCAGCCTGAGTGACAGAGTGAGACAACGTCTCAAAAAAAAAAAAAAAAGAAGAAGAAGAAGAACTGGAACTGGAACAGGAGCTTCCTGGAAGATTGACTGGGGTTAGGGGTTGCAGGCGAGTAAGCCTGTCAGAGAATGGAGCCTCCTGCCAACAGAGGGGGAGCTGGCATACAGAGGCCGGGTGGGAGCGTGGCCGGGCCTGCCATCAGAGTGGCTGTGGTACTACTGGGCCAGATGCAAATCTGGAGCCAAGGGTGGAGACTGAGCTTTGCCCAAGCCTTCATGATGAATCAGCGCATTAGCTCAAGACCGGGGCAGGAAGTGAACCAGGGTCTGTGTGTCTCAGACAGTCCTGAGTTAATTCAGACAGAACTATTGTGCTCTGTTCATTTATCCCTTTTATTCTTTTTTCTTTTCACGGATGGGCTTTAGATTTCCATTTGTGGCCTCTCCTCCTTTTAGATCTAGGTAAAATGGACAAAAACCTTCCGTTTTCATGGTTTCTGATGGCTTAAACCTGTCCCTAAGATGTTTGCAAGCCTCCAGGCAAAGAAGGAAGTGCTGGTGGAGGAGGCTGTGGTTGTCTTTCATTCATGCTTTGATGTCTTGTCTCTAAGAGGACTCTTTCTGCATGTTTGTCTCTTGGGCATGCTTGATCCGGCTATAAAATTCAGCCTCTTGCTTGATTTCTATGTACACTGGAATCATAGTGAGTTTAGACTTTTCTGGAGGCTTAGGGGTAGGCAATGAGGATGAGGAGGGGGTGACCAAGAGATAGAGGAGAGATTTACTTGGTAGAAATGCATCCAGAACACAGGCATTGCCTTTCAGTTAACGTTCTTTGGTGACCCTTCCAGGCTAGATTTCATTTCACTCTGAACTTCCCATCTTTTTGGTTCCCTTTCGCCCTCATTCTCAGATTTCTCTCCATTCCTTTCAGTGGCAAAACAACTCATTTCTTCCCTGTTCCCCCAAGAACAGCCTCCCTCATGATCTGCAGGCTCAGAGCTGACTTTCGTCCCACAAGATGTCATCTTCCCCAACCAAGTCTCTCTACGCTAAAGATAGTTCCTTCACTGGTTAGAGTTCTGGGGCCAGCTGTTCTCTCTCTTTTTAATTTCACTTCTCTAGAAAAGCTTCTTAAGAAATTGCAACCTTGCTTAGCTCAACGGAGGGGGTCAGGGCAGTACTGCTGGTGGGGTCATGTGGGCCTGAACACCCCATCTTCTTGTGGCTTCCATGGTTCCCGATATGCCTATAGGAAGCAGACGGGCTGGCCAAAGGGGCGCCCAGCAGGGAGATAATGGGCGTGGGGTGGGCCCCTTTTTCTCTGTTGGCCTGGTCTGGTGCTGGTGTCCCATAAGCTCTCCCAGACGAATAACCTTGTTCTACAAACGTACCCACTTAGGCAATTTGCCCTAAAGTTTCATCTTAAAAATGCATGTGAAATTGGACTTGTACTCCAGAGATATCCATGTTTGTATTCATGTAAAAATAATGTCCTTCTTAATTATCTGGGGGTGGTGGTGTGTGCCTTTAGTGCCAGCTACTTGGAAGGCTGAGGCAGGAGAATCACTTGGACCAAGGAGGCAGAGGTTGCAGTGAGCTGAGATCGCGCCATTGCACTCCAGCCTGGGTGACAGAGAGAGACTCTGTCCCAAAAAATAAAATAAAATAAAAATAAATACATAAAATAAAATAAAATAAAAGTCCTTCTCTAGGCTTGCAGTGTTGGTCTATTATTTTGCCTCCTGTGTGCCAGGCACTGCAGCAGGCAGTGGGAACTGAATGTCAGCCCACCTGGAATGGAACTTGGGTCTAGGTTGGAGAAGACAGACGTCAATCAGTCAGCTCAACCAGACACAGTGTGCTTATCTCCCAGCTGCAGACCCTCGGGGGCCTGATAACCCGGGTTATCAAGTGCTGTCTTATGCTTCTCCAAGGGATTCCTGTAGCTGTTCCCACATCAGGCCCACAGCAGCACCTAGTAGACATCAGCTGGATGTGGTAAATGTGTGAATTATAAAGTCCAACTCTGGTTCTCATCTAGAAGCATGGTATAGCCACTATTGGTTAGGACTAAAATCCAGGGAATGGAATGCAAAATCATTTTGCCCTGAGGGTCTTCAGAGAGGATCAGGCACACCCTTAATGGAGAGTTGAGGAGGATTAGGCTCAGAGAGATAACATGGGCCTGTGGCTCATTCGAGCTGGAACTCCTGCAGTCCCCTGCCCCACTCTGCCTGTCCTTGAGACACACCCAGATGTCCACAAACATGACAGAGACACTCACATGATGAGGGTCATCCTCATGCTGCTGTTACCTGGGCCAGAGATAACAAATGCCAAGGTCATAGTGTTGATCCCACCACTCCCCCGGTCCATGGCTGCCTGTTGGAGGGTGGGTCAAAGGTGTGGGGCTGAGCAGGGTGCTAGGAGCCACTGGGATGGGCTGGCAGGAATGTGCTCTCTGTGAACCATCTTTGGTCCATTACTGGCTGGGTACTTGCTTTAATTAGGTGGATGACAACCCTGGAGCTCCCCTGACTCCTATAGTGGTTTCCCCTCTGAAGGGGCTTCAGGGACCTCCTGAGGGTCTTCTTAGGGGTCTCTGGGGCAGCCCGAATGAGCCACACAGGGATGCCTTAGTGTCCTTTGGTTTCTGTCACTGCGAGGCAGGGCGGGGTGGAGGAGGGAGAACAGGCTTTGGGGGCCAGCACAGGTGAGCTTGAACCCAGGCTCTGTGCTGCTCCGTTGGTGCCTCCCAGGGTGAGTCACACTGCTTTTCCCAGGCCCAGGTTTATTCTCTGCAGCATGGGGATAGTATATTCTTCACAAAACAGAGGGAAAGATTAAACACAACAGGCCGGGTGTGGTGGCTCACACCTGTAATCCCAGCACTTTGGGAGGCTGAGGTGGGTGGATCACCTGAGGTCAGGAGTTTGGGACCAGTCTGGCCAACATGGTGAAACCTAGTCTCTACTAAAAATACAAAAACCAGCCAGGGGCCAGGTGCGGTGGCTCACTCCTGTAATCTCAGCACTTTGGGAGGTTGAGACAGGTGGATCACTTGAGGTCAGGAGTTTGAGACCAGCCTTGCCAACAAGGCGAAACAGTCTCTACTAAAAATACAAAAAATTAGCTGGATGTGGTGGCACGTTTCTCCCAGCTACTTGGGAGGCTGAGCAGGAGACTCGCTTGAACCCGGGAGGCAGAGGTTGCTGTGAGTTGAGATCATGCCACTGTACTCCAGCCTCAGTGACAGAGCGAGACTGAGTCTCAAAAAAAAAAAAAAAAAAAAAGATTAGACATAGCATATGTCATGTGCCTAGCACTGTGCTCAGTGGATTGGAGGGGTTAGGCTGCAGGTAATAGTTGGCACCATAATTATTATTGTTCTGCGAGGAACCCCGCTCTCTGACACCCATGAGGACAGGGACTGAGATGGGAGTTTGTGTAACAGTCAGCACCACCTTCAGAGTATGCAAGGAATGGCTAAAGGTGGACTTAAGTATTGAGGACTTGACCCGGCACAGTGGCTCATGCCTGTAATCCCAGCACTTTGAAAGGCTGAAACAGGAGCATCACTTGAGCCCAGGAGTTCAAGATCAGCCAGGACAACATAGGAAGACCCTGTGTCTACATAAAATTAAACATTTGGCCAGGTACGGTGGCTCACGCTGTAATCCCAGCACTTTGGGAGGCTGAGGTGGGTGGATCACCTGAGGTCAGGAGTTCAAGACCAGCCTGGCGAACACGGTGAAACCTCATCTCTACTAAAAATACAAAAATCACCCAGGCATGGTGGTGTGCGCCTGTAATCCCAGCTACTCAGGAGGCTGAGGCAGGAGAATCACTTGAACCCAGGAGGCGGAGGTTGCAGTGAGCCAAGATCGTGCCATTGCACTCCAGCCTGGGCGACAAGAGCGAAACTCCATCTCCAAAAAAAAAAAAAAAAAAAAAAAAATTTAGCCCCGTGGCATTTGCTTGTGGTCCCAGTTACTGGGGAGGCTGAGGTAGGAGGATTACTTGAGCCCAGGTGGTCGAGGCTGAAGGGAGCTGTGATTGTGCCACTGCACTCCAGCCTGGAGAAGGGTGAGATTCTGTCTCAAAAAGAAAAAAAAATGTATTGAGGACTTGATGGACTTTCCTCCTCATGCCAGTGGTCATCAGGCCCATGTAACTTTGCTGTGGGTGAGACTGAAGCTGGCAAAGGCGTTAAATTGGTGTTGCCCAGCCTACTTGTAGGATTAGCAAGAAATCGCCCCATTGGGAGGTCCTCCAATGACTGATCTAGCTAGTAACTAGTTTCAGTTAGATTCTAGAATATTTTTAGTGAAATGTTCATTTGACTAGGCAACTTGATATGGTAAAAAGAATATGCATTTTGGCCGGATGCAGTGACTCATACCTAAAATCTCAGTATTTTGGGAGGCCGAGGCGGGCAGATGACTTGAGGTCAGGAGTTCAAGACCAGCCCGGCCAACATGGTGAAATGCTGTATCCACTAAAAATACAAAAATTAGCCGGGCGTGGTGGAGGGCACCTGTAATCCCAGCTACTGGGGAGGCTGAGGCAGGAGAATCACTTGAACCCAGGAGGCAGAGTTTGCAGGGAGCCAAGATTGAGCCACTGCACTCTAGCCTGGGCAATAGAGCAAGACTCAGTCTAAAAAAAAAAAGAAAGAAAAAATAAAAGAATGTCAGTTTTGCGACCATACAAACCTCATTGCAGAGCCTGGCTCTGACACTCACTATGAGCTGAGTCAAATTAGCTGACTTCTCTGAGCCTTGATTTCTTCTGCAGGATAGAAAAAAAGAATCGGTGTAGCTCTGAGGGTGAAATGAAATACAACAGGTGTATTACTTTGCTTGGACCACTATAATGAATACCACAGACTGGGCAGCTTAAACTATGTGTTTATTTTCTTACCGTTCTGGAAGCTGGCAAGTCCAAAATCAAGGTGTCAGAAGGTTTCATTTCTTCTGAGGCCTCTCTCTTTGGTTTGCAGATGGGTGCCTTGTCACTATGTGCTCACATGGTCTCTCCTCTGTGTGTATCTGTCTCCAAACCTCTCTTTTTTTTGAGACGGAGTCTCACTCTGTTGCCCAGGCTGGAGTGAAATGGCGCGATCTTGGCTCACTGAACCTCTGCCTCCTGGGTTCAAACAATTCTTCTGCCTCAGCCTCCCTAGTAGCTGACGTTACAGGCATGTGCTAGAAAGCCCAGCTAAGTTTTGTATTTTTAGTAGAGATGGGTTTCACCATGTTGGCCAGGACGATCTCGAACTCCTGACCTCAAGTGATCCACCCACCTCAGCCTCCCAAAGTGCTGGGATTACAGGTGTGAGCCACTATGCCTAGCCAGCCTCCGTTTCTTGAAAAAAAAAAAATTTATATATATATATATATATATATATATGCTTACCTCCTCAAAAACCCTATCTCCAGATAACCACATTCTGAGGGACTGGGGCTTAGGACTTAAATGTATGAATTACTGGGGGACACAGTTCACCATTATAGCTGTTCATTTTTTATCTATATATTTGTTCAAGACAGAGTTTCATTGTCGCCCAGGCTGGAGTGCAGTGGTGCAATCACGGCTCACTGCAGCCTCAGCCTTCTGGGCTCAAGCAATTCTCCTGCCTCAGTCTCCTGAGTAGCTGGGACCACAGGCATGCACCACCACTCCTAGCTAATTTTTGTATTTTTAGTAGACATGAGGTTTTGCCACATTGTGGCTGGTCTCGAACTCCTGAGCTCAAGCAATTGGCCCACCTCGGCCTCCCAAAATGCTACAATTTCAGGCGTGAGCCACTGCGCTCGGTCTAGCTGCTCTTATTACAAGAGCTCTCATTCCTTCCCGCGGCTCTTCCTAATTCTGGACTGTTTCCATGGTTTGGGAGTTGGTGATTCTGCAGGGAGTGCTTGCAGTATTTTTCAGAGTTTCACGGGAAAAGCTGATGTCAGGAGGAGAAAAACATGTAAAGCCTGCTCAGCATCGTCTAGATGCAGGGTCTACTCTGGTACTTGTCTTGGGCTAGGAGTACTGAGGAATTGTTTGCTTTTTCTGGAATTCACAGAAATGTGTTGCAACCAAGTCAGAGGAGGAGAAGAAATAGGGGGGATAGTGGTTCTCACACAGATCCAGGTGCTATTTCTTCAGGAAGCAATAAGATTATCAACACTAGGGAAAAAAGAGTAT
This sequence comes from Homo sapiens, assembly GCF_000001405.40. NCBI lineage: Eukaryota > Metazoa > Chordata > Mammalia > Primates > Hominidae > Homo > Homo sapiens. The sequence goes on from NC_000008.11 coordinate 11,883,823, forward strand.
TTTTTCCTCACATTTCTAACATTCAAACTCACCATTCAATCCCTGCACTTCCCCCTTCCTTACATTCAAGTAGCCTTATGAAATCGTGCCCTTTGTTGTTATAAATAATTACATTGGTCCACTTGTAAAAAGTTGGCCAGTTACGGCAAGTCTGGTGTAGCAAACCTGTCCTAAATATTTTATGGATTTCTAAAAGCCGACTCTGTGGTTTGAGCTGAAAGGGGATGGCAGGAATTCCTTTTTCTTTCTGGAATAGTCTCAGATCATTGTGAGCTCAAGGATAGGTCACTCTCTTCTTGTAGTTATCAAAGCAAATTTTTATCTCTGGGTGTAAGGTAAAAATAGCTCTGGAATTTTCAAAGACAGATTTAAAGATATATGTTTTGTATACATAACAAGTAAATGTAAATGATAATAATAGTTAACATGTACTTTCGATGCACAATATCGTTCAGTCCTTACATCAATTTTAAGACCTTTTAACAGATGAGGAAACTGAGGCACAAGGAATGAGGTAACCTGTCCAAGATCCCAGATAGGTCAGCAGTAAAGTCAGGACATGAACTCAATTCAGTGACTGGCATTCAGCAAAGACGGCCGGGGCAGTGATAGAGAGAGACTGAGACAGACCGAGAGAGATGGAGAGCTCTTCTTGAGGCAGCCGGGTGGGAAGAACATGGGGTGGGACAGAAAGCAGAGTGAGCCCCAGAGACTCCCTCAAGGAGCTGGAATTCTAGTTGAGGATCCGCATGAGTTAGCACTTCAGTACTCACATACTCAGAAATGCTGTGTCAGGGAGGGTGGGGAGGAGAGGCTAGAATTCAGACTGAGAGACTCAGGTAGGCTTTACCATAGAGGCTTCGGAGTTAGACTGGAAGACAGGGGGATTTCTGTCTTTGAATCTTCTGCCAGTAGAATCTAGCTGGCAAGGGGACTAGATGTGGCTGGAAAGAGCAGCTGAGGGAGGGAGGTTAAGCACCAGGAAGGAATGGCGGCCACAGTAGACCGTGGGGCATTCTTTTGAAGAAGTTTCACGTGGAGCCTTTCATAGCCATGCCTTTGAAATTTGTTTTTGCTGCTCTCTGTACTTCCAATGCCCTCCCCTCTCTCCATTTGCACCTGGGAGCTCAGGCCAAGAATGAATGCATCTGTTTTCCGCAGTGTTATTGATCCCCGTGGTGGGAAGTGAACTCTCCCTTTCCTAAGCCTGCTGGAGTTCATTCTCTGTCGTCACCTTGCTAGTGGCCTTGCAGGTACTTGTACCTTGCAGCATAAGTGCCACTACCCTGGGTTGCCCTGAAGGGAGAGATGGCACCCTACACTTCCCTGCCCTCACTCAGGACTGGTTCCTGCCTGCCTCCTCCCTCAGCTCCTTCCTGCTAAATGAGTCCATGGATGAGTTATGGGAGCCCCTCAGGCAATCCCCCACTGGCCTCAAGAGGTCTTGGCACTCACTATGCAATACAGTTAGAATTCTCTGGGAAGCAGACGGAACTGAACCATAACTATTATCGACTCTCGAGATACCTCCCCAAGATGTGTGTTCCCCTTTACCAGAAAATATGCCAGGCAGAGAAAGGAGAAAGTTTCATGCCAGAAGGATCCCTTGCAAAAGTCCCCTGGGTCTACAATCTACATTTGCTTTTTTTCTGTTTTGATTTGACAGTTGAAAAACAAAAACCTAGCCCGTCATTATTCTAAGTAAGGCAAGAGAAGCTTGACAGGATGCCTTCGTGAGCCCCTTCTCTGCAGCAGGGGAAGAAAGAAAAGGGGCTTGAAGCCTCTCTGCAGAGGCTCTTCCAGAGTGTGGCTGCAGGGTCCAGGTGACCCGTCAATGGCGGTAAGGACCCTGGACAGGCGGGCAGTGAAGAGGCCCCTTCGGTGTGGGACTGCCCCATATTGCATGGCACTACTTTGGACAGGGACTAATGAGACTGTGAAAACATGTTGCCTGGCCTCTGTCTCTTGGTGTCCAGAAACTTCTGCGTTACTGTGATGGAAGCATTCAGACGAGGCTGGTCTGCAGAGGCCACTGATGTCCTGGGTGCTCCTGAGCCTGCAGCCTCCTGCAAGCCCCCGCTCCACAGCCAGGACTCGTGAGGCCTTTGGAGGCCCTGGAGGTTTGCTTTGCCATCTCTGCTTTGAGGGTCACGGAAGCAGAGTCTGACCCCACAACCAGCCCCATGCCTTCCTTCCTCCCTTCTGTTCATTTTCCCAGTGAAGCTTAGAGGGCTCCTTCTGTTGGCCATGCCTGCCCACCCTGCTGTCCTGGTCCTGGGCCCAGACCACACTTGACTTTTCCTCTGTCTCCAGGATGCACTGGATGGCTGTGTGACTGCCCATGGCATAACCTTAGGGGGTGCCACTCACATAAATGGTGAGGTGAATTGCACTATGGAACGCAATAGCCCATGAGCCCCGTCCACAGCTCATTACAGTCCTGGTCAGGGCGGAGTCCATCAGAGGCTCCCCGGGTTGGCAATTCAGGGTTTTTGTTGCTGTTGTTTCGAGAAAGGATCTTGCTGTGTCATCCACGCTGGAGTGCAGTGGTGCAATCACGGCTCGCTGCAGCCTCAATCTCCCGGGCTCAACTGATTCTCCCACCTCAGCCTCCTAAGTAGCTGGAACCACAAGCATGCACCACCACGCCTACCTAATTTTTTATTTTAATTTTTTTCTTTTTTTTTCCACCTATGTGACAACTGAAGATCCCAGCTAATTCTTTTTTTTTAAGAGATGGGGTCTTGCTATGTTGCCTAGGCTGGTCTTAAACTTCTGGACTCACGTGATCCTCCCACCTCAGCCTCCCAAAAATGCTGAGGTTACAGGTGTGAGCTGCCGCATCCAGCATTTTTATTTTTTATTTTTTTGAGACAAGGTCTCACTCTGTTGCTCAGGTTGGAGTGCAGTGGCACAATCATGGTTCACTGCAGCCTCAAACTCCTAGGCTCAAGCAATCCTCCTGCCTCAGCCTCCCAAGTAGCTGGGACCACAGGTGTGTGTCACCACACCTAGCTAAATTAATTAATTAATTAGTTATTATTATTTTGTAGAGACAGGGGCTCCCTATGTTGCCCAGGCTGGTCTTGACCTCCTGGTATCAAGTGATCCTATCACCTTGAACCCTCAAAGCGCCTATCCCTATTTCTCTTTTTTCTAAAAGAAAAAGTTCAGTGACAATGACAAGTGGTAATTCACACGTGGCCTCAATGTTGCGGAGAAACTAAAGGACGGAGGAGGAAAAGTGGAACGTGTAAGCCTTAAATAAAGACGGTAGCTTCTACTTAGTTCTAGCAGATTCCTGCCAAGAGAGGATGATAGCAGAATGTTGCCATGGCTGCTTCTTTATTCGCTAGAAGCAGAAATCCGTATTTTTGGATGAAGCTTCCTGCTTTTTAAATGTTGGCTCAAATGAAAGACAAAACAGGAATCCAGGCTAGGGGAGAGGGTGACTTGGAGCAGGGGGCTTGCAGGGAGGTGTGAGAAGTGAGAATATTCTGAAGGCAGAGATTTCCTCATGGGTTGGGTGTGGGCTATGAGAGAAAAAGACAGAAAAAGAGGAAGCAGGATGATTCCAAGTTGTTTTTTTTTTTTTGAGACGGAGTCTCGCTCTGTCGCCCAGGCTGGAGTGCAGTGGCGTGATCTTGGCTCACCGGAAGCTCCACCTCCCGGGTTCACGTCATTCTCCTGCCTCAGCCTCCCGAGTAGCTGGGACTACAGGCGCCCGCAACCACACCCGGCTAATTTTTTGTACTTTTCGTAGAAATGGGGTTTCACCGTGTTAGCCAGGATGGTCTCGATCTCCTGATCTCGTGATCCACCAGCCTCAGCCTCCCAAAGTGCTGGGATTACAGGCATGACCCAATGCGCCCAGCTTCTTTTTTTTTTTTTTTTGGCTGAGCCTCTGGGCTCCTCCTAATGACCCCCTGCGTCCTGCTTTCTCCCTCACGCCTGGCATGTCAGTCTCAACGCAGCGCCCGAGGGCTTCTTTAAAACCCAAGTCAAATCATACACTCCTCTGCTCAAAGGCCACCAATCGCGCCCACACCATCAAAGTAAAAGCCCAGGCCCAGGAAGTAGAATGGGGGCTGTCAAGAGCTGGGGAAGGGGGAGCTAGTGTTTAATAGGTGTAGCGTTTCAGCTGGGGGATGAGAAAGTTCTGGAGATGGATGGTGGAGATGGTTGTGCAACAATGGGAATGCTATAAACGTGGGTGGGGAAGACTTCAGAGGAGGAAGTTTTATGGGGGAGAGCAGGAGCTCAGTTTGGGGCATGTCAAGAATGAGATGCCTTATTAAACATTCGAGCCAAGACACTGAACAGAGCTGAGTCTGGAGTTCACAGAGAGCCAAGCTGGGGACATGGATTTGCAATCAATCAGTGCACAGATGGCATCAGTTCCACGGGACTGAGAGTTCACCAGCGTAGCGAGAACAGCCAAAACCAAACCAAACCAAAACGTTCTCCACAGGTCCCAGGAGTGAGCCAGAGACTTTAAGCTGAAAGGTCAGCCATCCAAGGAGGGATCAGGAAGGGGAAGAGGAGGAACAGCAACGAGGGAGGGAGGACCGCCGGAAGGGTGAGCGCTATGCTCGTGGGCTCGGGCGGAGTGGCACCTCGGGAGCTTCCTACTATCAGGGTTTGTGCCTGCACGAATCTGTCTACAGCCACTGCTAAATCTGAGGGCCATTGGGAGGCAGTTCAGGGTTTGGAGTTGTGTGAGGAGACAAGGTTAGGGATGGGAATTGAGGAGCAGTGCAGGAGGGCCGGGCGTGTAGGGAGGTGCCCCATTGAAGGGAGTGGGAGTGTGTGGGTTGGGGAGCAGCTGTTCAGAGGGGTCCACTGTGGCCCCCAGACTCTGGGCTGATCCCCAGAGTAAAGAAGATGGACATATCCTCTAGGGACCTGCACTGTCCCCTCACACCCCCATAAGAATGGTCTGGGGCTGCTGATAGAAGGCTCCTCAGTCAACTGACTTGGGGACTGACAGGGTCTGATGGTGAGAGGCAAGGACAGGAAGGCCTGCAAAAACGAGGCCTGGTCTGTGGTATGGTCTAAATAGTGACTTCCCTCAAAGTCACACAGTGACGTCCTAAGCCCAACTACCTTAGAATGTGACTATATTTGGAGATAAGGTTTTGATTTTTGTTTTGTTTTAGAGACAGGATCTTGCTGTGTTGCCCAGGCTGGAGTGCAGTGGCATGATCATAGCTCACTGTAGCCTCTTCTACCTGGCTGAAGCGATCCTCCTGCCTCAGCCTCCTGAGTAGCTGGGACTACAGGCATGCGCCACCACACCCAGCTGTTTTTTTAAACAGTTTGTAGAGACAGAGCCTCACTATGTTGCCCTGCTGGTCTCAAACTCCTGGGCTCCAGCAATCTTTTCGCTCCCACCTCCCAAAGTGCTGGGATTACATTGTGAGCCACCACACCCAGTCTTTGGAGACACGGTCTTTAAAGAGGTAGTTAAGTTAAACGAGGCTGTTAGGGTGGGCTCTAATTCAATCTGATTGGTGTCCTTATAGGAGGAGGGAGAGACATGAAGGCTGCACATACACAGAAAAAAAAAAAAACCCAACAACATGTGGGGACACGGAGAAGGCATAGCCTGAGGAGAAACCAGCCATGCCAACACCTTGATCTCAGACTTCTAACCTCCAAAACTGTGAGAAAACGAACGCCTATTGTTAAGTTGCCCAGCCTGTGGTATTTTGTTACGGAAGCCTGAGCAAACTAACACAGCCTGGCATTTTTGCTCTGAAGTTTACAGGATTGATTGGAATTTATGGGAATAGATTTATAGTTGCACAACTCAATGCTATGCAGGGATTTTCTCCAGCGTGATTCCTTTGGTGAAACAGTGGCCCCCACTTCCTACTGTCTGCCCAAACCCAAGCCAGCGAAAGTGTCCATTCACCCATCCATTCAGTCATTTACTCATTCATTCAACAAATATTTATTGAAGACTTACTGTAAAGGTCTTATAAAAGGTGATGGAACCTTGTCCATATCAGGGTTAGACATGGCTAAGTTCTGGGGAATTAGAACATATTATTAATCTCCATAACAAATACAGCTTTTGATGACACACAGAAACGAATGAAATCGGACACAAAGTCCCAATCAGTTTTTGGAAATAATCCACAAAATAAATGGAAGTTTCAGTTCCATAAACAACTAAATTGGATCCAGATATCAGATAATTCCACATTATATTGAAAAAGAAGAAATCGGGCCAGGCATCAGCATGTTGGGAGGCTGAGGTGGGCAGATCACTTGAGGTCAGGAGTTCAAGACCAGCCTGGCCAACATGGTGAAACCTTGTCTCTACTAAAAATACAAAAATCAGCCAGGTGTGCTGGCACATGCCTGTAATCCCAGCTACTCAGGAGGCTGAGGCATGAGAATTGCTTGAACCTGGATGGCAGAGGTTGCAGTGGGCCGATTGTGCCACTGCACATGGTTTGGCTGTGTCTCCACCCAAATCTCATCTTGAATTGTAACTGCAAGAATTCCCATGTGTCGTGGGAGGAACCTGGTGGGCAGTGATTGAATAATGGGGGCAGGTCTGTCCTGCACTGTTCTTGAGATGGTGAATGAGTCTCATGAAGTCTGGTGGCTTTAGAAATGGGAGTTTCCCTGCACAAATTCTCTCTTCGCTTGTTTGCCCCCATGTGAGATGTGACTTTCACATTCCACCATGATTGTGAGGCCTCTCCAGCCATGTGGAACTTTAAGTCCAATAAACCTCTTTCTTTTGTAAATTGCCCAGTCTCTGATATGTCTTTATCAGCAGCATAAAAATGGACTAATACCATCTTGTATACTGTTTGGTTAATAAATGCCCTTCTGGGAGACAGGCCTCACAACATCCACAAAAGCTGGGCTGCTTTCTGGGGCAGAAAGAGCTTAATGAAGATTAATATCTTTGTGTTGAGTGAACTCTGAGATGGCTCCCTGTGGTCCCTGACTCCTGGTGTTCTCACCCTTGTGTAATGTCCCCAATTGTGTGCAGGCAGGACCTTCGATTTGGTTTTAACAAACAGAGAAGAGCAAAGATGATAGGATGTCACCTCTGTAAATATAAGATGACGACTTGTGTCTTGGTGGCAGACTCTCTCCTTTATAAGCTTTCATAAAGCAAGTTGCTTGATTGGGGAGGCCCACAAGGCAAGAAACACAGGGTGCCTTCTGGGAAAAAACACCTAGGAATCAAGGCCCTTTGTTCAACTGCCTAAAAGCAATTGAGTCATGTCAACGACCAAAAAGTGAGCTTGGAAGCAGATTCTCCCCAGTTGGGCCTTTCGATAAGACTCAACCTTGCCTGACACCTTGAGTGTGGTCTTGTGAGAGACCATAAAATGGAGGAACCAGCTGAGCTGTGTCCAGATTCCTGACCTACAGAAACTGTGAGAAAACGTGTGTGTGTGTGTGTGTGTGTGTGTGTGTGTGTGTGTGTGTGAGCCAGAATCTTGCTTTGTCACCCAGGCTGGAATGCAGTGGCATGATCATAGCTCACTGCATCCTTGAACTCCTGGGCTCAAGTGATCCTCCTGCCTTAGCCTTCTGAGTAGCTAGGATGGCAGGCACACATCACCATGACCAGCTAATTTAACAACTTTTATTTTTTGGTAGAGATGGTATCTCACTATGTTGCTGAGGCTGGTCTCAAACTGCTGGGCTCAAGTGATCCTCATACCTCAGCCTCCCAAAGTATTGGGATTACAAGTGTAAGCCACTTCACCCTGCCGATGTGTGTTGTTTTAGGTGCCAAATTTATGCTCCTTTGTCACTCAGCAGTAAATAGCTAAGACAATCCTAAACAAGGTTTTTGAGATGGTAGAATAAAGACTCTCTGGGGTCCAATTAGTATTGGCCTGAGGCAGATTCCCTGAACAGAAAAGGAAGTGACCAGTAAATCTGAGTCATCTGGGATGAGGCCCCTTGTTACTAAACCCTCAGATTCCTTCCTGATGAAATGAGAAGTTTGGATAGCTCTCCAAGATCCCCTCCCCTCCCCTCTCCTCTCCTCCCCTCCCCTCCTCTCCTCTCCTCTGTATTTTATTTTCTTTTGAGACAGAGTCTCACACTGTTGCCTAGACTGGAGTGCAATGGCGAGATCTCAGTTCACTGCAACCTCCACCTCCTGGGTTCATGCAATTCTCCTGCCTCATCCTCTCGAGTAGCTGTGGTTATAGGCGCACACTACCACACTCGGCTAATTTTTTTTTTTTTTGTAGTTTTAGTAGAAATGGGGTTTCACTATGTTGGCCATACTGGTCTCAAATTCCTGACCTCGTGATCAGCCCTCCTCGGCCTCCCAAAGTGCTGGGATTACAGGCATGAGCCACCGCGCCCAGCCTTTGTTTGCTTTTCTCTCTTTTTTCTTTTTTGAGACGAACTCTTGCTCTGTCGCCCAGGCTGTGGAGTGCAGTGGAGCAACCTTGGCTCACTGCAACCTTTGCCTCCCAGGTTCAGGTGATTCTCCTCCCTCAGCCTCCCAAGTAGCTGGGACCACAGGAGGGGACACGCCACCGCACCAGGCTAATTTTTGTATTTTTAGTAGAGACGGAGTTTTGCCATGTTAGCCAGGCTGGTCTCAAACTTCTGACTTCAGGTGATCCACCCACCTTGGCCTCCCAAAGTGCTGGGATTACAGGCATGAGCCACCACGCCTGGCCACTTTCTTTCTTTTTATTTTTGTGTATTTGTTGTATGTTTTTAGGTTTGAGGTTACTGTAAGGGTTGCAAATATCTTGTAAACAATTATTTTAAATTGATGACAGCATTGATTGCATAAACAAAAACCAAACTACCAAACAAGCAAAAAGAAAACTAATAAAAATTCTACACTTTAACTTGCTCTCCCCACGTATTAACTTATTTATTTATTTTTTTTGAGACAGACTCTCACTCTGTCACCTAGGCTGGAGTGCAGTGGCACTATCTTAGCTCACTGCAACCTCTGTCCCCCAGGTTCAAGCAATTCTCCTGGCTCAGCCTCTCTAGTAGCTGGGATTAAGGTGTGTGCTAATTTTTAAATTATCATGCCTGGCTAATTTTTGTATTTTTAGTAGAGACAGGGTTTCACCATGTTGGCCAGGTTGGTCTTGAACACCTGACCTCAGGTGATCCACCTGCCTCCCCCTCCCAAAGTACTGGGATTACAGTAATGAGCCACCACATCTGGCCCACTGTTTCTATTGATAACTTATTGTACTGTCTATGAGTTGAAAAGTCATGGTAGTGATTATTTTTGATTGGTTCATCTTTTAGTCTTCTTCCTTAAGACATGAGTAGTTTACACACGACAATTATGGTGTTATAATATTTTCTGTTTTTCTGTGTACTTACCAGTGAGTTTTGCACCTTCATATGATTTCCTATTATTCATTGATGTCCTTTTCTTTCAGATTGAAGAACTTCCTTTAGCTTTTTTTTTTTTTTTTTTTTTTGTGTGTGAGATGGAGTCTCACTCTGTCACCCAGGATGCAGTGCAGTGGCACAATCTTGACTCACTGCAACCTCCATTTTCCGGGTTCAAGTGATTCTCATGTTCCAGTCTCCCGAGTACCCAGGATTACAGACGTACGCCAACACGCTCGACTAATTTTTATATTTTTAGTAGAGATGGTGTTTCGCCACGTTGACCGGGCTGATCTTGAACTCCTAGCCTCAAGTGACCCGCTTGCCTCAGTCTCCTAAAGTGCTGGAATTACAGGCATGAGCCACGACCCCGGCCCTTAGCATTTCTTGGAGGACAGGTCTAGAGTCGATGAAATCCCGCAGCATTTGTTTGTCAGGGAAGTTTTTCTCCTTCATGTTGGAAGGATATTTTTGCTAGATAAACTATTCTAGGTAAAAGTTTCTTTCCTCAGCACTTTAAATATGTCATACTATTCTCTCCTGGCCTTTCCACTGAAAAGTCTGTTGCCAGATGGATTGGAGCTCCATTGGATGTCATTTGTTTCTTTTCTCTTGCTGATTTTAGGATCCTTTCTTTATCCTTGATCTTTGGGAGTTTGATTATTAAATACCTTGAGGTAGTCTTCTTTGGGTTAAATCTGATTGGTGTTCAATAACCTTCTTGTACTTTAAAATTGATACCTTTCTCTAGGTTTGGGAAGTTCTCTGTTATTATTTTATTGAATAAACTTTCTACCCAATCTCTCTCTATTTTCTCTTTAAGAACAATTACTTGGATTTGCCCTTTTGAGGCTAATTTCTAGGTCTTATAGGCATGCTTTGTTGTTTTTTATTCTCTCTTTTTTTTGTCTTCTCTGACTGTGTATTTTCAAGTAGTCTATCTTCAAGCTCACTCATTCTTTCTTCTGCTGGATCAAGCCTGGAATCGAGGGCCTTAAGGGCCCTTTTGGTGCTCTTCCTCACTGCGGCTGAGCTGGCACCTAAGCTCATCACAAAGTGCTCTTTCCTCTTCCCTCTCTCTTTCTCAAGCAGAAGGACTCTCTCCTCGTAGCCACCAGAACTGTGAATGTGCTTCTGGTCACACCTGAAGCCAGCACGTCTCAGAGTCTCACTCAAGGCCAACTGCCTGTACTACTTGGTTACTGCTGCTGATTATTCAGGGTCCAAGGGCTCTTTAGTCAGCAAGTGATTAATTCTTCCAGGACTGAGCTCTTCTCTCCAGGTCAGTGGGTTCCCTTCTGGCCCAGGGTGTGTCTAGAAATGTCATCCAGGAGATAGGGCCTGGAATGGAGCCCTCAAGACTGTGACTAGTGTCCTATCCTACTGTGGCTGAGCTGGTATCCAAGTTGCAAGACAAAGTCCTCTTTAGTTTTCCTTCTCTTCTCCTATGCATCAGGAAGGGGTCTGTTTTGGAGCTGTGAGCTGTGCTGCCTGGGATTGTGGGAGGGGTGCTGCAAGCACTCCCTTAGGCACCCTGGGTGGTGTCTTATTAGCTCATGTGCCCCTCAATGTCCACTGGCTCTGAGCCCACCACAGCACCAGGACTTGCCTAGGATTTGCAGTCCTTGTGGCCTAAACATCTTTCAAGTTTATTTAGAGCCCCACTGCACTTTAGCCCATGGTGGTGAGGCTTGCCAAAACTCAAGTTCCAACCTCTGGGATGGGTTGGAATCTATCCTTCTGGCTAGGACTGGTCTACATGCTCCCTCCAGGGCCACTGGCTGAGTTCTGCCCTATGTCAGTAGCTCTGAATTCCAATTCAAGTTCCCGCGATTGCTGTGCTCTCCTTCTCCCAAGCACACAGATTCTCTCTTCATGTCACGCAGCCAGCCACTGCCAGGGGATGTTGAGGGGTCGGGGGAGGTGATCGCCAATTTAAGATTGTCTTTCCCACACTCTTCAGTGACTCTTTCAGCGATATGAAGTTAAAACCAAGTACTGTCATTACTCTCCTGATTTTTGGTTCTTATGGAGGTAATTTTGTGTGTGGATAGTTGTTAAATTTGGTGTTCCTGTATGGAGTATGATCAGTGGGGGCTTCTATTTGGCCATCTTGCTCCACTTCTATTTAATTTTTATTTTTTGTAGAGACAGTGTCTCACCATGTTGCCCAGGCTGGTCTCGAACTCCCAGAGTGCTGGGATTACAGACATAAGCCACCATGACCTGCCTCCATCTCTATTTAAAAAATTTTTTTGCATCAACTTTGGACAAGAATTTTTAAAGAAAAACATTTTTAAATTAAAATTTAAAAAATTTAAAAGCTCTGCTCGCAGAAGCACACAAAAAATTTTAATGTGCTGATTATTTCACTTCTGTGGAAAAATATGATAGGAAAATTGAATAAAAGAAATTTAGATTAACATTTTTGGGGGAACCATTTTATTTTTGTGTACATATTTCCTTAAAATCAGTGAATTTCTAGGCCAGCTTCAGGTAACTGAAGGGCCTTTATAAGTGGTTTATATTTTCTATATCTTTATAAGTGGCTTATGTTTTTATAAGTGGTCTATATCTTTATAAGTGGTTTATATTTTCTATATCTTTATATTTTCTATATCTTTATAAGTGGTTTATATTTTCTATATTGTGTTTGCAATGTTTACTGCAAACACAGTCTGAAGCAAAATGGGAAATAACATATTTCTGGAGATGAGCATAGACATTCTAATCCAGTAAACTGTTTTCTTTCCCAGGTAGCAGGGTTGAGTCATGCCTGACTGCTAGGCCACCATTCATAGGTATAGCCTATAAAACCGGTACAGACCACCCAAAAGAAGGCCAGCCAATGCATGCCGTTTGATGGTACAGGTTTCAAAATTCAAATCACCTGCCTGCAAAAATAAACTCACAAACCCCTTGTGAGATGCATGCTGTCCAAAGGGGGATCACTGGCTGGGCACGGTGGCTCACGCCTGTAATCCCAGCACTTTGGGAGGCCGAGGCGTGTGGATCACCTGAGGTCAGGAGTTCAAGACCAGCCTGGCCAATATGGTGAAACCCCGTCTCTACTAATAAACAAAAATTAGCTGATCATGGCCGGGCACGGTGGCTCACACCTGTAATCCCAGCGCTTTCGGAGGCCGAGGTGGATCACAAGGTCAGGGGTTCGAGACCAGCCTGACCAACATGGTGAAACCCCATCTCTACTAAAAATACAAAAATTATATGGACATGGTGGCAGGCACCTGTAATCCCAGCTACTCAGGAGGCTGAGGCAGGAGAATTGCTTGAACCTGGGAGGCGGAGGTTGCAGTGAGTCGAGATTGCGCCACTACACTCCAGCCTGGGTGACAGAGCGAGACTCCATCTCAAAAAAAAAAAAAAAAATTAGCCGATTATGGTGGTGGGTGCCTGTAATCCCAGCTAGTCAGGAGGCTGAGGCAGAATTGCTTGAACACGGAGGCGGAGGTTGCAGTGAGCCGAGAATGCGCCATTGCATTCCAGCCTGGGCGAAAGAGTGAAACTTTGTCTCAAAAAAAAAAAAAAAAAAGGGTAGGGGGGCTCACTGACATTGGTATGAAGCCATGAAGGGCAGTGTTCAGTCCAATATATGTCGATCCCATGCTCACACAGATCCCTTTCTGCTTGTGGAAGTTGGTTAATTTTTCTGGTTATGATACTGAATGTTGCTACATTTTCCTTGATAGTATAGTATCATCTGGTTGATGATTTTGCATCTTAGCATTATACTCCCCTTCTCCCAGCAGCCAGTGCCTCTCCAGTCTTCCTCAGCCACACCGGGGCTCACTGCAACCTCCGCTCAGCTGGCCCAGATGCAGCCATCTTTCAAGAAATCCAGATCTTGAGGCAAAATTTCAGAGAGCAAAACTTTCACAGGGACTTTCAGGCATAATTTGACCAGGTCATTCGACCAGGTTGTTTTTCTTTCTCTTTCTGTCCCCCTATCTGCGTGGTTCTTGGCCTGCTGTCAGGGCATGATTTAAGAGGGTTGTTTGCTTACCTTGAGTGGACGCCCCCACAGGCCAGTTCCCTCCCCAGAAGGACTTGAGGGCAGGGTGCAGGGGGGCGGGGGGAGCTGCCGAACCATGGATGTCAGACCTGTCCACGCACAGGCAAAGAGAGGGCACAAACTTGACAACACAGCGAAACTCCACTTGTTTCTTCACAAGTCTTTAGAAAGGAGCTTTCATTTCTGTAGTTTTGCTTCCTCTCTGAATCTTTGGCCTGCACAGTGACCTCAGTGTCTCCTGACCACGGAATCACATGCCCGTATCTACTTTGGAGTTTGAGCTTTTCAAAACTGCAACTCTTTGCCAATAGCTGGTTTGTGGGCCTGGTGTCAGCAGTGGGGAACAGTCTTCCTGCCACTTTCCATTCATGTCTACGTGACTCCAACCTAAAATAGATTTTTGGGGGAGCCCTTGATTGTAACCTTCAACAAAGGAAGTCATGCTAGGCAGATTCTCCTGAGACAGGTCCTTACGTGCTAGTAAGAGCCTTTGGTGAGTACTTTAGGATTTACAAAGCCTCTCCAAAGACAGACTTTGATTTGATCCCCACAGCAATCTCATGGGAGGTGTTTCAAGTCCATTTTACAGATGAGAAAATCTGCCACTGAGTGGGAGAATGGTGGGGTGGGAAGCGTGGTTGAAGAAGAGAAACAGCATTTATTACCTTTCTGGGCCTAACACTGCGCTGTTCGCTTTATATATGTTTGATCCTTTAACACACTTGTGAAGCCAGTAGTATTTTCACACTATTGTCTTTTTTAGGTGAGTTCACTGAGGCTCAGACAGGCACAGCAGTAAGTGGAAGCACAGGAACTGAAACACATCTCTGCTATCTCATGGTTTGTGCTTTTGCCCATCACTGCTTATCCCAGTTATCTTTTGCTGAGAAGCAGTTTACTTCCAAACTTAGTGGTTTAAGACAACAGTCATTTATGATCTCATGGTTTCTGTGATTCAGGATCTGGGAGTGGTGTAGCTGGGCTGTTCTGACCTAGGGTCTCTCATGGAATCTCTGTAAGGGGTCTGCTGGGGGCTGCTGTCATCTGAAGGCTTGATGAGGCTGCTGCTTCTGTTTCTGAGGTGGCTCACTTGCATGGCCAGCAAGTTGGTGCTGGCTCTTGCCAGGAGGCCTCCGTTTCTCCTCATTTGAGCTGCTTGAGCACCTTCTCCACGTGGTGCTGGCTTCTCCCTGAGCGAGTGACACAAAAGAGAGCAAGGCAAAAGCTGCAGTGTCTTTTAGGACCTTGTCTTGGATGCCACACGGTCATTTCTGCAATATCCCAGTGGCTACACAGTCCGGCCCTGTGCAGTACAGGAGGATCAGCAGAAGTTGAGGTCGCTGGGCAGGACCAAGGTCCAGAGAGGAAGCACAGGGGTATGACTCCCAGGAGCAGGGATTGCCGGAGCTGTCTTGAGCTCCAAGTACAACACTGCTCATCTTGCCAGCGAACGTGGATGTCGGTGTTGGCTGCTGAAAAACAGTCAATACAGGAACAGCATTTTCTTTTTTTTTTTTTTTTTTGAGACGGAGTTGCGCTCTTGTTGCCCAAGCTGGAGTGCAGTGGCACAATCTCAGCTCACTGTAACCTCCTCCTCCCGGGTTCAAACGTTTCTCCTACCTCAGCCTCCTGAGTAGCTGGGATTACAGGTGGGGTTTCACCATTTTGTCCAGGCTGGTCTTGATCTCCTGACCTCAAGTGATCTGCCCACCTTGGCCTCCCAGAGTGCTGGGATTACAGGCATGAGCTACTGTGCCCGGCTGCTCTGATGTATTTTTATTATTAATTTTTTTTGAGACAGGGTCTCACTCTGTCGCCCAGGCTGGAATGCAATGGCATAATCACAGCTCGACTTCCTGGGCTCAGGTGGTCCGTCCGCCTCAGCCTCCTGTGTAGCTGGGACTACAGGTGCATGCCACCATGCCCTGCTAATTTTTGTATTTTTTTTTTGTAGAGATGATGTCTCACCGTGTTGCCCAGGCTGGTCTTGAACTCCTGGGTTCAAGTGATCTGCCTGCCTCAGCCTCCTGAAGCCTCTGATGTATTTTTAAACAACTATATGCAATCTGTCTCTATGCCCACGTTTGCCCCAGGCAGCCACTGATATTGTCTGTTCCCCTTAATTTTCTTTTCTTTTTTTTTTTGACATGGAGTCTTGCTCTGTCACCCAGGCTGTAGTGCAGTAGCACGATCTTGGCTCACTACAACCTCCGCCTCCCAGGTTCAAGTGATTCTCCTGTCTCAGCCTCCTGAGTAGCTGGGACTAAAGGCATGTGCCAGCAAGCCCAGCTAATTTATATATATATATATATATATATATATATATATATTTTTTTTTTTTTAAGTAAAGATGCAGTTTCCCCATGTTGACCAAGCTTGTCTTGAACACCTGACCTCAGGAGATCTGCCTGCCTCGGCCTCCCACAGTGCTGGGATTATAGGCATGAGCCACCATGCCTGGCCCCCATTAGTTTTCATTTCTAGGCATTTTGAATAAATGGAACCACACAGAACATTATCTTTCATGTCTGGCTTCTTTCATTCAACAGAATGATTTTGACAATCATCCATCTGTTACGAGTATCAGTGGTTTGTCTTTTTTAAAAATTAAAAAAATACTAACGGCTTTCATGAGGTATAACTGATGTACAGCAAACTGCATGTGTTTAAAGTGTACACTTTGATAAGTTTTGTTTTGTTTTGGAGACAGGGTTTTGCTGTGTCGCCCATGCTGAAGAGCGATGGCGTGATCATGGCACACTCCAACTTTTAACTCTTTGACTCAAGTGATCCTCCTATTTCACCCTCCTGAGTAGCTGGGAGTAGAAGTACACACCACCATACCTGGATAATTTTTTATTTTTTTGTAGAGGTGGGGTTTTGCTGTGTTGCCCAGGCTGGCCTCAAGTGGTCCTCCTGCCTTAGCCCCCCAGAGTGTTGGGATTAAAGGCATGAGCTACCATGCCCTGCCAATAACATTACACTCATGAATATACATTCTGAGCCATCCCTACAACCAAGACAATGAAAACACTCATCACCTCCCAGAATTTTCTGGTGGCCATTTATCATCCCTCCCTCCTGCTCCTTCCACCTCTATCTCTAGGCAACCACTGATTCTGCTCTCACTTGGGATTCATTTGCATTTTCTAGAATTATATATCAATGAGATCACATAGTATGCTTTTTTTTTTCCCAGGGGGTCTGGGTTCTTATTTGGAGATTCCTTTATACAGGGGCCTGTATCAACACTTCATTCTTTTTCATTGTTGAGTAGTATTCCATCAAATAGATAGACTTCAATTTGTTTATCTCCTTACCTGTTGACAGAAGTTTGAGTTTCCATTTCTTGGCCATTATAAGGAAAATCACAGTGGCCATTCTACTGCAACTCTTGTGTTTTCATTTCTCTTGGGTAAATATCTAAAAGTGAAACCACTGGATCATATGTAGCTACATGCTTAACTTTTAAAGAAATGATCAAACTGTGTTGAAGTGGTTGTACTACTTTATACTTCCACCAGCAGCGATGAGAGTTCCAGTTGTTCCACATTCTCAGCGACAATCAGTGTGGTCAGTCTTTTTAATGTAACTGCTCTCGTGAGTGTGCGGTAGGATCTCATTGTAGCTTTAATTTGCATTTCCCTGATGATTAGTGACATTGAGCATCTTTTCGTGTGCTCAGTAACCATTCATACATCTTTTGTGAGATGTTTGTTCAAGCCTTTTTTGAAATAGGGCCATTTGTCTACTTCTACATGAGTGAAATGAGAAATATAAAGGGTGTTATAAACAAGACAGTTATTCAGTGGTCCCTGTCCAGTTTTGCTCCTGACTTCTGCAGCTTGCTGCCGCCATTGTGGCTAGAAATCTGTTGGTGGAGGTGGAGGGCAATTGTGACGACCTGGGGCAAATGCAGCAAACAAAGTCATATGGCAGAGGTGGAGAGGGTAGAGAAGAGGGAGAGGCAAGGTCAAGGTTATGGCATCATAACCTCTGAAATGGGGCCCTTGTGATGGGGGAGGTCACTGAGTTTGGGTTCCCCCAGAAATCCTTTGGCCCCAGTACCCAAATGGCTCCAGGTTGAGTATCCCTCAAGCTGATGACTTATAAATTACCAGGAAATTTGGCTGCAGAGTGAAAACACCAAAGTTGAATCCCATCTATGTTAATGTCCATGTAAAGTAGGAGCAGCCAGGAGTGTGTGCTTCATGGTCTTTGCTCTGCTGTTCCTGGGCACTGGATGAGATGTCTTTTTCCAATAATGATGATTAAGATGGTGATATTAATAATTCTTTATCTTCATTGAGCATGTAATAATTTTAAAAGTCTTTTCTGCCTACCAGACTTCTTCCCTCCCAGCTGAGCAGGGCACTGGCCAGTGTTCCCACTTCACAGTTAAACTGAGCCAGGTCCTGAGAGGCTGGGAGGAAGAGTCAGGCTCAGTTCATGGCCTTGACTCTCTCCTCAGTCCAGAGACCCACGTTGAGCCATTCCCAGCGCTGTCTCCTGCATTTTATAGTAGCGACCTCCCACAATTTCCCAGCTCTGAAATCAAAGTTCAAGGCTGTCTGCTTTTTTTCTCTACTGGAGTCCTGTTGGTGACAGTTTGGACCCACCAATACCCTGTTGATCCCCCTGAGCCCTGCCTTTTTGTTTACTGCACAAATATGCACTGTTCAGAAAACAAACAACAAAAAGGGAAGCAATTCTGTTTACTAGACTTTTTGTTTGTTTGTTTGAGACAGGGTCTCTCTTTGTCGCCCAGGCTTGAAAGCAGTGCTGTGGTCATGCCTTTTTGCAACCTCTTTCTCCCATGCTGAAGCCATCCTCCCACCTGAGCCTCGGGAGTAGCTAGGACTACATATGCCTGCTACCATGCCTGGCTAATTTTTTTCATGTTTTGTCGAGATGAGTCTCTTTAGATTGCCCCGCGTGGCTTGCTGGATATTTGAGCCAAGGAAACTTGAGTGGATCTCATAACCTCAAGGGACCACATGTCCTTGAATGATGGACAGCCACCATTTCTGTCCTATCTACCTTATGTGGGTTTGACAGGCCTCTCCAGGCCTGGATCTGAGTCTAATGCAGGGCTTAAGTGATGCAGGCCTCTGGGCCACTGTAAGTCACCACGGAGCGTTTCTCCACCGAGCTCCAGCGGCTGCGGGGCCCGGCGCCGCCCTCGATTAATGCTGGCAGCGCCACCAAGCGGGCAGCTGGGAAACAGCGGCCACCTCATTCCAAGGAAGCGGGGAGGCGGAGAGAGTGGGGAGGGCCCCGCTTTGGTCGCGATCCGGTGGACACCATCCCGGCGGGGAGGAGCCTTCCCACGAGGACAGATGGCGACACACACGCCTGTTGGAGCATCCTGAGGCCCGCCTCTGTGGCTTCTGTTGTGACGCAAGCGTTCCCTCCGCGAGTAGGGTCTGTGGCCGGGGCTGTGTCTGCGGGACTGGGAAGCTCTCCCGTGAGGTATGTCTCGGGACCTTCCTGTCTGTGACTGGAGGGCATCTGCGGGCAGATGGGGCACCTGCACCTCCATCTCCGCTGCCCCTGCCCTGCCCTTCTACCCAGGCCTTGCAGTCACCAGAGATGGGATCCAGGCTCAGCTCGGCCACGTCTGAGCTTCTTGCCATCTGGGAAACGGGGTGCAGAGAGACATCCCCGGTTGAAAGCTAAACCTTCTTGCTGCAAGCCATGCCAGGGAGGTAGGTCAGAGGCCAAAAGCCTTTGCCTGAAATTTACGGCCCCGCAGTTGGGCCTTAGTCTCCTCTTCCAGTTTTATTTATTTATTTTTTTTAGAGACAAGTCTCACTCTGTCACCCAGGCTGGAGTGCAGTGGGGCGATTATAACTCACTGCAACCTCGAACTCCTGAGCTCAAGTGATCCACCTCAACCTCTGGCGAAGCTGGGACAAGCCAGTGCCACCTGCCCAGCCAAGTTTTGAATTTTTGCAGAGACGAAGGTCTCACTATATTGTCCAGGCTGGTCTCAAATTCCTGCCTCAAGTGATCCTCCTGCTTTGGCCTCCTGAAGTACTGGGATTACAGTCGTGAGCCACCAAGACTGGCCTCCTCTTCTACCCTCAACTCCAGCTACTTTTTTATTTTTGAGATGGAGTCTTGCTTTGTTACCCAGGCTGGAGTGCAGTGGCACGATCTCGGCTCACTGCAACCTCTCTCCTGGGTTCAAGAGATTCTTCTGCCTCAGCCTCCCAAGTAACTGGGACTACAGGCACACACCACCGTGCCTGGCTAATTTTTGTATTTTTAGTAGTGATGGGGTTTCACCATATTGGCCAGGCTGGTCCCGAACTCCTGACCTCACGATCCACCCGCCTTGGCCTCCCAAAGTGCTAGGATTACAGGTGTGAGCCACTGCGCCTGGCCGACTCCATCTACTTTTTACTCAGCCAGAGGGGCTCACTGTCCCTCTGAAATATCTCCACGGTTTCCCACCTCCACACCATCCGTGGTGCCTGGAAGGCATCTCCCCCAGCCCTCCTGAGATCCACACAAATGTTCATATTGGATGTGTAGATGTGGGGTATTATTATCTTAATGTTTTCTAATTATATGTGCTCTTCTATACACAAAAAGTGTAAAGAAAAAGTATCACCCACTTTCCTGAATTATTCCACTATTCTGATTTAACTATTTTATGTATATATACTTGTAGAGACAGGGTCTGGCCATATTGGCCAGGCTGGTCTTGAACTGCTGGCCTCAAACAATCTGCCTTCCTTGGCCTCCCAAAGTGCTGGGATTCCCGTCATGAGCCACTGCGCTGTGCCCCTATTATTAATTTTTAATTAATGTATTACTTAGACTTAAAAACATTTTTCTGTGCAAATACATATATGTATTTTACATACATGGACTACGTGTACTAACCACCTTTTAGTGTGGAGAAGTTACGCCTCTGCAGCCGGTTACTGAGCTTCTCGAAAGCGGAAGCTCCTACCCATCCGTCAAAGTGCAGCCCATGTCACTCCGCCCTGGAGGTCTCTGTGACTCAGACAGGCAGCGTTTACTGTCCTCTCACCTGGTTGTCGATGATACCTTGACCACACTTTAATTTCGGTACTTATTGTCTTATATTTGGCTATTGGTTTATGCATCTGAACTCTCCACTTGATTGGTACACATGGCACCCTCAGGCGTAGCTAATTTTTTACTTTTTCTAGAGATGGGGTTTAGCTGTGCTGCCCAGGCTGGTCTTGAACTCCTGAACTCAAGCAATCTGCCTGCCTCGGCCACCCGAAGTGCTGGGATTACAAGCATGAGCCACCGTGCCTGGGTGCTGCTATCTTCTAAATGAGCAGAATGCATAGATTCCTCTCTAGGGTTTGCAGATTTGAAAAGATGGGGTTTTGCACCATGCACCTAACATTCTTCTTGCCAGAAGCGCTCTGCAGAACAAAGGAGTTTTATGAAGACTAGGTGCCTCTAGCCTATCTTCTATCCTGGAACCTCAAACCTGGTAATCCATTATTTATTCAACAAATATTGATTGAGCACCTACTATGTGCCAGATACTAAGTTTAGAGAGTATAATAGTGAACAAAACAGAAATCCTTGCCTTCTATGGGACTTACATTTTACTGGAGGCATTCAGACAATAAACAAAGTAAATACTTAAAATATATAGTATGTTCGACGGTGTTGAGTGTTTGGGGAAAAATAAAGTGGAAGGGACAGTCCTATCCTTAGACCTGGGTAAGAGGGTCCCTTTCCCCAAGCTCCACCCTTCTCTAAGCCCCTCCAGGGCAAAGAGTCTGCCAGGACAAGGGGATGTGGCCCCTGGGAGCCCAAGATCCTTCTCTAGGTTTCACTCTGGTTATCCAAGACCTCAAGAGTTCCTGCTCAAATGGCACTGAACCCATGTTCGGGGCTTGTTTGTGTTCCCATAGGTCTGACCCTGAGAGAGTGGAATGTACCTGTAAGCCAAAAGTACAGTCAAGAGGTGACTGTTTCCTGGGGATGTAGCTGGGATGTTCACTTGTATGACTGAGGTGCAGGATGAAAATGGGTGTGGGAAGAGAAAGGGGGTAAACCATCATTTTTACTCTTTTTTTTTTTTTTTTTTTGACACAGAGTTTTGCTCTGTCACCCAGGCTGGAGTGCAGTGCGGTGATCTCGGCTCACTGCAACCTCCACCTCCCGGGTTAAAGCGATTCTCCTGCCTCAGCCTTTGGAGTAGCTGGGGTTACAGGCACATACCACCATGCCTTCTAATTTTTTGTATTTTTAGTAGAGATGGGGTTTCACCATGTTGTCCAGGCCGGTCTTGAACTCCTGACCTCAGGTGATCTGCCCACCTCGGCCTCCAAAGTGCTGGGATTACCGGCATGAGCCCCCATTCCCAGCCCATTTTTAATCTATTTCCAGGCTTTCCAAATGTTAGGGACAGGACTGGGAAGATAGATATGGAGACGGGGGGGTGGGGTGTCACTGCAATTTTAAGTAGAATGGGCAGGGAAGGTGACATTTTACTAAAGAAGAGGAGGAAAGGAGTGGTATGTGTAGATATAACTGAAAGTGCCCTCCAGGCAGAGGAAAAGTGAGTACGAAGGTGTGGAGGCAGCAGTGTGCCTGGGATGCCCAGGAAAAATAAACCTGGGTACTCGCCAGGTGCCATGGCCCAGGGGGACCTGCCAGATTTGTGCTTGTGCAAAACCTAAAAAAAATAGGCCCTTGAAGCCAGGCTCGGTGGCTCACTCCTGTAATCCCAGCATTTTGGGAGGCCGAGGCAGGCAGATCACAAGGTCAGGAGATCGAGACCATCGTGTCTAACATGATGAAACCCCGTCTCTAGTAAAAATACAAAAAAATTAGCCAGGCATGGTGGTGGGCACCTGTGGTCCTAGCTACTCAGGAGGCTGAGGGAGGAGAATGGCATGAACCCAGGAGGTGGAGCTTGCAGTGAGCGGAGATGACGCCACTGCCGTCCATCCTGGGTGACAGAGCAAGATTCCGTCTCAAAAATAAAAAAATAAAAAAAAAATAAGACCTCGATCAATGTTGGATTGAATGAACGAATGGTCCCACCTCTTGGAGGAGCCACTCCCAACAGCACACAGCTGCCTCTTCTTCCCGGCTCTGTGCCAAGGGGTGTTTCAGCTTTGCTTTGATCCTGATGACCAGGCACTGCTATTCTTTAGGCCGGGATTTCCCCAAGCCTTGGTATTTTTAAAAATACGTTATAGTTCCCTTGAAACTCTCTCCTTATCACCTCCACCTTCCTGTTTTCATCTCCCACTCCTTGGCACCCTCTGTCTCCCCACGGTGTCCCCATGACGCTGCCTGCATGCCCATTGGCCCCAGCCTGGGAGCTTCTCAGAGACGCCCGGGCCAGACATGGCTGCAGATAGAGCCAAGAGGGTGGCCTCGGGTGGCTGGTGGCAGTCTCCTGGCTGTGGGGGCAGAAGTGGGGGCCTGGGAGGTGGCAGGCAGCTCAGGCCTAAGGAAGGATGGAGTCAGAGCTCAGAGATGTGACCGGAAAGGGCTCAGCCACGGGAAGGAGTTTGGGGATTTACCCACGTAAGTACTGAATTATTCGGCCAAAATTGAAACGTAAATAGGAACTGAGAGATGTAAACAGAATTTGGAAATCATTGTTGCCTTGATGGCACTTTTTGATCCTGACAAATTTAGACTTTCCTTTGACAGTCTCATGGATGACGCCAGACGGAAATAAATATTTAAGCCCATGAAAGTTGGGAAGTTGAATAGGAAATTTCCCCTACAAGAGGCTAGGATTGCAAAAGGTCACAACTCTAGAGTAAAGGTAAACCAGATATATACCAGTCCTTCTGGGGGATATCAGCTAAAGTTCTCATTGCCTGGGTGGACCAAGGAACATCAAACTTTGGACTTGGTTTAAGGTACCTCTGAACAGATGCTGCTTTTTGAGCCTCTGAGTCAGCATGCGAATTCCCCAAACCCATCAAGGTGGAAGCTCGCTCGTGTCCTCTGCAATGCCTAACTGCCACCTTGTGGGGTTTCCATACTGCTTCTAATCATTGCAAGATTTCTTGTGGATATTTTCTGTCTTTACCCTCAGAGTTCAATAGGCCCTTTTCTTTCTATCACGCTCCATGCACTTGAAGGGTTAAAAAGACATACCGGGAATCAGTGTAAATGTTGACAGTCTCACCCTCACTGAGTTCTAAGGCCCAATGAAAGCAATGAGTTCAGCTTTCTGGGCTGAAGTGGCCTGGGGCAACGATCCGGCTTCAACAACAGTGTCCAGAGTTATCACTGCATACCCTGCACCTCTCTCTCCTTGGGGGTTGAAGAAGCTGCTCCCATCCACGTATGGCTCCCAGTCTACTGATGCCCAAGCCTGGTCCCGGAGGTCAGGTCTGCTAGAGTCAATTGAGTCCAACATTTCTACACAATCAGGCTCGACAGGGCTCTCTGACACGGGGAGCAAGGTGGTGGGGTGTAGGGTGTTACAAACTTTACTGGTTATACGGGGATTTTCACAGAGCAAAGTTTGGTCCTTGGTGAGTCTAGCATTCGTTAGCCAATGATGTCCTTTAGTATCCATTAAAGTCACCACAGCATGGGGGGCCTTTATGTTCAGGTTTTGCCCAAGAGTCAGCTTATCTGCTTCTGGTACTAGCAGGGCAGTTGCTGCCAAGGCCCTCAAACACGGGGGCCATCCTTTAGAAACCCCGTCTAGTTGTTTAGAGAGGTAGGCCACCAGCCTCAGCCAGGGCCTCACAGTTTGGGTGAAAAGTCCAGCTGCCATCTTTTCTCTCTCTGACACATACAATGGAAAAGGCTTTGTCAGATCGGGTAGCCCCAGGGCTGGGGCTGACATAAGTTTTTCCTTTAGGTCATGAAAGGCTTGCCATTGTAGGGATCCCTATTCCAAAGGTTCCTGGTACCTGCCCACTTTGTGACCCCATACAAAGGCTTGGCTAATACTGCAAAGTTTGGGATCCACAGTCTACAAAACCCCACAGCTCCTAAGAATTCTCTCACCTCCCTTCTGCTCTTAGGCTTCGGTAGATTGCAAATGACCTGCTTTCTTTCTGATCCCAGGCTGTGTTCCCCCTGTCAGATAGTAAATCCCCAGTAATGTACCTGCTGTCAGCAGATCTGAGCTTTCTTCTTGGACACCTTCTACCCACAGTCCACCAGGTGCCGGTGTAGGGCATCTGTTCCCTTGGTGCACCTGACTGCCATGGGGTGTCCCAGCAAAAGGGCATCAATCTACTGGAGCCACATGCAGTCTACGTCTGTGGTGGGAAATTTCTGGAGGTCACGAGCCAACGCCTACCCGAAGATGATGGCAGAGTTCTTGAGCCCTTGGGGAAGCCGGGTGCAAGTGTACTGAGTAGTCACACCTGACTCTGGATCTTTCCGCTGAAAGGCAAACAGCTTCTGGCTCTCAGGGGCTAATCTGATATGAAAGAAAGCATCTTTCCGGTCCAAACAGGTGAACCAGCTGTCCTTAGCTGGCAGTAACCCCAACACTGTGGATGGGTTAGGTACTGTTGGATGTAAAGTCAGTGTAGCTTGAAGAAGTAAGCACAAATCCTGTACCGGCCTGTAGTCCTTGGTCCCTGGCTTGGGAACAGGCAGGAGGGGAGTGTTCCGTGGAGACTGACAAGGAACTCTAATTCCAAAAGTTTTTAGGTGATTGAGATGGACCTGGATACCTTGAAGAGCTTCTCTGGGGATCGGGTCCTGTTTTTGCGTAACCAGCTGGGCCCCAGGCTTCACTTCTATGAGTATGGGGGCTGGGTTGACTGCCAACCCTGGAGGGTTGTGTCCCACCCATACTCTTGGCCACCGCTTAAGCAGAGTTGGTCTTCTCTCTTGGCCCGGCTCAGTTAAGAAAAGTCTCCATTCCTCCTGTCGGGGGACAGTAAGGGTCATAATGGCTCCCATTCTGGGTAACTTTAGCAGCAAAGAGCTGTGCTCTGTAAAAGAGATAGTGGCTCTCAGCTTGCTAAGCAAGTCTCTTCCCAACAAGCGCAAGGGACAGTCAGGCGTGGACAAAAACTGCTGAATGACTTTAGGTCCTCCTACAGCACAAGTCCGAGGCAAGCAGAAAGCTTGCTTTGCTGAAATCCCCATGGCTCTGATGATGTCAATAGACTTTTTGGATAAGGGGGCGACTGGGGTGGTTACAAGCAAATGTTCAGCACCGGTATCTACAAGAAAATCAATGTCTCTACCCCCAACTGTCATTCTGACCAGCGAGTCTTTGGGGACACTTGAGCCCAGTCTCCCTCAGTCCAATAAACCTTCTGCCAGGTTGAGCAGGACCCCTTCCTCCTTGTCCAGGGCCTCCTGCTCTGAGTCACCTGGTTTTCTTTTCAGCTGAGGGCATTTGTTCTTCCAATGTCCTATTTCTTTACAATCAGCACACTGATTAAGCTGCAATCTCTGACAGCCAGGCTGAGTTTCTTTCCCGGGGCCCCCCTTCCCTTGCCTCTTTGGGGGGACCCCTCTGATTGCTGCAGCTAACAGGTCGGCGTTTTGCCGGACCTGACATTCATTCTCTCTGAGGTTTTCCTTATGACTTACTGTGTCCCTGTTTACAAACACCTGGTTAGCTATTTCTAATAACTGTGATGTGTTCATCCCTGCAAACCCAGCCTTTTTCTGCAGTTTTCTTCTCATGTCTTCTGCGCTTTAACTAACTAAAGCCATGTGAATCATGCATTGATTTTCAGGGCTATCGGGACCAAAGGGAGTATACATACAATAGGCCTCACACAGTCTCTCCTAGAATTGTGCTGGACTTTCTTCTTTTCCCTGAATGACCTCAGAGACCTTGTTAACGTTTGTTGGCCTTCTGGGCTCCCCTCTGTAATCCTTCCAAGAGAGCTTCCCTGTCTCAGCTTAGCCTTTGCATATCCTCTCTTTCATTTGAGTCCCATTGGGGGTTGGTTCCTGGCAACTGGGTCTTTCCATACTCTTGGGGGTTTTGGTAATCAGCCGGTGCATGTTCCTCTAGCCACTTAGTTGCTGCGTGGAGCCCTCTCTGCCTTTCATCTCTGTTAAAGAGGAATATGAGCAACTGGTGGCAATCAGCCCAGGTGGGGTTATGGGTCTGGATAATAGTTTGGAGCAAATCAATCAGAGCTTGTGGCTTTTCGGTATAGGACGGGGTATTGTTTTTCCAGTTGAGAAGGTCAGCAGAGGTGAAGGGCTGGAACAAAGAAACACGCCTCCCCACCATGTGCCCATCCTCATCTATCCCAGTATACTGGTGCTCTCTCAGGGGCATGTGTATCCCCATTTTGGGTCTTAAACGAGCTGCCAAGGGAGGGGTTTCTTCCGAGGCTTCACCTCCTCTCTTGTCTACTCTGGGTGGCCTAGGGATATGTTTGTCTTGCGGAGGCGCAAGCACTGTGGACTCAAAAGTGGGGAGCCTCTCTCCCTGGTAAGGGGAGGGCACCACTGGGATCACTGGTGCCATCTCCTGCAATGGATCTTCTGATGTTGGGTTGAACAGAATTTCCGGAGTTGATTTCCCTGGGCAGGTGGAGCGGGATCCTTCCTTGGTTATCTGTCCCTTTGCTACTAGCACTGCTGCTGCCTGCCCTCTCAGCCACTGTGGGGGGTCTAGCACCAGCTGTAACCAAGTGTCTATGTTTAGAAACTGGTCTGAGTGTCCTGACTTAACAGTTACCTTGTGCCATACCTTAGAAACAAGGGACATGTCCAGGCTTCCTTCTGATGGCCAACCCACTTCTAAAGCTGGGCAATCTATTTCACACAAAGTTCTAAGTTTCCCTGGTGTCATAGTAACCCCATAGTCTCCATTAAATCCCTTCTTAAAATTTTTCAACATAGTTCCTAGCGGAGTAGGCTTACTTTGTGTCTGACCCACGTTTCCTCGAGACAGAACACCAAGCTCACACCACACGCACACCACAGAACAAAGAATGGGTAAAAAGGGCACACACACGCTTTTTCAGTTTTCACAAAACCAGAATCAAAACCAAAATCAGAGTATCCAGAAATCCAAGCCACGTCAAACCAAAACCAAAGTATCAAGTAATTCAAGTCAAATCAAAAACAAAAACCAAAGTGCCAGTACAGGCACGCCATGGGTGATCAGGCCACGCTTCCACTCAAATGGAGTGGGCAAGTTCCAAAGACCAGTCTTACCAAGTTTCAAATGTCCAGACTCCAAGTGCCTCTTCCTGGTGTTCAGCCACTGCGTTGATCCTCCACAGGGGCCTACCACACACTGCTCTGACGAGGCGTTCCACCCGGGCAATTGCCTACCCGGCAGTGCTCTCTGCATGTGCGTTGCTCTAGCTGGCCAGAGTCCCCCGCAGGGATGCTCCACAGGGCAGGCCTAAGCCGCCTAAGGGGCTGCCTCGACTCTCCGTCAGTTACCTCGCTTCCCAGTCAGGGAACCATGAAATGTAGCAGGACGAGTCGCAGACAAAACTCCTCAGACACTGGATTAAAGAAGGAAGAGGTTTTTTTATTTGGCCAAGAGTGTCAGCACACTCGTGTCTTAAGAGCTGAGCTCCCTGAAAAAGAAATTCCTAGCCCTTTTAAGGGCTTACCACTCTCAGGGTTCTATGTGAAAACGTCATAATAGATCAAGTAAGTATGAGGAACATGACTGGGGGCTACATACATCAGCTAACAGAACAAAAAGTTTTACAGTGCTTTCTCATACAACGTCTGGAATTTACAGATAACACCAGTAGTTTTGGTCAGGGGTTAATAATATTATTATTTTAAACACCAGGGCCAGGAGGTGGCGCCAAGGTCATCTAGCTATTTATCTTACTTCTATTTCCAACTTTTTGCTTTCTCCCTTTTCTCCTGTCTTATAAACTAGGGAAAAGGGGAGGTTGGGGAGAAACTGGGAAGGACAACAGGAGAAGTGGTGGCCTCATACCATATAATCATTGGGATGGATTCATCCCTGCAAGCCCAGCCTGTTTCTGCAGTTTTCTTCTCATGTCTTCTGCGCTTTGACGGACTGAAGCCATGTGAATCATGCGCTGATTTTCAGGGCTATCAGGATCAAAGGGAGTATATATACCATAGGCCTCACACAGTCTCTCCTAAAATTGTGCTGGACTTTCTTCTTTTCCCTGAATGACCTCAGAGAGCTTGTTAACATTTGTGGCCTTCTGAGCTCCCCTCTGTAATCCTTCCAAGAGAGTTTCTCTCTGTTGGTTTAGCCTTTGCATATCCTCTCTTTCATGTGGGTCCCCCTGGGGGTCGGTTCCAGGTAACTGGGTCCTTCCATACTCTTGGGGGTTTTGGTAATCAGCTGGTGCATGTTCCTCTAGCCACTTAGTTGCTGCTTGGAGCACTCTCCGCCTTTCATCTGTGTTAAAGAGGAACATGAGCAACTGGTGGCAATCAGCCCAGGTGGGGTTGTGTGTTCAGATATTAGTTTGGAGCAAATCAATTAGACCTTGTGCCTTTTCGGTATAGGACAGGCTATTGTTTTTCCAGTTGAGAAGGTCGGCAGAGCTCAAGGGCTGGTACCCAGAAACACGCCTCCCCACCATGTGCCCATCCTCATCTATCCCAGTATACCACTGCTCTCTCAGGGGCATTTGGATCCCCATTTTGGGCCATAAACGAGCTGCCAAGGGAGGGGTTCCTCCCGAGTCTTCACCTCCTCTCTTGTCTATTCTGGGTGGCCTGGGGATATGCTTGTCTTGTGGAGGCGCAAGCACTGAGGGCTCAAGAGTGGGGAGCCTCTTTCCCTGGTAAGGGGAGGGCACCACTGGGATCACTGGTGCCATCTCCTGCAATGGATCTTTTGATGTTGGGTCGAACAGAACTTGAGGAGTTGATTTCCCTGGGCGGGTGGAGCGGGATCCTTCCTTAGCCATCTGTCCCTTTGGTACTAGTATTGTTGCTGCCTGCCCTCTCAGCCACTGTTGGGGGTCTAGCACCAGCCGTCACCAAGTGTCTATTTATGGGAACTAGTCTAGCTATCCTTTACCAGTTACCTTGTGCCACACCTCAGAAACAAGGGACCTGTCCAGGCTTCCTTCTGATGGCCAATCCACTTCTAATGGTGGGCAATCTATTTCCCACAGGGTTCTAGGTCCCCCTGGTGATCTAGTGGTTAGTCTTTGGCGCTCTCACTGCCACTACCCGGGTTTGATTTCCGGTCAGGGAACCAAGAAATGGAGCAGGAGGAGCCACGGAAAAGCCCCTCAGACAGCAGACTCAAGAAGGAAGAGGCTTTTTATTCGGCCGGGAGCGTCGGCAGATTCTCGTCTTAAGAGCCCAGCTCCCCTAAGGAAGACAGAATTCCTGGCCCGTTTAAGGGCTTACAACTCTAAGGGGTTCCACGTGAAAGAATCGTGATGGATTGAGAGCACATGTGCTTAGAGTGGGGGGGCGGGGGTTAATCTTTTCACCTCAGGCCGGCTCATCAGTGCCACCGGCTGGTCTTGCCACTGACTTCATTCCTGTTGTTTTTCAACTTTTACTTCCTCCTCCTCTTCAGAGACAGGAGACAGTAGACAAATGGCTTCTCTCCTCAGGGCGGCAGGATGGTATTACTCCCAATATCGCAGGGGGTGTACACAACCCTGTGATATTGTTCCTAATATCCAGAGCGAAAGAGGATGATATGACTCTCAATATCGCAGAGGGTGTGCACCCGTCCTGTAATATTGTCCTTAATACCCTGCGAGGGAGAGCATAAGATGACATTGAATATCGCAGGGATGTGCACCCTCCCCCTCTGATACACTTCCTAATATCCAGGGGAAGAGAGGATAATTTTACTCCCAATATCGCAGAGGCAGTACACCAGCCCCCCACACCCGTGATATTGTTCCTAATATCCAAGAAGGGAGAGAATGATACTTCTCTCAATCAAGCAGTGGGTGTACATTACCCCTGTGTTATTGTCTCTAATATCCGGGGGTGGAGGGGGGGCGGAGAGGATAACATTTCCTCAAATTTGGCAAGTGGTTTGACGCCCGTTGTGGTATTGTTTTTAATATCCAGCGGGGAAGACAATACTACTACTCTCGATATCACAAGAAATGCACATCCCCCTGTGATATTGCTACTAATATCCAGGGGTAGAGAGAATGATGTTACTCCCAATATCGTCAAAGTGTCCACCCCCCTCCACTTTGCTATTGTTCTTAATATATGGAAGGCAAGTATGATATGACTCCCAATATGGAAGGAGGAATACACGCCCCTGTGATATTGTTCCCAGTATACAGTGCAGGAGAGAATGATATTACCCCCAATATCGCAGGAGGGGTACACCCCTCTGTGTTCTTGTTCATAAGGTTCATTAGAAAAGATGATTTTACTGGAAATATCGTCAATACACTGTATGTCCTCAGTGGCTGCTAACATGCAAGGAGGGAAGGGGGTTGATATTACTCTGCGCATCAGCGGAGCGTGTCCACGCCCCTGAGATGTGGCTCCTATATCCATGGGGAAAGGGGATAGATATGACTCCCCGCATCACTGGGAGTGTCCACCCCTCTGCGATGTGGCTCGTCTTATCGGGGGTGGGTTGGTGATATTTCTCCCCGCATCGTGGGGGTCGCCCGCCCCGCTGCGATGTGTATCGTAATAGCAAGGGAAGGAGAGGGGGATGACATTACTCCCCGCATCGTGGAGGAGTCTATCACAGATCGGGATACTATCCACCCTCTGGGATATGGGGAGTACACCCCCTGTGATATTGGGAGGAATATCATACTCTTCCCCCCTGAATATTAGGAACAATATCATGAAGGGGGTGTTCACCCCCTGCCATATTGTGAGTCATGTCATTTTCTCTACCCCTGGACATTAGGAGCAATGTCACAGGGGTGGTGTACAACCCCTGCGAAATTCGGAGGTACATCTTCCTCTCCACCTTTGGATATTAGGGACAATAACACAAGGGAGGTCTACACGTTCTGGATTATTGGGATTAATACCGTCCTCTCCGTGCCCGGATATTAGCAACAAGATCACAGAAGGGAGGCCCACCCGGTGCGTTATTTGGCGTAATGGCATCGTCTACCCTTGGCTGTTAGGAACAACATCACAGGGGGCGTATATGTTTTCTGTGATACTGTGTGGAATGGCGCAATATTACTTATCGCAATAATATCAATTATGAATAAATAATATCAATCAATAATATCAACTATTAATACTAATAATTATTAGTAATTGATATTAATTGTAATTATCAATATTAATAACTGATAATATAATTTTTAAAATCAATATCCATAATAATGAAAATTAATATTAAATACTTGTGCTAATGATAACAATAAATGAGAAATATTAATGATTAATAACGCCTGATATTCATAACCGATATCGACCTTATTCATTAGAAAAGAGTAATATTAGCTCCTAATGATTGATATTAATATTAATAATACTAATATTAATAATGTGAAAACGTTTTATTGGCAATTATTTCTTCATATTACTATTGGTAATTCATATTCGTGTGAATAATAAATGAGGAATAATTAATATTAATATTGCACCTAATACCTTAGTGGGTGTACACCCACCTGTGATATTGTTCCTAATGTTCAGGGAGGGAGAGATCATGATATTACGTTCAATATCGCATTAGGTGTACACACAACCGGTGATATTGATCCGAATATAATCTCCAGGGGGTGGAGTATGACGTCACTCCCAATAGAGCAGTGGGTGTACATCCACCCGGTGATATTGCTCCTAATATTCACGGAAGAAGAGAATGCTGTGATTTCCAGTATCGCAGAAAGTGTACACCCCTTCTGTGATATTGTTCCTAATATCCGGAGGGGGAGAGGGTGATATTACTCACAATATCGCAGGCTGTGTACACCCACCCTCTGATATTGTTCCTAGTAGCCAGGAAGGGAGAGGACGATATGACTTCCCATACAGCAGGAGGTGTACACCCATTCTGGGATATTATTCCTAATATCCATGGAAAGGAGAGGCTGATATGACTCCCAATATCGCAGGGGGTGTACATCCAGTCTGTGATATTGTTCTTAATATTCAAAGACAGAGAGGTTGATATTACTCCCAATACCACAGAAAGTGTACGAACCCTTGTGATATTGTTCCTACTATCCAGAAGAAGAGAAGATGATATTACCTCCCATATCACAGGAGGAGTACACCCACTCTGCGATATGTTTTCTAATGTGCAGGGCGGGAGAGCATAACATTCTTCTTACAGCACAGGGTGTGTACAGCCCCCCTGTGATATGGTCCTTCATATTTCAAGGCGGAGAGGATGATCTTACTCCCAATACCGCAGAAAGTGTACACCACCCCAGTGACATTGCTCCCGTGATCCAGGAGAGAAGAGGATGATGCTACTATCAATATCGCATGGGGTGGACACGCCCCCAGTGATATTCCTCCTAATTTCAACGTGGGAGAGGATGATACCAAACCCAATGCCGCTGGGGGTAAAAACAATCCTGTGATATTGTTCTTAATATCGAGGGAGAAGAGGATGCTATTACTGCAACTAGTGCAGAAGATGCACACCCGTCTGTGATATAGTTGGTAATTTCCAGAGGTGGAGAAGATATTACTGACAATAACGTCCACAAGCGGTGTGACCACCGTGGACCGTTATATCCAGGGCGGGAGAGGGGGGAGATATTACTCCCCTCATCGCGGGGGGCGTCTCCTCCCCCCATGCGGTGCGGATCGTAATATCCAGTGGGGGAGAGGGGGGTGATATTACTCCCCGCATCGCAGGGACGGTCTCCGCCCACCTGCGGTGTGGATCGTAATACCCAGGGCGGGGAGAGGGTGGTGATATTACTCCCTGCATCTCGGGGGGTGTCTCCCCCACCCCCTGCGGTGTGGATCGTAATACCCGGGGGTGGGGAGGGTGGTGATATTACTCCCTGCATCGCGGGGGGTGTCTCCCCCACCCCTGCGGTGTGGATCGTAATATCCAGGGTGGAGAGGGGGTGATATTACTCCCCGCATCGCGGGGGGCGTCTCCGCCCCCCTGCGATGTGGATCGTAATATCCAGGGGGGGGAGAGGGGGATGATATTACTCAAGTATTCTTATGATCTTTTCTCTACTGCCACACTTGGTTAACAACCTGGTACATTATTTTCCATATTCTAGCGAGTTACCACTACTAAAGTCACAGGGGATAGACACCCTGCGATATTATTTGTCATATTGTAGGGGAATGTTCATCCAGATGTCACAGGACTCTACACACTGTGATGTTATTCCCAATATCCTAGGGGAATGTTAGTAATGATGTCACAATGTGTGTGCACCTTGTGGTGTTTTTCTTAATCTCCTAAGGGGAGGTTACTTTTATTGTCACACTGGATATGTTCCCTTTGATATTATTCATCATATCCTGGAGGGATGTCACTCCTTGTGTCTCAGGGTTTGTACACTTTGTCAAATTACTCGTATTATCCTTAGAAGATGTCACTCCTCATATCACAGAGGGCGTACACTCTGTGATATTATCGTCATTTTCTAGGGAATTGTTACTTTTAATGTCACAGAGGGTGTACACCTTGTGAAATTATTCGTTATAATTTTGTGGGATGTTACCCCTAAGGTCACACGGGGTGTACACACAGTGATATTACGTGCAATATTCTATAGAAATGTTACTCGTAAATCACAGGTTCTGTACACCCTTTAATATTCTTCGTAATAGTCTAGGAAAACGTTACTGCTAATGTCACAGGGCGTGTAGACCCTGTCATAAAATTCATAACATGCTAGCTGGTGTTCACTACTCATTTCACGATGCGTGTACATCCTTTGATATTATTCGTATTATCCTGAAGAGATGTTACTACTGATGTCCCTATGCAGGTACATTCTCTGATATTATTCGTTATATCCTCGGGGGATGTTCCTTCTAATGTCACACGCTTGTACTCCCTGTGTTCTATTTCGTAATATCCTAGGGCAATTTTACTTTCAATGACACAGGGTTGTAGACATTGTGATATTATTCGTGATATTCTAGAAAGATGTTACTCCTAATGCCACAGGGGTCCTAATGTCACTGGGGGTGTACACCCCGTGATATTATTCTTACTATTCTATGGGGATGTTACTCTTAATGTCACAGGTGTGTTCCTTCTGTGATAGTTTTGAAAATATGCTAGCAGGATATTACTACTAATGTCACAATACGTGTACACCTTGTGATATTATTAGCAATATTCAGGGGGGATGTTACTCCTAACGTTACAGGGGTGTACACTGTGTGATATTGTTCCCAAGATTGTAGGGGGATGTTACTCCTAAAGTCACAGGTGTGTATACCCTGTGATAGTATTCACAATATACTAACGGGAGATTACTACGAATGTCACCATGTGTGTACACCTTGTGATATTATTTGTAATATCCTGGGGGGACGTTACTCCTAACGTCATGGGGTGTACACCCCGTGTTACGATTAGCAATATTCTAGGGGGATTTTACTTTTAAAATCACAGAGGGTGTCAACCGTGGGATCTTATTGGTAATATCCTAGGAAGATGTTACTAGCAATGTCACATGGGGTGTACACCCTGGGATATTATTTTGAATATCCTAAAGGGATGCTATCTTAATGTCATGGGGTGTGTACACCCCTTGAAATTATTTGTAATATCCTAAGGAGATAGTACTTTAAAAATCACAGTGGGTGTGAACACATGGTGTACTCCCTGTGATATTACTCACAATATCTGAGGGAGGGATAACTTTTAATATCACAGTGGGTGTACACACTGTGATATTATTCGTCATATCGTGGAAGTATATTATTCCTATTGTCACAGGGGTTTAACATCCTGTGAAATTATTTGTAGTAATCCAGGGTGATGATTACCCTAAAGTCACAGGGTGTGTACACCCTGTGATATTATTCGTAATATTCTAGGGGGACGTTACTCCTAATGTCACCAATCTGTGCACGCTGTGATATTATTCACAGTCTACTAGCTGGTTATTGTTACTAATGTCACAGTGCGTGTACACCTTGTGATATTATTCGTAATATCCTAAGGGGATGTGACTCCTATTGTCACAGGGGGTGTGCTTTCTGTGCTATGATTCCTAGTATCCCAGGCGGACGTTACTCCTACCATACAAATTGTGTACACGTTGTTATATTATTCCTAATATCCTAGAGTGATGTTACTCCTCATGTCACGGGGGTGTCCACCCTGCGATGGTATTCTTCACATTCTAGAAAGATGTTTACTTCTAATATCACAGAGGGTGTACAATCTGTGAAGTTATTCATAATCGTTTCGGGGGATGTTACTCCTAATGTCACACGTGGTGTACAATCAGTGATATTATTTGTAAAGTTTTTTCAGATATGTTACTCCTAATATCACAGGGGCTGTACACCCTGTCATACTATTCGTAATATCCTAAAGAAATGTTACCACCAATGTCACAGGTGGTGTACATCGTGGGGTATTATTCCCAATATTGTAGGGTGATGTTACTCCTAATGTCACAGAAGGTCTTCACACTCTGATAATATTCGTAGTGCCCTAAAGGGATGTTACTACTGATCTCACAATGCAGGTACACAATCTGATATTATTTCTTATATCCTCGGGCGATGTTACTTCTAATGTCACAGGGGGTGTACATTTTTCGAAATTATTCATAATATTTTAGAAAGATGCTACTCCTAATGTCACAGAGGGTGACATGGGGGTGACCACCGTGTACATCACTGAGGCCACTGCACCCTGTCTCAGGGAAGATGACACATCTGAACTGAGGTAGCTTCCAACGCCTGTTCCATAAAATCAGCAAACAACTGACAGGTAAGACCCACAGGTGGAGAAGGCCTTATACTTCCCACCTGATGATGAAACCCTCAGAATGGAGAAAACAATTTTAGAGTAAGAGAAAAGGGTCCCCGAGATGGGAGGAAAACCAAATATGGCAGCAGGGAAATGCATGATTATGTTATTGGTGAAGGTGTCACAACATGCAATATGGGGGAGTTGAGAAGGGTCACAGAAGAAATTAGGAATTTCCACATCCTTGAAGCAGTTCATTCGTAAGGCAATCAAGTTGTGCAGCTGCACTTCTAAAAGACCGAGAAAAAAAAAAAAGACAACAAAAGTAGGAAGCCACAGAAACACGGGTTCATGGTGGCTGAATGATATAGAGGGTGACAGATGGCTA
This sequence comes from Homo sapiens, assembly GCF_000001405.40. Classification (NCBI taxonomy): domain Eukaryota; kingdom Metazoa; phylum Chordata; class Mammalia; order Primates; family Hominidae; genus Homo; species Homo sapiens. The sequence continues at coordinate 11,920,384 of NC_000008.11, forward strand.
CAAACCGGTCATAGGCCATCACACTCAGGAGCATGTCTCTCTTCCATGCCTCCAAAAATGGCAAAGAGAGACATCTGAGTCAGACGGCCTGCATAGGAGATGACTCTGCTGTGAGATTGGATGTCCACAATCATCTTGGGGACCGCGGTGGAGGTGAAACCGATGTCAGGCAAGGACAGGTTGGAGAGGAAGAAGTACATGGGGGTGTGGAGGTGGGACTCAGGGCTGACAGACAGGAGGATGAGCGGGTTCCCCAGCACAGTGACCAGGCACATGGACAGGAACAGCCCAGTGACGACCGGCTGCAGTTCTGGATCCTGTGAGGTTCTAGGAGGAGGAATAGAGAGACATCTGTTAGATTCTGTGGGTCTGTAGAGTTTGGACAGCTTTTGCCTAGAAAAGAGGGTTGAAAAATCGGAAACAACTAAACCAACACCCAGCATTGTGTCTGCATTTTGGATAGAAGCAATTCACAAGTAATGTTTTCAGATTTCAGAGCAATCCACACTCAGCAATATTTTGCAGTTCTGACAAACTCAATTGTCTTCTAATGCTTTCATCATTGATTTCTGTGTTATTCACTTCTTGCTGTACACACCTGCCTTAGAGATACTAGATTCAAGAATGCTCCAAGAACCAGATCGTCATATAGAACAAATTCATAATTGCTAGAAAATACAGCCTATCTTTTCCGAAGAAAAATATGTAATAAAACCATTCTCTTCACTTTAAGAAAATGGTTATCCTAATTAAAGGAAATTAAGAACTCAAATATTTTATTTGATTCGAATAGATTGATACAAATTCCGATTTAGAACATTTATAAACACTGTATAACAGCTGAGACCATGCCATCTGGAAATGAAATTACAGTTGGTAGTTCCTAAGCAGAAAATATTTCCATATGCCAGTTAGGTCCTAGTGATTTCATCATTATGTTTTCTGACTTTTCTCCTTCCCGAGAGTAATTGCTTACTCAAATCGGTGCGTCTTGTGTTAAAATTCATGTAAGCTATAACTCCTGTCCTCAGCTTAGGTGGACTTAGAGTTCTCATCGGAAAGTTGGGCCGGACTCCGTGGCTCATGCCTGTAATCCCAGCACTTTGGGAGGCGGAGGAGGGTGGATCACCAGGTCAGGAGATCAAAACCATCCTGGCCAACATGGTGAAACCCCGCCTCTACTAAAAATACAAAAATGTCACCCGGTATGGCGGCGCGCGCCTATAGTCCCAGCTACTCGGGAGGCTGAGGCAGGAGAATGGCTTGAACCTGGGAGGCAGAGGCTACAGTGAGCCGAGATCACACCACTGCACTCCAGCCTGGGCAACAAGAGCAAAACTCTGTCTCAAAAAACAAAAAACCAAAAACACACGCTCTGTCACACTGACGTCACACTGATGACAGCCAATTTTTGTGAACCAAGGAAGTGTCAATTCAATAATTCACATAGGCGTTTCCTTTTGCTGTCTCCTATGTGCCAAGCAAGATATAGGCTCTGGGGAATCAGAAACAAAAGAGACTCACTTGTTCCTCTCACAGTACTCAGTCCTTACTGAGAGAAGGAAAAAACAAAATGTCCTGTCTGGAATGCAGGGAAACCAGAACTTCAGGTCAGGGGATATTTCTGTTGAACCGTATGGAGTTTAAGCTTAAAATATTAACGAATGTATCTAAAATTCACTTTGCCTTTACTTTACGCGTCCATCACATAGAGATCACGCAGCGGGCATCCACGATCGGTTTAATCATTGCTCACTTCCATTGGATCAACTAGAAATCAACTCAGATGAGAGTGCTGAATCTCAGAGGATGGACGTCTCACCCTTTGCCATACAGATAAGCAGAAAGGGTGGTATTGAAAATTAATGGCCAGACTCTAAGTCCCGGGCAATATACTTGATGGTCTCCCAACCCTCAAAATGTTTGGGTTCTTTTTTGTTTTTGTTTTTGTTTTTTATTTTGAGATGGAGTCGTTCTGTTGCCAGGCTGGAGTGCAGTGGAGTGAGCTCGGCTCACTGCAACCTCCGCATCCCAGGTTCAAGCTATTCTCTTGCCTCAGCCTGCCGAGTAGCTGAGATGACAGGGGCCTGCCACTACGCCCGGCTAATATTTTTCTCTTTTTAGGAGAGACGGGGTTTCACCATGTTGGCCAGGCTGGTCTCGAACACCTGACCTTGTGATTCGCCTGCCTCAGCCTCCCAAAGTGCTGGGATTACAGGCGTGAGCCACCGCGCCCAGCTTCCAAAAGTTTTCAACAGAGCTCAGAGGTCTTAACCACAAGCATATCAGAGGAGCATTTTTGAAACACTTCCCAGCTTCCTCAATAAGAATGGAAGCCAAACCCCGAATTGATGACTCCTTTGAGGAAGTCGAGAGCTGTAAGGAAAGCTAGGAACAGGGCAAGGGAGAGATGCATCCTGAATGATCCTGTGCCAATTATTCCTGGAATCCTCGATGTGATCTCAGCTGCCCTTTCCATTCTTGACACAGTGATTGTGGCACCCACTGGTCTAGCTGTGATCTACAAGGAACCCCCAAAGGGAAGGGCACAGTGAGCAGGGACATCGGCCTGAGTGACAAGGATTTGAGAGGGCAGGTTGGATGCAGGGAGAGGACTGGCCAAATGCCATGTGTCTGGACTTAGACTGCCTGGTTCAAATTGGGCTTCACCCTTTTTGACGTCATGATCTGGTACAAGTTGTAACAAAATATGTTGCTCCTTTTCTAGTCTGTAAAATCATCATGAAATGTGCACTAATAACTGGGAGACTACGCAGATGAAATGAAACAAGCTTCAACAAGCTGCATAGAACACAGAGCTCAGAGCCTGGCCTTTAGGAAGCCCTCAGTAAGGGTTCATGATGCCATGGTGTCTGTCATCATCCTCTTTATCCTCATCATCACCTTCATCATCTTTTTGTTGTTCTGAGGGAACAGTTTAGAGGGACTCATTCCCTGCTATCATGGGTGAGATGTCTATGAAAAGGACAACCAATGGGGGAGGGAAGCAAAATTTTGAAGAAGATTCCTGAGAGAGAACCCCCACCACAAGCAAGAACAGGAACTCCACAGTCTGCTGAGCTGACAGTTTGCACATTCGTCTCCTCCCGTCTTCCCACCGCACTGTCCTGTTTGTCCTGAGGATGAGGAAACAAACAAGGCTCCCGACTGTCCCTCAGCACTCACTGAACTGCCCTTCCCCTCTGCTAGGCCACGACCACTGAGAACAGGTCCACTGTTCTCCCTGCATGGTGCACATTGGAGGCTCAGACTCCGTCCTCAAGGCTGGCCAGAAGACAGGGTGAGACATGAGCCTCCCGATACAGGTGACGGTTGTGGAGCCCACAGGACTGCAACCTCACACTGCAGGGCTGGAGGCACAGACTGAGTATTTACTATTCTATGGCCTGGGGGGCTCAAGGCACAGAGCCCCTCATTAGCCAGAGTCGCCCAAGTTCCCCAAGCTCTAAGGATTTCCTCATCATCATGCAAGAAGAAGAAGAGAAAAGCGAGTGTCCATAGAAGCTTTGGGGCTCTTCCTCTAATCAGGAGAGAGCTTGTGTGTATTATTTGCTTCTTTCTTTTCTTTTACAAGATCCAAGTGCTTTAATTTTCATCTTTTATTATGGGAAAATATACCATGTATAAATGCTAAAAATTATAAATATAGATTATTTCATATAGAATGGCCAGTATAAACATTTACAATTTCCACTGTTTTTCAGTTTATAGTTTAATCACATTAGGTACATTCGCATTGTTTAGCAACCAACACCGCCATCATCTCCAGAACAGTTTTCTTGTTGAAAATGGAAATTGCACCCATTAACCAAACTCTCCATTCCTCTCTCTCTCGCCCACCCCTGGGGGCCACCATTCTATTTTGCAACTCTATAAGTTTAGCTACTGTAGACACGTGATATAAGTGGAATCATACCGTGTTTAATTTTTTTGGTTTGTTTGTTTTGGAGACAGAGTCTTTCTCTGTTGCCCAGGCTGGAGTGCAGTGGCGTGGTCTGGGCTGACTGCAACCTCCACATCGTGGGTTCAAGCGATTCTTGTGTCTCAGTCTCCCAAGTAGCTGGGATTACAGGCGTGCGCCACCATGCCCAGCTAATTTTTGTATTTTTAATAGAGACAAGCTTTCACCATATTGGCCAGGCTGGTCTCGAACTCCTGACCTTAAGTGATCCGCCTGCCTCAGCCTCCCAAAGTGCTGGGGTTACAGGTGCGAGCCACTGAGCCTGGTCGTGTTTATCCTTTTGGGATTTCTTTATTTCACTGATGAGAATGTCTTCAAGGTTCATCCGTGTTGCATCCTGTGTCAGAAGTGCCTGTCTGGTTGTTTGGGTGTTTTTTTTTTCTTTTTTTTTTTTGGTTTTGTTTTGTTTTGTGTTTACATGGAGTCTCACTCTGTCGCACAGGCTGGAGTGTAGTGGCACAATCTGGGCTCACTGCAACCTCCACCTCCCGGGTTCCAGCGATTCTTGTGCCTCAGCCTCCCGAGTAGCTGGGACTATAGGCACAGGCTACCACGCTCATCTAATTTTTTGCATTTTCAGTAGAGACAGGGTTTCACCAAGATGGCCAGGCTGGTCTTGAATTCCTGACCTCAGGTGAACCACCCACCTCGGTCTTCCACGATGCTGGGATTCCAGGCGTGAGCCACCGCACCGGACAGAAGTGCCTGCCTTTTTAAGGCAGAATAGTCTTCCATTGTATGAAGGAACTGCAGTGTGCTTTTTCATTCAACTGTCCACAAACCCTTGGGTTGCTTCCACATTTTGGCTCTTGTGAATAATGCTGCTATGAATTTGGGTGTACAAATCTCTCTTCCACTCCTGGCTTCTAATTCTTTTGGCAGGTGCCCACAAGTGCAACAGCGGGAACATCTGATAATCCTGTTTCTACTTTTTCCAGTATACACCATACTATTTTCCCTGTTCCTTCATGGTTTTACATTCCCTCCAATCAGATTCGAGCATTCCTACTTCCCTCTCGTCTCACCAATGCTTGTTTGTTTATCATATCCATCCTAATGTGTGGTATCACATTCTTGGTTTGATTTGCACTTCCCTATGATGAGTGATTTTGAATATCATTTTAGATGCTTACTGGCTATTGCTATATCTTCTTAACGACGTGTCTACTCGAGTCTTCTGACCATTGTTAATGGGATGCTTTGAGTTTCTTGTTGTTCAGTTCTAGCTGTTCTTTGTATATGACGCATATCAGCCTCTTTTCAGAGATATGATTTGCAAATATTTTTCCTAATCCATGGGTTATCTTTTCACAGTTCACAGTGTTTGCTGATGCACAAAAGTGTCTGTCATTTAGATGTAATCCAAGGAATCTAATTTTCTTTTGTTGCCTATGCTTTTGGTGTCATATCCCAGACAGCATTGCCCAATCTGATGTCATGAAAGCGTGGCCAATGTTTTCTTTTAGGCATATTATACTTTCAGCACTTGGGGTTAGGGCTTTGACCCAGTTTGTGTTAATTTTTGCACCTGGTGTGACATAGGGTCCACCTTCATTCTTCTGCATGTGGAAATCAAGTTTCTCCAACACCATTTCTTGAAAAGGCTGCTTTTCCACCAATGAGTTTTCTTAGCACTCATGTTAAAAATCATTTGAACATATAGGTGAGAACTTATTTCTGGGCTCCAGAACAAACAAACAACAACAGACACCAGATAAGGATACAGCATGGGCCGAGCACAGTTGCTCACACCTGTAATCCAAGCACTTTGGGAGGCCGAGGCGGGTGGATCACCTGAGGTCAGGAGTTCAAAACCAGCCTGACAGACAGGAAGAAACCCCCGTCTCTACTACAAATACAACATTAGCTGAGCGTGCTGGGGCATGCCTGTAACCCCAGCTGCTCAGGAGATGGAGGCAGGAGAATCGCTTGAACCCAGGAGGCAGAGGTTGTGGTGAGCCAAGATTGCACCATTACACTCCAGCCTGGGCAACAAAAGTGAAACTCTGTCTCAAAACAAAAAACCAAAAACAGAAAATCCAGCACGATATCGAGAGCAGAAAGAGAATAGCTGAAAAACCAGCATAATGAGAAAATGAGGAAGCTTCTTACCAAAGCATCTGGAAATATGCAAGCAATTCTTGTGAACTAAAATTTTCATACTGTACTATCAAACACTAGAACTCACTTATTCCATCTTTCTGTATTTTGGGACCCAATTATCCACTTGTCTTCATTCCCCATCCCACCCCTTTTCTTCCTAGCATCTGCTAACCCCCTTTATACTCTCCACCTTCCTGAGATTCCTTTTGTGTGTAGGTGTGTGATGGAGTCTCTTTCTGTTGCCCAGGTTGGAGTACACAGGCACAATCCGGGCTCACTGCAAGCTCCGCCTCCCGAGTTCAAGCGCTTCTTGGGCCCCAGCCCTCCGAGTAGCTGAGACTACAGGCATGCGTCACCACGCCTGGCTAATTGTTTGTGTTTTCAGTAGAGACAGGGTTTCACCATGTTGGCCAGGTGGGTCTCGAACTCCTGGCCTCAAGTGATCCGTACGACTCGGCCTCCCAGAGTGCTGGGATTACAGGCCTGAGCCACCACACTTGGCCAAGATTTTCTTTTTTGATCCTACATAGAAGTGAGGACATGAAATAGTTGTCATTCTGTGCCTGGCTTATTTCACTTCATATACAGACCTGCAATCTCATCCATTTTGTCTGCAGTGGAGAGAATTTTATTTATTCCTTTTTAGCCTGAATAATACTTCATTGTGTGTGTATACCACAGTTTCTCAATTGAAACAAATTTCTAAAAAGCAAATATTTTTAACTTGTCTCGGAATGTGAAACTTCAGGGATACTGTGCCCATTTTATTCTTTTCTATTTCCCATCTTATGTATATGCAAGTGTATAACAAAGCAGCAATCAATGTGTGTATAAATCTATAATTTCAACAAATGTAAAATGAAAATGCTAAGTGGTGGCTGGGTGCGGTCCCTCCCGCCTGTAATCCCAGAACACTGGGAGGTGGAAGCGGGCGGATCACTTGAGGTAGGGACTTCAAGACAAGCCTAACCAATATGGAGAACCACTGTCTGTACTAAAAATACCAAAAAATAAATAAATAAATAAATAAAAAATAAAATTAGCCAGGCATGGTAGCGCATGCCTGTAATCCCAGCTACTTGGAAGGCTGAGACAGGAGAATTACTTGAATACGGGAGGCAGAGATTGCAGTGAGCCGAGATCGTGCCATTGCACTCCAGCCTGGGCAACAAGAGTGAAACTCTGCCTCAAAAAGAAAAAAAAAAAAAAGAAAGAAAAAAAATAGAAAATGCTAAATGGTAAGAAACAACAGCATAATAAACATTGGTACGGTGTTGATGGACAATGCATTGGAAGATAATATTTGAAGAAATCATATTACAATTAACTTCTGTTCTTACTCATTGGAGCTTGATGCCTCTAAAAACTTCCTCATTGCAACCACCTCTGGTGCTTTAAAAAAAAAAAAAAAATCCACACACTCACACAGGTGCAGAGAAATCAGAATCTCAGGTAATGAGACCCAGGCCTCATCATGTGTAAGCTCCCCAGGTGATTTGACTCAAAGCCAAGATTGAGGAACGGCGACATGGATCTCTACACAGAACCTGCCTAAATAGATTCTCTAGAAGCAGTTTATAAAGAAATTCCACATGAACTGTGGAAGAGGATATGAATTTGATGTACAGTATGTCCTCACTTAACATCTTTGAAAGTCTCTTGGAAACTTCACCTTGAGGCAAAATTAGGTATAGTGAAACCACTTATTCCTCTCCAACATTATAACTACACAACTTTGAAGAACCAGTGGTGTTGGAGGACCTGCTGTACATTGTTTCCATAAAGTCAATTTTCAAGGAATTCCAAAATGAAGTGAGGACTTCACGTATATAAAAAGATGGTTGTGATTCCACCTGGATGACAGGGTTATTGCTCAGAAACCAAAGGAGGCCGCCTAGGTATAGATGATTCAGTCATGAGGTTTAAGCTAAACAAAGGATCCCAGAATCCTCACCCATTCCAGTTAAAGACATAAAGAAGAAAACAATATTCACAAAGGAAATGCGGAAAGGAATAAAAGCCATCAAGCCACAAAAATAACGTGACTAAGGGGCAGGATTTGCAGATGTAGAGATTTAATGTGGTTGCCCTTTCTCACCCACACAAGAAAAAGGATGGAACAGATCATGAGATTCCACTGTTCTGCTGCGCAGCCTCCGCAGGGCACTTTGTATGTCCCTGTTTCTCAGGCTGCAGATGAAAAGGTTCAGCATGGGGGTGACCACAGTGTACATCACTGATGCCACCACACCATTCCTGGGGGGTGGTGACACAGCTGAAATCAGGTACATGCCAATGCCTGTTCCCTAAAACCAGCAAACAACTGCTAGGTGAGAGCCACAGTTGAAGAAGGCTTTATACTTCTCATCTGATGATGAAATCCTTAGAATGGAGGGGACAATTTTATAGTAAGACAAAAGGATCCCTGAAATGGGAAGAAAACCAAACATAGTACTATCGAAATATATGAATACGCTATTGATGACGCTGTCAGAACAGGCAAGTTTGAGAAGTTGAGAGGGGTCACAGACAAAATGAGAGATTTCCACAGTCTTTATGATGGTGAATAGTAACACAATGCAACTGTGCAGCTGGGAATCCAACAGGCTGAGGAAAAAGGACACCAAAACGAAGAAGACACAGAGGTGAGGATTCACGATGACTGGGTAGTGCAGAGGGCGACAGATGGCTACAAAGCAGTCATAGGCCATCACAGTCAGGAGCATGCCTTCTATACATGCAAAACGGACCAAGAAAGATATCTGTGTCAGGCAGCCCGCATGAGAGATGACTCTGCTATGCGGCTGCATGTCCACAATCATCTTGGGAACCGTGGCCGAGGTGAAACCCATGTCAGCCCAGCACAGGTTGGAGAGGAAGAAGTACACGGGAGTGTGGAGCGGGGAGTCAGAGCTAACAGCCAGAATGCTGAGCAGGTTCCTCAGCACCGTGACCAGATACATGGACAGGAACAGGGACAGCAAAGCGAGGACTGGCTGCAGTTCTGGATCCTTTGAGAGTCCCAAGAGGAGAAATTCTCAGACACCTGTGAGATTCCGTGGCCCTGTGTGTCTTGGACACCTTGAGAAGGAAAGAGGATTGGAAAAATAAAAGTTAAAAATCAGCCCTTAATGCTAGATGCAAGCAATTCACAAGGAACATCTTCACACTTGCGGACCATACACCGCCAGCAATGTTTCTCAGTTGTGACAATTCCAAAAATCTCAGAATTATTACGTGATTTACTTTTTTGCTATACGAGGCTTTCTGTATATACTACTTTAGAGAATATCCACTGAAGAACATTAGAAGACTAAAACTTCATATATAACAAATCCGTGATCTCAGTAAAATACGGCCTACTCTTTTCAGAAAAAATACAATGCAATGAAAAT